>NC_000014.9:67187470-67490500 GCF_000001405.40 Homo sapiens | reverse complement strand
AATAACAGAACAGGAGTTGTTATTCTCTGACCTGAACCTGCGCTTGGCCCCTTGCCCACATAGGAGGCTGCAGTATCTCCCCTGATGCCTGGAACAGTCTGTTCCTGCCCCAGTCTTCCTTGCGTGATGTTGGACATGCCTTCTGTATTGTGCAAACCCAGGCCGCCCACTCTGCCTCTCTTCATTCTCTGGTGGTGCAATGGCTCCTGGAGATGGGAGAAAGGAGAGTGAGCACACTCCTTGCTTCCTTCACCTGCAGAGACAGCCTTGCCTTTAGTAAACCAACATGTATGGCTCATCTGTGATGGTGGCCTATAAATTAGAGAAAAACACAAGACATTGCTATGTTTGATTAGTAACATTGGATGTTTCAGTCGCCCAAGAATTTAAATGCAGCTGGGCCCTTCTCCACCTTGCCTGTCCATCCATCCAGCAGAAATTTTATGATCTCAAGAAATTCATAGCGTGGTGGGGGAAACAGACACATAGACAGAATTTTTTTTTTTTTTTTGAGACGGAGTCTCGCTCTGTCGCCCAGGCTGGAGTGCAGTGGCGTGGTCTCAGATCACTGCAAGCTCTGCCTCCCAGGTTCACGCCATTCTCCTGCCTCAGCCTCCCAAGTAGCTGGGACTACAGGTGCCCACCATCACACCTGGCTAATTTTTTGTGCTTTTAGTAGAGATGGGGTTTCACCATGTTAGCCAGGATGGTCTCGATCTCCTGACCTCGTGATCCGCCCGCCTCGGCCTCCCAATGTGCTGGGATTACAGGCGTGAGCCACCGCGCCCGGCTACATAGAAAGAATTTTAAGATGGGATGACATGTTTCAGTTGAAGGATGGTCAGATCCCCCTGGGAACATCAGTGATGGAATGACCTGGAGGTTGTGGGACGGCATCGCAAAGGAGTGAGGAGGGAGCAGGGTCTGGAAGAAGGAGTCAGAATGGTGGCTGCAGAGGAGGGCAGGAGAGATGACAGTGCTTGAAACAGGCCGGTGGTCTCTGCTTCTTCACGCTCCCAGCAGCGTCTCAGGCATATTGACCAGAAGCTGCATGGACAAACTCAGCTATAAGTTTGCAAAATAAGCAGCTTACTTGGAATGGACTAAGTAGTTTACACTGACTTGAAGACCCTTGCATGCAGACATGTGCCTTAAGGATGAGATTTGGGTGGGAAGCAGTTCGAAGGCACATTGTATGGGGACAGGGTGATTCTGGAGGCTGAGGACTGGGATTTGAATCAAATGTTTGGATTTGGCCAAATCTCTTAATGTCCTGAACCCTCTGTGTTTTCATTTCTAAAATAGAGGTGACCATTTCTGCCCTTCCTGCCCCTCAGGAGCCTGAGAAAATCATGAGAGATGATCTAAGTTCCATCCATATGTTAGTTGCTATAAGGGCTCATCATTCATTCATATGTTCCAAGAAACTCTGGTTCAGGTCCTGCAGTCCTCAAAGGAGCCTCATGTCCCCTGTCCCCTGGGATCTACTCTTGGGGGATAGGGAGTGTCAGTGAGGCCTAGGGACAGCTTATGCACTTGGAGGGAGAGGTGCACCATCATCTCATCCTCCCTGCAACTAAGTTTTTCCTGGGGAAAAAGCCTGCAGACCAGGAAGTGGGAGGTGTCTGGTGGGACACTGCCCTCAAAAGGAGCCTTTCTGAGTGCTGGGGCTTCATCTGCCAGGGCTGCACCTCAGCAGGCAGTGGGCTCCCAGAGCTGGCTGCAGTAACCCGCAGGCTGTGCCGGCAGGATGTGGTCTTTGGTTTCTGTTTCTGTTTTAGTTCTGACTTGTGCCGTGGATGTGGCTGAGGGCCTAGGGTGGGGAGAAGTCTCCACAGGTGGGATTGAACTCCCCAGGCACATGGTCCTTGTGGTGCTGGTGGAGAGAGAGTCCCAGAGGGTTCGGACATGCTCCGTTAAAACCTTTTCCTCAAGGTGATAGGTACGTGTCAAGGTGACCCCTGTCCGCCATCCGGCAGGCTGGAAGAAGCCGGTAAGATGGACAGATCAGGGAGGGTTGGAGGGTCCCGTTTGTGAAGGAGCTGGGGAGGGGGAGGCAAGGCTGAGCACAGCAGCCCACTGTGATGCTCTCAGTGCAGAGGCCCCGGGGGGAGACCCAGGGGGGCACCCCCCAAAACCACACCATACAGTGAGTTTCAGTTCCCCCACTCCTGCCCTTTCACTTCTCCTCGGCTGCCTGGCTGCCTCACAGGTTGTCAGCTTGAGCAAGGGCCCAAGCGGCCTCTACTCAGAGACCCTGGTGGTCAGAGGGGAGTGGGGAAGGTGGACATGGGCATCAGCACAGACCAGCACCTCTGGTCCATCCTGCCTGGTCATCCACAGGGGAGTGCCAGCTCCCACCCCCAGCCACATACTGTTCTCAGCTT
Organism: Homo sapiens; assembly: GCF_000001405.40. Classification (NCBI taxonomy): domain Eukaryota; kingdom Metazoa; phylum Chordata; class Mammalia; order Primates; family Hominidae; genus Homo; species Homo sapiens. Next base: position 67,488,113 of record NC_000014.9, on the reverse strand, counting down.
CTGAGTGGCTGGGCTGTCCCAGAGGGCCATGCTGGGCCTGAGTGCTGTCCTTGGGCATATGCAGATGGTGTTGTATCCAGGGGGTTTTCAGGGAAGCTTTAGCACTTTCATATTAAAACAAAAAATGTTGGAATCTCCATTAAATAGTCAAGTCTTAGGGATAGTAGTAAAAACATGGCTGTACATGGCTGGCCAGGCACAGTGGCTCACGCCTATAATCCTAGCACTTTGGGAGGCTGAGGTGGGAGGGTTGGCCAAGAGCTTGAGACCAGCCTGGTCAACATAGCAAGACCCGTCTCTACTTGATTTTTTTTTTTAAAGTACATGGCAAAGGGCATTATAAAGTAAGATTTGTATTAGCTTGTAGCTGGTTACTGATGTTCATAGGAAGGGCCTCAACCATAATAATGGTGAAATAATAAAATGAGATGAATAAATATTAGAGAGGTAGAATAGTACGTAGAAAGGTTTAGCACACATTTTGTTTTTCTGCACGAGTGGTTGTTCTCTGCTTTCAAAGTGCTGAAACGAATGTCCTACATTGTCTGCCTTCCATGAGGTTCTGACCGCCCTTGAGAACAGATGTACCCACTACAGGGTGAAGGTGAGAATGTAATTTGAAGCTGAATGAGAATGGAGCTGGATTCTAAAATTATATCCCCTCTCAGATTCACAAGTGTTCACACATTTAGGCAAGAAGCCCTAAGTCCTAACCCTGGACATGTGGATTGTCCAGGACCATCCCAGACTTTTGTGGCTGGATTAATCAGACCTGAGCAAACTGGATGCAAAGAGGAGGGGGTAGGTTCCGGGAAGGGGCCCTGGTGGCCAGGGTGGGATGAGTGTCTGGTGCTGAGCCCAGAGCCCAGGCCCTTGCAATGTTTTTCTTGGATCTGCTGGGGGCAGTTTAAGCTAATAAAAGCCTCCTCTTTTATTCCCAGGGACACATGGAAGCTGCCAGCCCCCCAGCCAAGGATCAGCTGAGCCCTAGGGCTGATGCTTGCCTACGTTGCTGAGAATGGCACTGAGGCCCAGCCAACAAAGGTTAACCCAGGACACTCCTGGACAGTGATCCTGATGTCTGTTGTGAGCTGCACACTCAAGGGTGTGATAAGTGAGTATGTTACAAGCACCCAGGGGATCACCAGCCCAGCGATCCTGCCTGCTCGGCACCTCATCAGCATGGGCACGAGTCTGGAGGTTCTAGTTCTGAGTCTGTTCCCCATCCAAGGTCCTGTCACAGGGCAATGGGAGGGGAATGTCAAGCAATATTGGGCCATCACATGCGGGAGCCGTCTTATGGCCACATGGCCTCTAAAATCCAGGCCAGACCCAGTGTATTAGTTTGTTTTCGTGCTGCTGATAAAGACATACGTAAGAGTGGAAAATGTATACAGAAAAAGAGGGTTAATTCCACGTGTCTGGGGAAGCCTCACAATCATGGTGGAAGGCAAGGGGAAGCAAGTCACATATTACAAGGTTGGTAGCAAGCAGAAAGAGAGCTTGTGCAGGGAAACTCTCCCTTATAAAACCATCAGATCAGCCGGGCACTGTGGCTCACGCCTGTAATCCCAGCACTTTGGGAGGCCGAGGTGGGTGGATCGCAAGGTCAACAGATTGAGACCATCCTGGCCAACATGGTGAAACCCCATCTGTACTAAAAATACAAAAATTAGCTGGGCATTGTGGCATGCACCTGTGGTCCCAGCTATTCAGGAGGCTGAGGCAGGAGAATCGCTTGAACCTGGGAGGCAGAGGTTGCAGTGAGCCAAGATCGTGCCATTGCACCCCAGCCTGGCAACAGAGCAAGACTCTGTCTCAAAACAAAACAAAACAAAAACCCATCAGATCTCATGAGATTTATTCACTATCACAAGAACAGCATGAGAAAGACCTGGCCCCATGATTCAATTACCTCCCACCCAGTTCCTCCCACAACATGGTGGAAATTCAAGATGAGATTTGGGTGAGGACACAGCCAAACCATATCATTCAGATTGTCTGGCGTGAGTGAAGCGAGCACTCACACCTGGGAAACAGCATCTACTTTGGCCGTCAGGCTTCAGATCTGTGCAGTGAGGACCATGCATCACCTGGGACTGGACTCTGCCCAGAAGCCATGAGCAATGCATGTGCTGCTGGTCTAGGAGGCCTGGAGTAGGGCATCCAGGGCCCTGGGAGGTGGGGGGATTTGTGAGCCTTAGCTGCCATAAGAGTGACCACCAGGGGATCTGGAGGAGCATGTCCTCTTGCTTTTGTCACATATCAGCAGCAGCATCTCCTCCTCAGCGAGACAAGCTCGAGGTAGGGTGAGAGGCTCCTAACTGCACAGCCCTGCCTGTCCTCACAGGCCTTTCTTTCCAGCCTCAGCCCCTGGCTTTTCCTTGATGATGCCTTAAAAAATGACAATTGGCTGCTTTCCCAACCCCCAGAGGCCTGTCTGGCCTGAAGGCTGTTATGTCTGTGCAGGGCCCGTAGCCTGGTGGGATCAGAGGCCTGCAGGAAGGAAGCTCCCCAGAAGGCATGGCAGGCAGAGCTGGGCTTTTGCAATCTTGAACAGACAAGCTTTTTTTGGAGTTCCTAGGCTGGTCCATGGGAACCCAGAGCTTCAGATTCCATGCAGGAATTTGCAGGGAGTAGAAAAGGGGTAATCAGGTCTTTTTCCACTTTAGGTAGATCTTGACTCTCCTAGTTGACAGTTTATAATTCAGGGCCAGAATCTGTTTTCCACTCAGCCTGGGCTTACAAAGTCAGTTTGACTGGAGAGTTTCTCAGGAAGTGTGTTCTTGAGTTGATTTGTAGCCAGGGTGGTGTGAGCAAGCCTAGACTGTAGGAGGGGAGTTGGGGGTAAAGAGATGGCCATGGGTGCCTCTGTGGGAACGTCGTTCCTCAGATGGGAGGCACATCTCCCCAGAGCAATTTATGCCATCAGCCTTAAGGCTGTTGTACCGTTTGGTTCAGTGATTCTCCTTCTGGAATTATCCATTAAGATATATTATTAGGAAATAGTACCAGAGAAGAAAAGGGCTGAATTCTTCCATTACAGGCATTAAAGGTAATTCTCGTTATATCATCTGTAGTAGTAGAAATGGGAAACAACTGTTCCCTTTGGACATCTAGGTTAAGTAAATTACAGTTTTCCGCTTGCTGGAATATTACACAGCCATTATAATAATGAGCACAGAGGCTATATAACAACTTGGAAAAACAGTTATGACAAGTAAAAATGGCAGGTTGCAGAATAAGTATATTATGGTGACTTGTAAAATACACACATAGGAAAATATTGCAAAGGAGAAATGGTAATCGCTGTTAGTTCAGAATTATGAGTGCTTTTTCTTTTTTTTTCTTTATTAGAAATGAGGTCTCACTATGTTGCCCAGGCTGGTCTCAAACTCCTGGGCTCAAGCAGTCCTCCCGCCTCAGCCTCCCAAAATGCTGGGATTACAGGTGTGAGCCCCCATGCCCGGCCTATGAATGCTTCTTCTATGATGCATGGATTGGCTTTTTAAAAAATAAAATTGAATCCGGATGACTACACAACATACCATTAATAGTGACTTTCTCTAAGATGTGTGATTACAGGGAACTTTTGCTTTCTATGTCATTCTGTAATGTTTAAATTTCAGCTGTGAGCACATGTTGCTTTTATAATTAGAAAAAAAATTAAATGCTAGAATTAAATGTTTTAGAAGGCTATATTTCTCAAGAAAGGAGGGAAGAGAGACCGAGGCAGCTAGCTGTTTATACCTGCCCTCATCAGTGTTTAAGGGCCTGGGCCTGTTTGGGCCCACTCATCCATCCATTCATTCCACAAGTATTACTAGGTATTATTGCCAGGCACCACTCTAGGCACTGACTAAACAGCAGTGAACAAGACAGTGCCCCTGCTCTCATGAAGTTTTCATTCTAGTTGAGGAGAGACAGACCATAAATAAGTAGCAACATATCAGAAAGTGAAAGTGCTATGTAGAAAATAAAATGGAATGATGTGAGTGACAGAGAGGCTATTTTGGACTGGGGATCAAAAGTCCCTGAGATATGACAGCTCAGCTGAGATCTGAATGGTAACAGCAAGGCAGCCACATACAGGTCTGGGATGCCAGCCTGCCAGTCCCCCGTGCAGGGCATCCTTCGCTTTCTGAGCCCCAGGGACCTCTGTGCCAGAACTGACTCCATCCCCCAAGCCCACTCACCCTGCCCTGCCTCCTGCTGCGGTTTGCTTGGGATCTGAGGCCCCCTGAAATCCTCTGTGTTCGGACCGCTCCTCCTGACATGCTGGCTGTTGCTCCTCTGGGCAGCTGGCCCCTGCTCTTGGCTGGTGTCTCCATGGCAGGGCTGGGCCGGGCCATCTGAGACTCCCAGGAGCACTGGTGTGGGCTGGCAGTCAGGGGGCCTCTGGGTTGTGTGTGTCCTGGTGAGGGGCCTTTGAATGGCGCATGCCTTGGGGCCTGAGGGTTGGTTGCTGTCATGGTCCTGTGACTGTCAGCTTTGACCCTGGAGGGCCTCTGTGTGGATCCCGAGGAACAGGCTGGGAGCCTTTAGGAACTCTGACACCCAGTTGGGAAGTTTGTTAATGAACCACCTAGAAGTTCACAACCTTCTCCTTGCTTCCTGTTGTCTCTCCACATACCATCCCAGCCTTCCAGAAGCAGGAACTCAGAAAATGGTAGTGCCCTCAGAGGAGCCTGCAGTCAGCCTCGGGGGCAGTGCAGTGTGCTGATTAGGAGCAAAGACTCTGGAACCAGATTTGTGGGGTTTGAATCCCAGCCTTGCCTTTTATAGTTATTAGAATGTAGGCTCGGCCAGGTGTGGTGACTCGTGCCTATAATCCCAGCACTTTGGGAGGCCGAGGCAGGCAGATCACTTGAGGTCAGGAGTTCAAGACCAGCCTGGCCAACATGGTGAAACCTCGTCTTTACTAAAAATACAAAAATTAGCTGGGTGTGGTGGCAGGAACCTATAATCCCAGCCTCTTGGGAGGCTGAGGCATGAGAATTGCTTGAACCCGGGCGACAGAGGTTGCAGTGAGCCAAGTTCACACCACTGCACTACAGCCTGGGTGACAAAGTGAGACTCCATCTAAAAAAACAAAAAACAAACAAAAAAAGAACGTAGCCTCTTTCTGCCTCACTTTCCCCATCTGTAAAATGGGCTTGAGAATTTTTTGAGTTAATACATGGAAATACTGAGAAGAGCACCTGGTTATTATTATTACTGTGACTTGGGAGGTGGAGGGAGGACTTCATCAAGGCCTGCAGTATCACTAATCCCAGGGGCTTTCCTTGGGGGGCACCCACAGCAAGAGGGTGGAAGTCTGCAGCATGTGCACCAGCCAGTGGCTACAGGAGTTTCCCTCCACTTGCTTCCCTTCTGGCCCTGGGCAAGCCCTATTTTCCTCCCTGCTAACTTGATGACAACAGGGGAAGTTCAGGGAGGTTTCTGCCCTTTCCTCATTGAAGCCACTTATCTTCAGCACAGAGCCGCCCAAGGGCTCCTGAAGCTGTCCCCCGCTGCGTTGCCTCAGGGGTCTCCTAGAAGGGCTGTGGGTCTCCCCAGAACATGGAACTGTAGTGATGGGGGTGGCTGGGGATGGGGAGTGAAGCTTGGGAAGTGAGTGGAGTGAAAGCGGAAGGCCTTCCCAGCCCGGTTGCATGGGAGGGGAATCCCAATTTTCTGGCCAGATGCTTCTCTGGACAAAAATTCCCAGAGTCACTGTGTTGTGGCACCTTAGCCCCCTGAAACAAGATGGGAGTTTTTGACAAAACCAAGGGCAGTTATTCCATCTGGTTTTGCCTTCAGCCTGTCTTAGACTTTTATGGCAGCCTCTTTACCCCTCTCAACTGCTGGCCATGTCCCCTGCCACCCTGTGGAACAGCAGGCTCGGAGAGCAGCCGGTGAGATGCTCTTAGTGAACAGGGCTCTGAAAGCCAGATCCCCTTCCCCTTCCCCATCACCTGTTCCCTTGAAGGGGTAGTTCCTAGACCTCACAAGTCACCTTGAGTCCTGGCCCTTCGATGGGACTCTGTTTGCCCAGGCCCTTTCATCAGGTATGAGGACTCTCGGATTTGAATGTTGTTCAATGAAACCCTGCTTGTGAAGCTATCCTTTGCTCTCCAAACTCTGTCCTCCTGCATTCAACCTTGCTCACACTCTCCTCCTCTTCAATCCACCCTGAATTTCTGTTCCTGGGCTGTCCTATCTTCATGTCACAGGTCTCAGGACAGTTTTGTTTGTCACCAGGAGAAAGAAGCCAAGGTCCCCTGAGCTGCCGGTTCTCCCTGCAGCAGGCTTTCCCAGGGCTCTGATCCCAGGGCTGAGCAAGGAGCTAGTGGAAGGAGCCTAAGGATATAGGGAGTCGGGTGGGTGGAGGCCGGGGCAGGGAATAGAGGCCTGTCAGGCCCTGTATGGGGTGGGCGAGCCTGTCCTAGCTCAAAGTTAAGCACAGCTCCTGTGCTGATTAGAAATGGGTTTGGAGAGTGGGGTTCTGAAAACGCATCCAAGTCAATGCCCAGCCTCTAATATTATCATCTTCCCCACCACACTGGGAGCTGCCACCTCAGCCAATGACACTGTCTCCTATTCCTTTCTCTTCAACCCCATCTTCTGCCCTGACTCAGGTCTTTCATTTCCCCTGTTGGTCTTGCATGGACCAGCTATGTTCTCCTAGTTCTGCCCTCGGACACTGTCTGACATTGCCGTGGTGTGCTTCCCCTCCATCTACTACCCATGGCTTCCTGCTGCCCAGAAACAGAATCTGGGCTTGGGGCACACCATATTTCTCTCTCCCCCATCTCGCTTTTTTGTTTTTCTTTCTTTCTTTCTTTTTTAAGAGACAGGGTCTTGCTCATTGTCCATGCTGGAGTGCAGTGGCACAATCATAGCTCACTGTAGCCTCAAACTCTTGAACTCAAGGGATCCTCCTGCCTTAGCGTCTGGGACTACAGGCACACCACATCAAACCAGCCTACTTTTTTTTCTTTTTGTAGAGATGGTGGTCTCGCTATGTTGCCCAGGCTGGTCTCGAACTCCTGGCCTCAAGCTATTCTCCCACCTCAGCCTCCAAAAGTGCTGGGACTGCAGGCATGAACTCCATCCTCTCTTCTGTTCAGCAACTTCCTGTCTCTCACCCTAGGTTTCTCTCTCCCTTTGACAGCTACCCCTTTCTTCTTGCTTCTGCTCCAAGGGTTTTGGGATCTGACTCTCCCAAGTTACTTGCTGGGGTTGGGGAAGAGACTGGACCCTCCCGTCTGTTACCAGCTGGGAAACCGGTCTGGGCCATCCCAGAGAGATCAGAGGCAAGAAGAGCAGGGTTTAAAGTCAGCTTCAAGGCTGGGGTCTGGCCTGAGTAATGAGATCCACACAGTCATGTCAGGCTGCTGCAGGAGAGCCCCTGTGAGGTTCCTGTTCCCTCAGCCCGGGCCCTGGGGGTTGGAAGAGCCAGGGGGATACGTGCAGGTCATGGGGCCTGAGTTGGGGTAGGAGGTCCAGAGGTCTCCACATCCCTGTGCTGTGCCATCTGTCTCAGGCCCTCAGACCGCCTCAGTGTGTTCCCCTGGAGCCTGGATCTGTTCTCTCCTGCCCGGGGGTAGGAGGTTAAATGAGGGGGTGAGAGGCTGTGCCCCTTTCATTCCACCATCTTTTCAAGTCTGCCCCTCGGGCTGGCTCTGACACCCTTCCTCTTCCATTCATCCCTCGGTAGCCACAGGGAAGCTGGAGGCTCACCTTCAGTCTCCCGGGATGTCTGTGGGAGTTTTGTTCTCCTGAGGGCCATATGTGGGGTTATTATTGCCACCCGATTTCTTGGCTCGCTAGCTTGGTGCTCAGGGTTGTGATGAAGACCTAACCTGCTTGACAGGAAGGGCTGCCTGGAGGCTGCCGAGAGCAGGGGCACAGTGACCCTGCATCGGGTAAGAGGCGGTGTAAAAGCAGGAGGGGCTGTCCAGAGGTCTGGCTCTGTGCCAGAAATGACAGCTGCCCTTTCTGGAGCCTTAGCTGTATTTTAAGTAGTGTATATGTACGAGTTCATTCGTCCTCACAACAGCCTTCTGTGGTCATTACTTCCGTTATCCTCACTTTACCTACAAGGACCCTGAGGCACAGGGTGGTTGGGCAGCGTCCATTAGGTCTCACAGGTGGAAAGCATCAGCCAGGATTCCAACCCAGGCAGTTAGGATCATCTGGGGTCCCTGAACTTAACCAGCTGGCCATATTGAGACCTGTGAGGCATGGTTTGTTGTTGGATGACACAGGAGGGAAGAGCCTGCAATAATTTTACATGACTTCAGGTTTCTTTGGGTTCATTTGCTTAGCAAATTCATTGAACACCTTCTATACACGAGGTATGAATACGGTGAATACATATTCATTCCACAAGCATTTTTTTTTCCTTTTTTGAGACGGAGTCTCACTCTGTCACCTAGGCTAGAGTGCAGTGGCGCTATCTCGGCTCACGGCAACCTCCGCCTCCCAGGTTCAAGCGATTCTCCTGCCTCAGCCTCCCGAGTAGCTGGGATTACAGGTGCATGCCACCATGCCCGGCTAATTTTTGTATTTTTAGTAGGGATGTGGTTTCACCATGTTGGCCAGGCTGGTCTCGAACTCCTGACCTCAGGTGATCTACCCACCTCGGCCTCCCAAAGTACTGGGATTACAGGCATGAGCTACTGCACCCAGCTTCCACAAGCATTTTTTTTTTTTTTTGAGACAGAGTCTTGCTCTGTAGCCCAGGCTGGAGTGCAGTGGTACGATCTCGCTCACTGCTACCTCCACCTCCTGGGTCCCGGTTCAAGCAATTCTTCTGCCTCAGCCTCCCGAGTAGCTGGGATTACAGGCACACGCCACCACGCCCAGCTAATTTTTGTACTTTTAGTAGAGACAGGGTTTCACCATGTTGGCCAGGCTGGTCTTGAACTCCTGACCTCATGATCCACCCACCTCAGCCTCCCAAAGTGCTGGGTTTACAGGGTGAGCCACCACGTCCAGCCTCCATAAGCATTTTTAAGATGAAATTTTAGTTTTATAAAAGTTATACATGCTTGTTAGGAAAAAAAAGTATGCAGAAAAATATAAAGAAAAAAAGCACATATGATATCACCATCCAGAGATGATTGTTGTTTAATTTTTTTGTATATGTGCACATATGCATGCCTTTGCAGAATCGGAGTTAGGTTGAATATTCAGTTTTGAATCCTGCTTTTTTCTCTTACCACTATCTTAAACAAGCATTCCTCAGGAGGCTGCTGGTGCTGGCGTTCAGATGAATCCAGTGAAGCAGAGTGCTCACTATTACCACAGAGAAGGGAGGGTGCAGAAGTGGGAAGACAACTCTGGAGTCAGGGTGCTTAGGAAAGTCCTCACAGAGGAGGAGCTGGGTCTTAAAGGAGGGTTCACCGGCCCTGGGTGGGGCCCAGGTAGCAAAAACAGCAAGGTAGAGATCTGGAGGACAGGATTGGAGGCAGGGACGAGTTGTGAAGGGCTTTGCCAGCCGTCCCCAGGGGTTTGAGCTTTATTTACTCTGTAGATGTTGAAGATCCACTCATGGGCTTCAAGTGGTGAGAAACATCGGATTTGCATTTTAGAAAGGTTGCGTTTTTTCTACACACTCTTTCATCCTGTGATGAGTGAATTAGAAGGAAGAAGGCAAAGCTGGGAGACCTTTGGAGTCATCCAGGTGAGACATGATGAGGGCGTGAACCAGAGCAGTGGCAGCAATGAGAAGAGTAATGAAGAGGAGGGGATGGATCCCAAAGATATTTAAGAGGTGGTAAGGGTGGGAGTTAGTAGCTGACTTGGTGGCTTTCCCTTGGCCAGTGGGATGATGGTGGGCATGGCTTAGCCAGGGTCTTGAACCACACTTGTACAGCTAGCCTTGCTCAGCTTTGTGCCTCTGCCCTTGCCATGAGAAGAATATGCCCAGGCAAGTCCACTGGGCCCCGGAGGAGGATGAGAGACAGGTGGAGTGGAGCTACGCTGCCCCAGCCGTCTGCCAACCACAGACATGTGAGCTGTAATAGTAGACGGTAGTTGTTTTAGGCCAGGGTTTTTGAGATGATTTGTTATATGGCGATTGCTAACTAAGAAATGTCTTTATTCTTCTCTTGAATGCTTACTATGTGCTGGGCTTTGTGCCAGGCACTGGGAATACTATGCTGAACCAGGCAGGCAAGGCCCTCACTCTCAGGAACTCATGTTAGGGTGGGGATGTGGCAGAGGAAGCCAGACAGACTTTGAGACCGCTGGTTCTAACTGGGTGCATGGTGGTGCCATTAATTGGGGTGGGGGTCTTAGGAGAGAAACAGGTTTTGGGGAAAAGATAATGGGTTTGATTTTATTTATTTATTTTTTAGAGACAGAGTCTCACTGCATTGTCTAGGCTAGTCTTGAATTCAAGAGTTCTGGGCTCGAGCGATCCTTCTGCCTCTGCCTCCCAAAGTGCTAGGATTACAGGCATAAGCCACCACACCTGCCCATGGGTTTGATTTAGGAAAGGAGTTTGGGATGCCTGTGGGACATTAGGGGGAGCTGTCTAGGGAAGGGCAGGAGCTATAGGTGTAGCACACAGGAAAGAGGTCTGGCCGGGGACAGAAATTCTCAATATAATATTGAAAATAACCTGTAGCAAAGGGAGTGAGACAGAGTAAGTGCTGTAGAAATTCAGAAGAGGAAGAGAAGCCTTGGGACCTGGGGGAATGAAAGAGATTTTGTTCTGAAGGTAACCTGCAAGCTGGTTTATACTCATGGAAGTGAGAGGAGAAAGGCACGCCTAACAGAATGAATAGGACCTGCAAAGGCATGGAGATGAAAGACAGGAAGAGCTGGATTGTGAGGAAAAGGCTGAAGATGTCAATCGGGGCAAGGTCATGAAGAATCTTGAATGGCAGGCCAAGGATGCTGTTGTGTTTCATTAGGAAATAAGGAGATATCGAACATTTTTTTTTTTTTTTTGAGATGGAGTTTCGCTCTTGTTGTCCAGGCTGGAGTGCAATGGTGCGATCGCGACTCACTGCAACCTCCACCTCCCAGGTTCAAGCGGTTCTCCTGTCTCAGCCTCCTAAGTAGCTGGGATTATAGGCGCATGCCACCACATTTCAGCTGAAGCAGGCCTGGTCACATTAATACCTACCCATCCATTGTTTTTTTGTATTTTTAGTAGAGACAGGGTTTCATCATTTTGGTCAGGCTGGTCTTGAACTCCTGACCTCAGGTGATCTGCCCATCTCCGCCTCCCAAAGTGCTGGGATTACAGGCGTGAGCCACTGTGCCCAGCCACTATCGAGCATTTTTGAGCAGGGGAGAGACATTTGGTACGTATGTCTAAGAGATGGGCAGTCATGTGCAGGGGATGAGTTCTGCAGTAGAAAGCAAGAGATATTGGTTCTAATCTCAGCTCTTCCATTTACTGGCCCTGGGATATGGGGTAAATAATGTCCCCTCTCTGAGCTCTGTCTCACTGCAAAAAAATGGGAGTAAAATTTTCTGACCTTCACATGAATCTTTTTTATTTTATTTATAAATATATTTTTTGGAGAGGAAGTCTTGCTCTGTTGCCCAGGCTGGAGTGCAGTGGCATGATCTTGGCTCACTGCAACCTCCGCCTCCTGGGTTCAAGCAATTTTTCTGCCTCAGCCTCCCAAGTAGCTGAGACTACAGGTGCATGCCACCACACCCAGCTAATTTTTGTATTTTTAGTAGAGACAGGGTTTCACCATGTCGGCCAGGTTGTTCTCAAACTCCTGACCTCAGGTGATCCACCCGCCTCAGCCTCTCACAGTTCTGGGATTACAGGTGTGAGCCACTGCGCCCAGCCTGAATTTTAATTATGTAAGAACCATGACAAAATGCGAACGAAGTGCTTGGAAGACCACAGAGCAATGCACAAGGCTGGGTAGGTATTAATGTGACCAGGCCTGCTTCAGCTGAAATGTGAGGCTGGAATTCCCAGACAGGTGTGCATACTACAGATGCCATTTCCTTAACCTCTGTCTTTTCTCCCACCTTGGAGAGGGGATCGACAGAGATGTGAAGCCATTAGCAGCTGGCAGAGCTGGGATTTATGTTCTCAAGCCCTACCTTCCCATTCTTGATGCAGTCCCACACCTCCCTCCACATGAACAGGACATGTCATTTAGAGAGGGCCTGCCCAGGACGGGCCTGCGTCAAGGCCACAAAGCACTGGCCTGTGCAACAGTCACTATCCTCAAGGAGTTCACATGCTAGTTGGATCATGAGAGCACATACCTCAAAAAGCCATTGGGGTGGCACCTGATAATGGGCCAGGTAAGTGGTGCAGACAGTCGCTGGTGGAGGGTGAGGAGAAAGTAGAGAGAAGCAGCATGGGAGCCGGGCGTTGAAGACTGGTGGGGTTTAAAAGAGGGGAGGGGAAAGGAGCCAGAAGGACTGGGGAGGACTCTTTCCTGTGTCAATCCATTGGTTTCCCCTCAGCACTGAAACCAAACACCAAAACCCCATTTAATGGAGCAAAGACAAATGTGACCACAATGAGAGAACCACCTCACACCCATTAGGATGGCCATTATAAAAACAAAACAGAAAATAACAAGTGTTTGGGGTGGATGTGGAGAAATTGGAACCCTTGTACATTGCTGATGGGGAATGTAAAATGGTGTGGCCACTGTGGAAAACAGCACAGTGGTTCCTCAGAAAGTTAACCATAGAATTACCATATGATCCAGTATTTCCACTTCTGCATATGTACTTGAAAGAGTTGAGAGCAGGGACTCAGACAGACCTTTGTACACCCGTGTTCATAGCAGCCTTATTTTGAGTAGCCAAAAGGTAGAAGCAACCCAGGTGTCCATCAATGGATGAATGGATAAACAAAATATGGTGATATATACAATGGAATATGATTCCGCCTTTAAAAGGAAGGAAATTCTGGCTGGGCACAGTGGCTCACGCCTGTAATCCTAGCACTTTGGGAGGCCAAGGCGGGCGGATCACCTGAGCTCAGGGGCTTGTGACCAGCTTGGGCAACATGGTGAAACCTCGTCTCTACTAAAATTCAAAAATTAGCCGGGCATGATGGTGTGTGCCTGTAGTCCCAGCTACTCAGGAGTCTGAGACAGGAGAATCGCTTGAACCCAGGAGGCGGAGGTTGCAGTGAGCCAAGATTGCGCCACTGCACTCCAGCCTGGACGACAGAGCGAGACTCCGTCACAAAAAAAAAAAAAAAAAAAGAAGGAAATTCTGACATGTGCTGCAACATGGATGAACCTTAAAGACATTAGGCTAAGTGAAAGCTAAGCCAGTTATGCTAAGCCAGTCACAAAAGGACAGTGTTTGTATGATTCCACTTATATGAGGCACCCAGAGTAGTCAAATTCATAGAGACAGAAAATAGAATAGTGGTTGCCAGGGGCTGAGGGTATGGGGAATGGGAGTTTGTATTTAATGGATACAAAGTTTCTGTTTGGGACAATGAAAAAGTTCTGGAGATGGTTGGTGGTGACAGTTGCACAACAATGTGAATGTACTTAAGACCACTGAATTGTACACTTACACATGGTTAAAAAATGGCATGCACACACACAAGGACAAATGTGATGAGTCACTTACATCTCAGAAATATGAGTGACATGGAACTGTTTGAGAAGAAGTGGAGGAAGAAATGGGGTCCCCAGTGGATAGGCCTGCTGAGAAATCAGCAAGTAGTCTAGAAATGGGGCTGATTGGTGCAGCAGGCCAGCCGACTCTTCAACTGACCACAGATAATCCAAAAAAGCTCTAGGGAGTACAGACACCTCCCTCTAAGTAGCATTTGGGTAGAGTTGCAGAGAAGTCAGTGGGGTGGGTGGGTTATTCTGTTCTTTGCTCTGTTTTTTTTTTGTTTTGTTTTTTTGGAGACAGAGTCTCACTCTGTCTCCCAGGCTGGAGTGCAGTGGCGCAATCTTGGCTCACTCCAACCTCTGCCTTGCGGGTTCAAGCGATTCTTCTGCCTCAGCTTCCCAAGTAGCTGGGATTACAGGAGCGGGCCACCACGCCAGGCTAATTTTTGTATTTTTAGTAGAGACGGGGTTTCACCATGATGGCCAGGCTGGTTTGGAACTCCTGACCTCAAGTGATCCGCCGCCTCGGCCTCCCAAAGCGCAGGGATTATAGGCGTGAGCCACCGCGCCCGGCCCTCACCTGTCTCTCTTGCGCCCCCCGCAGCCAGCCCCAGTCGGCGCCATGGCGTCTGCCGAGCCCCTGACGGCGCTGTCCCGCTGGTACCTGTATGCCATCCACGGCTACTTCTGCGAGGTGATGTTCACAGCGGCCTGGGAGTTCGTGGTGAACTTGAACTGGAAGTTCCCTGGGGTCACGAGCGTGTGGGCCCTCTTCATCTACGGCACCTCCATCCTCATCGTGGAGCGCATGTACCTGCGGCTGCGCGGCCGCTGCCCGCTGCTCCTGCGCTGCCTCATCTACACGCTCTGGACCTACCTGTGGGAGTTCACCACCGGCTTCATCCTGCGCCAGTTCAACGCCTGCCCCTGGGACTACTCCCAGTTCGACTTTGACTTCATGGGCCTCATCACCCTGGAGTACGCCGTGCCCTGGTTCTGCGGGGCCCTCATCATGGAGCAGTTCATCATCCGCAACACCCTCCGCCTCCGCTTCGACAAGGACGCTGAGCCCGGGGAGCCCAGCGGCGCCCTAGCCCTGGCCAACGGCCATGTCAAGACTGACTGAGCAGGAAGCGGGTGGGGGGCCTGGGGATCTCTCATGGAACTCATGGACAAAGAGACCAAGCTGGTGAGGTTGCCCCATCCATGCAGCAAAAGCCCTGCTCCGGCCAAGCCTCAGCCCTATAGGGCACACAGAGCCCCCTAACGTCCGCGGGGGCCGGTGTTGGGGGGCCGTGGTCAGGTGTTGGGGGATGGGGTGTGGAGGCAGCAGAGGGACATTGGGAAGGGTCCATGGATCGCGGCCCAGTTCAGGGGTTGGTACCAGGAGGCCTGTGGCTGAGCAGCGATGGACTATGTAGTTGACTTTGGAAGCAGCAGGCCCTGTCCTGGCCAAGGGACAATGAGAATGGGGCCGCAGGTGGGAGGCAAGGCCTGACCTCCCTCCCTCCGATCTGGATTTAGTTGAGCTTTGGCTGGTTCCATTAGGCAATATTCAGGTGCTTGCTTGCAACCAATACCTCCCCAGGGGCCTGCTGAGCTGCAGCCGAGGAGAGACTGGGCAGCCAGGAGGCTGCGTGGCAGCAACGCTGGTCTGCAAGGGCTGGGAGACCCTCCCTTGGCTCCTCTCCCCTCCCCCAGGGCCCTGCGCTGCTCCCTTGGCCTTCTGGGGCCCCCGTGGTGCTGGATTCCCACCAACCTTGGGCTTTTGGAGGTTTCAATCCCCGTGTGTTCGGTGGCGTTTCCCCCTTTTCTGTCTTGTTTTCAAAGCCTTTACCACTAGCGGCTCTTTATCCACGTCGGTCGCCACACCTGCCCCACCCCAGCTCCCTAGCCAGCACAGGAGCTGCCGGAGATGAAGCCCTGAGACACCCCCAACCCTCACCCCCTTGCAGCCCTTCCCTCCACTGTTCCGGCTGGCCTGATGCCTGGGGAGTTCCTGAGTTACACCTCCCTACCCCCGGTCTAGTGGGCTGTGGCAGTGCTCCCTTCTCAGTGGCTCAGCTGAGAACAAATGATGCCCTCCAATGCACAGGCAGGCTGGGTTAGGCCCTGTGGATCCACAGTGGGGACCTAGAGGCAAGTCAGTTTGGTGGGGAAAAGCCAGAGTTCTAGGTCATCTATTCCCTGCCTGGTTTATTTTCAAGCCAAAACTGAGCAGTCTAGCTTTCTATGGGATGGAGAAGCCAGGTATCCAGCATTGGAGACTGATGGAGAATGAGAGGAAGAAAGAGAGGAGGACCTTGCAGCTGTGGAAGGCTCCTTGGAGCCTCCTTTGTGGGAGGGTATCAGTTCTGGTTCTGCCAGAGCCTCAGCCCTGGTAGCAGAACCTCAGGGCTGCCCCTCTCCCCAAACTCCTCCCAGCAAGGCTGACCCTTTGAGCTCACTCCTTAAACAGTATTAACCCTGCCACACTCATGGGCATTGGCACCTTGGTTCCCCTGCCCCACTTTGTCCTGTGACAGGTCCATTGCTGGCAGTGGACAGGTGAAATACTCACTCCAGCCTACTTCCGGCTCTGACTCTCACTCCTCAAGGGGAAGGGTCCGTTAGAAAGTGGCCCACCCCATGGTACATGGTCTCTTCTTGACCACACTAGGACTCTTAGGTAGAAATTAGCCTTCCCCTTTTTATGGATCATTACAAAGTGACGGTATCACCTGTGGAGAGAATGTCCTCTTCCCTGCTGGCTGCCCTGCCCATACTGTGCAGGGTGTGGTGGGGTGCAGGGTGTGGTGGGGTGGGCCACAGTTGTGTCCTAGGTCTGGAGAAAAGCTTGCAGACTCTGCCTTTGGCAGGATTTTCTGCAGTTAGCCCCGTCCAGAGCAGAACGAAGGGTATTTCCTAGCCTATTTCCTGGGCAGGCTCCTCAAATCCAGGGATGAACTACTTTCTGCAGTGGCCAGCCCTCCTTTTGATTTTATTGTGGCCCCAATTCCAGGGCTTTGGGGGTTACAGAGAATCAGGCTTCCGGTGGGAGTAGATTGTTTTCCATCTATAGGTGGAGAAAATTCCAGGAGGAGAATATTGTCTGGCTTCCCCGTTCTCTCTGGGCAATTGTTTCCTTGGTTCTCTCTCCAACTCCATGTTGTCTTAGTCTCCCAGCACCCCTTCAGGCCTTCCATGTGGGCCCCTAGACCACACTACCCACCTTCACACTTGCATTCCACAACTCAGTCCAGTGGCCAGCTTGTTGATGCCTCCATAATTCTCAGCCAGAGCAAATCCTTGATTGGCCCACCAGGTCTTGCTGCTCCAGAAGTTGCCTTGTGGGCATTCCCTGGCACCATTTCCTCTCTGGGTCCTATACTTTCCCAAGTGCAGGAGGTCCTGGGGGTATGCCTGTGTGCCTGGCAACATCCAGCATTGTGTTTCTGCTCCATCTAGGTGTCCCATTTCTCCAGTTGCCCCTCATAAGGCATCAAACCTCCAGCAAAGGAAGGCAACAACCCATGGCCTGACCACGGGATCTACAGGTTCAGATCTCACCAGGGATAGCCCAGACTTCAATTCTTGCTTTTTTGGGTATCAGGGCCCCAATCCCTTAGTGGCCAGGGACTCAAAGTTTGGAATAATCCCAGCCCTGCCAAGCATTAAGGGTGCTGGTGGGGAGTGTTTGCTGGCTGTTCATGAACCTCTGGTGTCCTGGGCCTCTCTCCACTAGACATGGCAGCATCTCTGAGTTACAGATTGCAATGTGTTGCCCTGCATGGTTGAACTGCTTCGGACATCTGCTAGGCATCCCATGTGCCCTGTCCCCTCTTCAATGCCAGTGAGTCACAATGGCCTATGCTTATTCACAGCAATAATACCTAGGGAGTCCCCATGAAGCCCTTTTGTCCTGGTCCCTCACTCTGCGTGGGTCTCCTGGGGAGGCAGCTGCTGAGTGGGTCAGTTCATGAGAACCTGCATTTATGAAGCCCTGGGCTGTGTAGGCATCACCCTGGGATGCAGACAGGTTAGAGGCCCAGCCCTTAGGGGAGCCATGGCAGGGAGAGTGCCTTCCACCCTGAGGCCACCCAGACCTGGAGGAGATGCAGGCCCCAGCTCTGCTAAAGGGCCTTTGAGGTGGGTGGGACTGTCTCCCAGTTGGGCAGCTCTTGAGAAGGACACACGACCGGTTTGTGCGCCCATTGCCTGCTCTGTGTCTCCGTTGGTCCCTCTGTCTCTTCCTTTTCACATTTGTGCACATAAAATATACTGGTGTTTGTGTTCCAGGACTGGCTCTGGCCCATCTGTTTTTCCTCTTTTGGAGCCACTTTCTCAGGGGCTCCTGGAGGCCAGGCCCTTTGCACCCTGGCATCATGCCCTCCTGAACTAAGAGGGCTGCTGGGCGGGGCTGCCCTGTGGAGGGGGCAAGTGACACTCCCTGCCAATCCTTCTTGCTGTCTCTACTCTGACACTCTCTGGTAACCTGAATTCACACCCTGACCCCAATTCTCAGGTGGCATAATGTGATCCAGGCCTTACTTTGGTGCCACGCTCCCAGGCAGAGGGGGATCTCAGGCAGTATCCAGGTTGACTGCAGGTTGGCTGCAGTTGCCCATGAGACGAGCTCCTCCTGGAAACACCAGCCATGACCTGAGACATCTCATGAGGCAGGAGGGACCAAGCAGGGTGGCTGAGGGTACCCCCAAAGACATGGAAGGCCAGAGCCCTTTACTTTGAAAGTGATGTTACACTGAAAGTCATGCTTCGAAAAAACAGCTCTGCACTCCTCCCTGGCAGCCCTGTTTTGTTGGAGAAGTGCATTTGGAGGGAGTAATCTCTCCCCCTTTATGTACCTCTGCTCCATTGAGCTTCCCTGTCCTCCCACCACCACCACCACCACCACCACCAGGCCGCTGCCCACTTTCCTCCTTCCAGGAAGAGGATGGAGGGTTCAGAAGTTGCTCAGTCAGGCTGGGCATGGTGGCTCACACCTGTAAACCCAGCACTTTGAGAGGCTGAAGCAGGAGGATTACTTGAGCCCAGGAGTTTGAGACCAGCCTGGGCAACATACAGAGACCACCATCTCTACAAAAAAAAAAAAAAAAAAAAAAAAAGCCAGGCATGGTGGCACACACTTATAATTCCAGATACTCAGGAGCCTGAATCAGGAGGATCACGTGAGCCCAGGATTTGGAGGTTGCAGTGAGCTATGATTGCACCACTGTATTCTGGGTGACAGTGAGACCCTGTCTTGAAGTTGCTCAGTAATTTCAGCTAAACGCAAATGGCATGGGCCCCCTGTCACAGCTGGGTTATAGAACACCCACTGCTTTTCTGGATGGAGTAGACAGTGTGCTTTCTAAATCATCGGGAGGGCCCTCTGCCTCCCTCACTTGAAGGTTTTCATTTCTTTGGCTGAAAGCTTTTTCCCTTATGAAAATGAGATAGCATAAATCCCCAGCAGTCATTTACATGTTAGCATAAACAAATATACAAGGTAGTTCTCTCAGAACAAGATTTTATAGAAAGAGGCAAGCAAAATGAAACAGGGTCTCCTTTATGGAGCTTCAGAGAAGAGGCAAGAGGCAGGTCCCCGAGCGAGAAGACTGAGGGGGCCCAAGACCCTTTTTTTTTTAAAAAAAATTATTATTATTATTTTTGAGACAGAATCTCACTCTATTACCCAGACTGGAGTGCAGTGGTGCAATCCCAGCTCACTGCAACCTCCGCCTCCCAGGTTTAAGTGATTTTCCTGCCTCAGCCTCCCAAGTAGCTGGGATTACAGGTGCATGCCACCAGGCCCGGCTAATTTTTGTATTTTTTAGTAGAGACGGGGTTTTGCCATGTTGGCCAGGCTGGTCTTGAACCCCTGACCTCAGGTGATCCACCCGCCTCGGCCTCCCAAAGTGCCAGCTACTTCCCTACTCTAGTCAGTGGGCGCCTGCCTTTCTCGACACTTTCCTTCCTCACCTCCTCCACCCCTCCCTCACCCAATCCAAAGGGCACTAACAACACTAGGTGGAGAGAAATGCCCCAGGAGAGCTAACACTAAGGACTTCATCCACGTCTTCTGAAGTCTGCCTGGACTTTGTGAAAGCCTAATGTTTACTGACAGTGAGTACATGACTGTAGTCTTGCCTGGTCTTCCTGGGTGCCTGTCTCAGAAGGCTGCAATGTTTAGACTGCCCCGGTACAACCAAGGGAGGGAAACAGAGGAAAAAGGAGTGACTGATTCCTCATACAGCAGGTTAGAGGAGCCAGGTCTTACAAATTGAAACACTGGCCAGGTGCGGTGGCTCAAGCCTATGATCCCAGCACTCTGGGAGCCCGAGGCGGGTGGATCACCTGAGGTCAGGAGTTAGAGACCAGCGTGGCCAACATGGTGAAACCCCATCTCTACTAAAAATCCAAAAATTAGCTGGGTGTGGTAGCGTATGCCTGTAATCCCAGCTACTCGGGAGGCTGAGGCAGGACAATCGCTTGAACCCAGGAGGCAGAGGTTGCAGTGAGCCGAGATCGCACCATTGCACTCTAGCCTGGGTGACAGAGCAAGACTCCACCTTAAAAAAAAAAAAATTGAAATAGCAGTTGTGGTTCCCAGGCTAGCCTCAAGACTGCCAGTACCGTGACTGCGGCCAGGCACTGAACTTTGGGCCCTGCATGCATGCTCTCATTTCTTCCCATTTCAGATGGCCACCATTATTTCTGTTTTATGGGAGAGGTCTGTTGGCAAAGAGTCGGCCACCCAGATTTACCACATTTCTCTGCAGAACACTCTTTTGTTCAATATAAGCAGAGACCTTCCACCGGGGGCAGGATTTGTGGTGAGTCCAATACCCCTTTGTACTTGATGAGTTTCTGGATGCCTTTTGAGTCCAGCTCATGTGGGTGCTATTTGCAGTTAAATTAAAATGTTTGGGAATGGGATGGAAGGGAGAGAGAGGGAGTTATAAGAAAGGAGGTGTAGAATGCTGTCTTAGCCAAGACTTAAGACAATTGGCACAAAGATCCCGCCTAGTGGAGGAGAGCTGTGAAATTGTGGCCTCTACCAATGCTGAGTTTAGCCTTGATACCCTCTCCCCTCCCTCCCTCCTTCCCACCCACAGCCTTCTTTTTGCCCTGGGCCTTTTCTCTTTCATCCTATTTCCTTGTCTTGGCATGAAACCTGGGCCCCTGGCTGTCAGTACCTTCAGAGTGTTTGAAACTACCAGCTGAAACCTTTCTCCTAACAAGATAAGAACCTTCTGCTGGTGCCTTCTGAAAACCCAGATAGGACTGAGAACTGACCTGTTTAACTCATCAACTCCTTATTAGATACCTGCAGTGAGCCAAGGACCAGGCTAGTTCCTGTGATGCTGAAGATGTTGAAGGGAAGCCCATAACATTACAACGTTGACCAATCCTCCAGAAAAGAAGCTCTAACAGAGGACCCTGGCTGTCTACGGGGTTGGGTAAGGATTCTTCCAGGAAGAGACACTTTTCACACACTCAAAGGTTGATAGGTTGATTACTGATACTTTCAGAGATAGGCTGGAGTCTTTTTTTTTTTTTTTTTTTTTTGAGATTGGGTCCCCCTCTGTCGCCCAGGCTGGAGTGCAGTGGCGCGATCTCGGCTCACTGCAACCTCCACCTCCCGGGTTCAGGTGATTCTCCTGCCTCAGCCTCCTGAGTAGCTGGGATTACAGGCCCGTGCCACCATGCTCGGCTAATTATTTTGTATTTTTAATAGAGATGGGGTTTTGCCATGTTGGCCAGGCTAGTCTTGAGCTCCTGACCTCAGGTGATCCACCTGCCTTGGCCTCCCAACATGTTGAGATTACAGGGGTGAGCCACTGTGCCTGGCCCAGGCTGGAATCTTATTGTCCAGAAGTGCAGACATTTACTGTGCCCTGCAAGGTGCCTAGCTGGGTACAGTGCCGAACAAAGGAAGCACGTAGTGAGTGCTTTAAGAAACTCTTGACAAGTGGAGTCTTAGTGAACCCACCCTAAAGGCCAGGCTGAGTGTTCCAGAACACCAGTTCCCAGGCTCTTTTGGGAACTTGAAGCTAGGAATCTATTTAGACAACAACCATCCATGCCATTTCTGTGCCCACCACCATAGAGCAGCTCACTGTCCTCCTCCCTCTTTCCAAACCATTAATCCCTGCAGAGCCCTGCCAGCATTTCCCTCTTAGAGTCTTCCGGCCTTGGCCAAAGACCCAGCTCCACTGATCCACCCATTGTTTCATTCTGGTAATACACTTTCTTGGTTTGGGCAAAGGTAGCCTTTTAGTGCCAAACATTACAGAGAAGGAGATCCGCAGATGATATGGTCTGGCTCTTTGCCTCTGTCACAATTACAGCTTCCAAACAGAAAGGAAGTTTTCTGGTTTAGAAGGGTCCACCAGATGGCGAAGGGTCCTGGGGCTGAAGCTTCTTAGTTAAAGTATGGGGTTGTATCAGTGTCCTAGGACTGCTGTAACAAATTACCACAAAATGAGTAGCTCTAAACAATGGAACTGTGTTCTGTCACACTTCTGGAAGGCAGAAGTCAAATCAAGGCATCAGCAGGCTGCATCTCCTCTGAGGCTTTAGGGGAGGATCTGGCCTTGCCTCTTCCAGTCTCTGGTGGCTGCCGGCAATCCTTGGCTTCCTAGGCTTGTGGCAGCATCACTCCCATTTCTGCCACTGTGGTCACATGGCCTCCTCCTCTTCTGTCTCTTAAAAAGACACTTACCATTGCATGTAGGGCCCACCCGGGTAATCCAGGATGATCTCATCTTAAGATCCTTAATTACAACTGCAAAGACCCCTTTTCAAAATAAGGTAACATTCACAGCTTCAGGGGGCTTGGACGTGGCTACATCTTTTTGGTGGGCCACCATTCAACCCAGTATAGGGGTCGAGAAGCAGATTTCTGCTGAAGCCCTTGCATTTTGTACCCACTTAGGAATTCCATGAGGAGTGAAAGCTGGAAGCACAGTGTGTGGTCATCTGGGAGGGAACGCAAGGATTTAGGCATCCCAAGATATACCTGTACCTGTTGTGAAGTTTCTGTTTAGATGCAGATCTGACCATTTCACTCCCTACTTCAGACTCTTTAATGATTTCCCATTACCCTAAGGATCAAGCTCGACACCTTAGCGAGGCTTACAAACCTTTTGTGGTTTGGCCTCATTTCTCGCCTCTGCCCCAGCCCTGTGCCATCCAGGGAGACTGACTTGTAGTTCTCCCTGCAGCTCCCGTTCACTGCCTCTGGGCCTTCGGCCCCTATGTTACCTCTCCCTGGAACACTCTTTCTCCTCTTAGCCCAACTGGAGACTGATGAGCTCACTTAAAGCTGGCAACATTGGTTTCTATCTCCGTGGAGCTTCCCCTCGCTCTGCCTTCAGTTTACAAACCCAGTCCTGGCGCCTGGAAGCCCTCTGTGTGCCGGTCACCAGCAGAGTGGCTACATTCTTCCAGTGTTGTCAACGCAGCTGACTTTGGTCATCCATTCACCTGCTGTGCACCAGGACCTCCCTGCGCTAGGCCTGTGGCACAGCAGGGAGCAAGACAGATTCCTGTGTCCTTGCTGTAGGATGACTTCAGTGGAATTACAGGGTGCCGACAACTCCGATGGCTCACTGTTAGGGAAAGAGGGATTAACCCAGATCTAGAAGGGGAGATCAGGAAATATTTCTGTGTCTGATTTAGCCAGGACAGGGGGTGAAGCTTGAGGTGAGGTGAAGAGCAGGCACTCCAGGTTGAAAGCACAGCATGTGTGAAGGCTGAGAACACACAGAGAACAGAACTTGCGAAAATAACAGATCGTGATACAATTAAAACAGGGTGGTGTGCAAATGAATAGGGAGCTTCTCTAGACTGGGTAGCCCCAAAAGGTCTGCCAGAAGAGATGCTATTTAGTCTGAAGCCTGGATCGTGATGACAGTCCCCCTGTGAAGGTGCAGGGAGAGTGTTTTGTGCAGAGGAAACAGCTGGTACAAGAGGCAAAGATGCGAATGAGCTCGAAGAGTTTGAGGTACAGATAAAAGGCTGGTGTGGCTGCTGCGTGGTGGGGGCGAGGGTGAGGAGGAGTACAGGATGCAGGTGAGAGAAGCAGGCAGGGGTCAGAGCCTGTAGGGCTCTGGAGGGTGGGGGCAGGGGGACAGAGGGTGATGGATGTGATGGACAGAGGGTGATGGAGTGCTTTTAAGGAAGACCTGTGGGGCCTCACCCAGCCCCTTCCAGGAAACCCCATTCTGAGGATGGGGGCACAGGCCAGGGGAGGCTGCAGGGAGAGCCTGGGGTCCCAGGTACCCTTAGCCTCCATCCTGTTCTCTCAGAGGTCATGGATTGCGGTCAGCGGGACTGGAAATATGGATCTGTTTTGTTTTGGCAAAACTTTCTCTGTACCTACTACATAAGCACTCCTACCCTGGGGTAGATTGCACCAGGCCAGGTGGTGCAGGTGCAGGGCTGCTCTCTTTCTCTCTGTCTCACATACACACACACACACACTCTCACACATACACACACCCTGCGCCACCTCATGCACACTAACCTCTGTGAGCTGGGCCTGTTGAGGCCCTCCTGAAGCTACCTGGGAGCTCAAGTCCCACAGATCCTTGGAGTCTCAAGGTTGTTGGCAGTATTGGACCTTCCCAGAGTAGGGCAAAGGTAGGGAAGATGTAGCAGAGGTATTGACTCAGACAGACTTTTGTTCTAACCCTGTCTCTACCGCTTACTGTCTATATGACTTTGGACAAGAGACTGAGCCTCTCTGAGACTTAGTTTGGTGTATTTAGCTCAGATGTAGTTAGTTGAGTTCACTGGGAGCACATTCTAGCCTCCCCCTAGGCTGAGTGCAAAAGTTAACTCTGCTGATGGTCTAGAGCAGCCAGCATTAGATGCTAGCTCGGCACAGCAATCTTTTTTTTTTTTTTTTTTTTTTTTTTGAGACGGAGTCTCACTCTGTCTCCCAGGCTAGAGTGCAGTGGCGCAATCTTGGCTCACTGCAACCTCCGCCTCCCAGGTTCAAGCGATTCTCCTGCCTCAGCCTCCCTAGTAGCTGGGACTACAGGCGCGTGCCGCCACGCCCAGTTAATTTTTTGTATTTTTAGTAGAGACAAGGTTTCATCGTGTTAGTCAGGATGGTCTCGATCTCCTGACCTTGTGATCCACCCGCCTCAGCCTCCCAAAGTGCTGGGATTACAGGCGTGAGCCACCGCGCCCAGCTCCAGCAAACATCTTAAAATGGAATATTAGACATCCACATTATTAAGTCTTGTGGGCATTGCCTTTGGTTTTTAATATATTTGAAAAAAATTTTTAATTAAAAATAGAGATGAGGTCTCACTATATTGCCCAGGCTGGTCTTGAACTCCTGAGCTCAAGTGATCCTCCCACCTCGGCCTCCCAAAGTGCTGGGATTACAGGTGTGAGCCACCATGTCCAGTTGGGCATTGCCTCTGGGCATTGCCACAGGGATTTTTCACAGCCAACTCAGGATCACCACCCTGTTGGTTGTAGGATGACCAGCTGACTTGGTTTGCTTGGGACTGAGGGGTTTCCTAGGACATGAAGCTTTCACTGGCAAAACCAGGCAAATCAGGATGAATTAGTAATGCCAGCTAGTGGAAGCTTACAGCATCCTTACTAATTGCAATACAGTTATTTCCTGCTTTGCAGAATGACCCCTTTCCCATTGGCTATGGTATTGGTGGGTCCTCTTCTCCCCAGGCCAAGGATGGACTTCTAACCCAAACCAGAATACTCAACCTCTTTCCCTTGATTTGAATCTCAACACAAAACCTAAACAGACTGTCCAATAACTCCTGCTACCTGGATCCTTGGAGGTGTTTGGCTTTTTGTTGTCCTCTTAGTTTGCTCTTCAGCCTTTCCTTTGACTCCACGAGGTGCCCCTCACAGCTTTCCAGTAAATTTCTTTGTTGGCCGGGCGTGGTGGCTCACGCCTGCAATCCCAGAGCTTTGGGAGGCTGAGGTGGGAGGATTGCCTGAGCTCAGGAGTTTGAGACTAGCTTGGGCAACATAGCAAGACCCTATCTCTGTTTTTTAAAGAAATTAGCCAGGTGTGGTGGCTCATGGCTGTAGGCCTAGCTACTTGGGAGGCTGAGGCAGGAGGATTGCTTGAGCCCAGTAGTACAAGGCTGCAGTGAGCTATGATCACTGAGCTCCAGCCTGGGTGATAGAGTAAGAACCTGGCTCTCTAAAAATTTAAAAGCAAAAAGAAAATTACTTCAGTTAGTTGCAACCAGTCCCTTTCCCCATTCTCTATACAGCAGTGAGAACTTTCTGCATGGGGACAATCCAGATCCCTGCCACACATCTGACTTCTTTGTAAACATGTGACCATCACCTGTGATCATATCTTTAACCCTCACACTCCCCCATCCTAACCTTCATGAAATGCTGCTCATGCTCTGAGCTAGTATCTCTCATCTAACCCCTACCCCACCTCCAGGAGACCTCGCCTGTTACAGTCTATGCCTGATTTAGCTGTTGTCCTTTTCTGCAGTAGAGTCCCCAGGAGTTCTTCAGGGACAGGCAGTCAAGGACAGCTGGTGCCCAGAGCCTCCCTGGCTTGCCCACTGGGCAGCTCCAGGGACAACTTGACCTGCCCAATCAAAGCCAAAGGTCAGAACAGGAGGCAGAACCTCGCCCGGCCCTCTTCAAACTCCAAGGGAAAGCCTGTTCCTTGGATCCTTTCAGAAATAAAAACAAAATGACATCAGGTGTTATTTAGTGTTATTTTGCTGACTTTCACTCAATCTGTTCTCCCAGGATCTCAGATTTGCTGACCAGCAGGACCAGATGGCACCTTTTGCAGGACTATCTCATTGTTTCTGCCTTTGCATGTGCCCTGAGCAGCCTAAGAAACAACTTTTCTTCTTCTGACTGTGCATTGTTTCTAGTTTTTTTTTTTTCTTCCTATGACTCTGCTGAGGGCATGTGACACCCAATCCTGGCTTACGTTTCATATCCTTGAGATGACAGCTGACTTTGTTGTCCAGAAGGAGGGAGAGTGAGGGTAAGGGCTGGGGAGGGAAGGGAAAGTACCAGAAAATGGAAGGGGCTAGATTGCTCCAGGTTCATAACTCTGATTGCAACCACCCTCTTTCTCAGCCTTTCTGGAATGTGGCTGTTTATGCTCCATGTACCCCTGGGAACTTCCTGATTGCCCAACAAAGATTCAATACCCCAGGCTTTGGAGTCATTAGACTGGAGTTTGAATCCCAGGTTCCTGACTCAAGTGGGCATGTTATGTAACCTGTCTGAGACTCAGTTTCCTCATCTGAAAATGTGGCCAATAATAGTCTAGACCTCCCAGAGTGGTGGAGATTAAAAGAGGCAATGACTGTAGAGTGCTTAGCACCCAATCAATGTCAACTATTAGGAGAGACATTCTCCTTCATTTGTTTCACAAGGAAAATGCAAGGAGATGCCACTCCAGCAAGCATTTCTGGAATCCTGCTGGCGAGGTCATAATGACCAAAATTATGGGCTTTAGAATGGTCCTCATTTAGCCTGTACTATTTATAATGAATAGGAAGGCAAATTACTTAACCTCTCTACACACAAGTTTTCTCATCTGTAAAATGGAGATGGTAAAACCTACTCTATAGGATTATTGTGAAGGTTGAGTTAAATAAAAAATGTCTAAAATGCTTTATACAGGACCGTGATCCCTTACCCCGAACCCATGGGATTTTGCAAGACTTTTTGGATTCCAGAAAGGTAAAACATTTATATGCTGTATAAGCTAGGTGTCAGTCAGCACCCCATAGTCAAACACATCATTATTTCTACACAGAAATCTATGAATATCCTACTACATGGGGTAAAGAGCCTTTTTGTTTGTTTGTTTGTTTTTTGAGACGGAGTCTCACTGTTGCCCAGGCTGGAAAGCAGTGGTGCAATCTTGGCTCACCACAACCTCTGCCTCCCGTGTTCAAGCAATTCTCCTGTGTCAGCCTCCCGAGTACCTGGGACTACAGGTGTGCGCCATCATGCCCGGCTAATTTTTGTACTTTTAGTAGAGACGGGGGTTTCACTGTGTTGGCCAGGCTGGTCTCGAACTCCTGACCTCATGATTCACCTGCCTCGGTCTCCCAAAGTGCTGGGATTACAGGTGTGAGCCACTGCGCCTGGCAGATAAAGACTCTTAATTTCCTTACAGCCTTACCTGGCAAGATAGGCAAGACAAGTGTTATAATTCACACCTCACAGATAACAAACTGAGGATAGGGAGAGTAGGTTGTTCAAGGCCACATGGTCCATAATTAGCCGCACCAGGATCCCTGGGTCATCTGGTGATCTGGCCCAGGGACTCCTCCCATGACACCACACAGTATGAGAGACATGACCCTGTTATAACCATCCCTTTTGCTGAATGAACTTTACAAAAAAAGGGAGGCGGGGTATGGGGAACTACTACATGGTCACCTTTTCTTCTTGTCTTTCTAAGTGTATGTTTATTTCTACATTCTTTTCAAATTCTGCTTCTC
The DNA here is from genome assembly GCF_000001405.40 of Homo sapiens. Classification (NCBI taxonomy): domain Eukaryota; kingdom Metazoa; phylum Chordata; class Mammalia; order Primates; family Hominidae; genus Homo; species Homo sapiens. The sequence goes on along the minus strand of NC_000014.9, from coordinate 67,460,068 downwards.
CCATTTTGGTACCTGATACACATTTCTCTGTATTAAAATAGACAACATACTTGCTTTTTAAAATAACTGTAGAGTCTTCCAGAATCTTAATATAACCCAGTTAGCTTAGCTATCCCCCTACTGCTGGCTATTTGCATGTTTGCAGTTTTGCACTGTTCTAAAAGAATGCTTCAGTCATCCGTTTTAAACTTTGCCTTGGGGATGAGCAAGCACATTGATTTGAAATCACCTGTCCCTTGAGCCCCCAGCTGGCTGGCAGCCCTGGGAGATTGTCTTTCCAGGCACTTCAACGATATAATTGTTGTTCCCAATCAACGAATCAATTAGGGTTTATTGAGCGCCTATGTGAGGAACAGCGTGTGTGCTCTTTAGTACTGGGAGGCACAGAAGCCCAAGTGATGTCTCTGACCCTCAAGAAGCTTACGTGTAACCAGGGAGGCCTTTCAGCTTCAAATCAAGCTGTGTTTGCGTCCAGCCAGTAAGACCTTCTAAGCAGGGCTTTTCAAGATGGGTATCAGGGTGTGACCTGCATGGTGAAAGCAAGAACTTTAAATAGGTCTCTAATCTATCCTCTTGCCTGTGAAGGGCATCGGTTTCATTCAACAAGAAGGTGCCAGAAATGAAATAGTGAATAGAGAAAACAAGCTCAGAAGTTCCATGAAGCCTTCCCTGATTCATCAGGTTTTGCTATCAGACTCTAATGGTTAGGGTGAATCATTAAAAACCAATAATATAGGCCAGGTGCAGTGGCTCATACCTGTAATCCCAGCACTTTGGGAGGCCAAGGTGGGAGGGTTGCTTGAAGCCAGGGGTTCAAGACCAGCCTGGGCAACATAATGAGACCTCATTTCTACAAAAAAAATTTAAAAAATTAGCCAAGTGGCTGGCTGTGGTGGCTCATGCCTATAATCCCAGCACTTTGGGAGGCTGAGGTGGGCGAATCATGGGGTCAGGAGTTCCAGACCAGCCTGGCCAACATGGCAAAACCCCATCTCTACCAAAAATACAAAAAAATTAGCCTGGCATGGTGGCGGGTGCCTGTAATCCCAGCTACTCAGGAGACTGAGGCAGGTGAATCACTTGAACCCAGCAGGCGGAGGTTGCAGTGGGCCAAGATCGTGCCATTGCACTCCACCCTGGGCGACAAGAGCAAGACTCCATCTCAAAAAACAAAACAAAAAACATTAGCCAGGCATAGTGGTGCACTTTGGTAGTCCCAGCTACATAGGAGGCTGAGGTGGGAGGCTTGAGCCCAGGAGATCGAGGCTGCAGTGAGCCAAGATCAGGCCACTGCACTCTAGCCTGGGTGACAGAGTGAGACCCTGCCTCAAACCAAACCAAAAAATAAGTAAGGAAAAAAATAGCATATAAAGTATCAGTTCCCTGACTCCCCTTGGCAGGGGGTCAGTGAAAAGACTAAACAGGACCTGGTTCTACCTAGCTTCCCTTAAGCAAGGCCTCTCTCTGTCTCCCCTCTCCCGCCCTTCAAATGGGAACAACAGTAATACTTTATGGGATTCACAGGCTTTTGACTAGTATCAGTCGAGATCCTGACAAATGCTTAGAAAGAACAATATGTTACCCAAATGGGGATAACTGTTACCCACTAGGGATGCTGGGGACCACATCTCCTTCACTGTGGTATCCCGAGCACCCGGCACGCTGCGGGTCTGGCAGGTAGTAGGAGCTCAATAAACATTTGTTGAACGAACCAGAGAGTTGGCAGGGGTTATTATGAGTCCATAAAGGACACTGTACCGCACATCAATTCATCAAATCTGAGGAGGAGGCTCCTCACCCCACACTCCAGCTCCACCCCACAAATCCATCTTCCATAGGGCAGTCTCAGCCTTTCCCTGTCACCCTGTACGCACTCTAATGGGTCCCCCATTCAGTACAGCAAAGATCCGAAGCTGAAAGTTCAGCCTGGGACGGGTGAGCGAGGAAAAGGCTCAGCTCTCCTCAGGTTTCAAGGGCTGCAGCACTCCCTGTCACAACGGATTGGCCAGCTCCACCTTCAATTCCCGCTCCTGGCTGCTGAAGCAGGGGAGTGTCAGGCCACAGGGATCCTTAGCCAACAGCAGCACTCTGACCAGCTAAGAAGGACACTTGGCACCAGAGAGCAGCCCTGTCCTCATCCCCCGCCAGCTGGGGCCTCAGGTGTTCTGTCACCTCAGAGGCCAGCCAGCCTGCTGCTCCTGGAGCATCTGGTTACTAATAAGAGACAACAGCCTATAGCAGGGGAGTCATTTCACAGTGGCTAGAGCCCAGTCCACTGGCTGGACTTTTCCAAAGAGATTTCCTGTTTTTCTAGAACCAATGTCATCCTCACTGAGAGCTCCTAGTGAGCCCCTAGTGGGACTTTTGTAATAAAGTCCTATAGCTGGGGGGCCGTGACAACCGGCTGCTTTCCAAAGTCTGTGGCTTCCTTCTTTAGGCATTTGTTTGTTTGGTTTGGTTTTACAGACAAAGTCTCTCTCTGTTGCTCAGCCAGGAGTGCAGTGGTGCCATCCTAGCTCACTGCAGCCTCCAAACTCCTGGGCTCAAATGATCCTTCTGCCTCAGCCTCCTAAGTAGCTGGGACCACAGGCACATGCCACCACACATGGCTAAATTTTAAAAACATTTTTTGCAGAGACAGGGTCTCTCTTTGTTGCCCAAGGTGGTCTCTAACTCCCAACTCCTGGCCTCAAGCCATCCTCCCACTTCAGCCTCCCAAGCTGCTGGGATTACAGGCGTGAGCCAGCATGCCCTGCTGTTTGTTTCTTTTTTCTTTTCTTTCTAACTTTTCAAATTGTTGAAGGGTATATGTGCAGGTTTCTTATATAGGTAAATTGAGTGTCTGAGGGTTTGGCGTATAGATTATTTTGTCACCCAGCTAATAAGCATAGTACCCTATAGGTAGTTTTTCAATCCTGACCCTCCTCCTACCCTCCACCCTCAAGTAGGCCCTGGTGTCTATTGTTCCCTTCTTTATGTCCATGTGTACTCAGTGTTTAGCTCCCACTTATACACGAGAAGATGCTGTATTTGCTTTTCTGTTTCGGCATTAATTCACTCAGGATAATGGCTTCCAGCTTCATCCATGTTGCTCAAAGGACGTGATCTCGTTCTTTTTCATGGCTGTATAGTATTCTATGGTATATATGTACCACATTTTCTTTATCCACTCCACCATAAATGAGCATTTAGGTTGATTCCATGTCTTTTCTATTGTGAATAGTGCTGTAATGAACATACATATGTGTGCCTCTTTAGGGTAGAACAATTTATATGCCTTTGGGTATATAACCCAGTAATGGGATTGGTAAGTCAAACGGTAGTTCTGTTTTAAGTTCTTTGAGAAATCGTCAGACTACTTTCCACAATGACTGAACTAATTTGCATTTCCATCAGCAATGTGTAAGCATTCCTCTTCCCGCAGCCTTGCAGCATGTGTTATTTTTTGACTTTTTTTTTTTTTTTTGAGATGGAGTTTTGCTCTTCTTGCCCAGGCTGGAGTGCAATGGCGTGATCTCAGCTTACTGCAAACTCCTCCTCCCAGGTTCAAGTGATTCTCCTGCCTCAGCCTCCCAGGTGTCTGGGATTGCAGGTGCCTACCACCATGCCCAGCTGATTTTTTGTATTTTTAGTAGAGACGGGGTTTCACCATGTTGGCCAGGCTGGCCTCAAACTCCTGACCTCAGGTGACCCACCCACCTCAGCCTCCCAAAGCACTGGGGATTTCAGGCGTGAGCCACCGTGCCTGGCCTTATTTTTTGACTTTTTAATGATAGTCATTCTGACTCGTATGAGATGGTATCTCATTGCGGTTTTGATTTGTATTTCTCTTATGATTAGTGATGTTGAGCATTTTCTCATATACTTGTTGGCCAGATGGATGTCGTCTTTTGAGAAGTGTCTCTTCATGTCTTTTGCCCACTTTTCATGGGGCTGTTTGGTTTTTTGTTTGTTAATTTGTTTAAGTTCCTTATAGATTCTGGATATTAGACCTTTGTCAGATGCATAGTTTGCAAATATTTTCTCCCATTCTGTAGATTGTCTGTTTACTCTGTTGATAGCTTCTTTTGCTGTGTAGAAGCTCTTTAGTTTAATTAGGTCCCATTTGTCAATTTGTGATTGTTGCAATTGCTTTGCATGAAATCTTTGCCAGGGCCTATGTCCAAAATGGTGTTTGTTTCTTTATTCTGTCTTCTCTACCCAAATGTAAGCTCCAGAGGGTAGGGATCATATCTTTCACTGCTTTCTCCTCCTAGTGCTGGAAATTGCACCTGACCCAAAGCAGGTGCTTAATTAATATGTGTGGAATGATTGAAAAAAGAAACAAATGAACCCTTTAGCAATTTATTATATATGGTAAATGATAGTTATAAATAATTATAAATAAATGATTATTTTAAATGACTTTAAAGGGAAGCAGAAATTTCCATAGTGTCTCAGGATTAACATGCACATGTTCCTAGCTTTTCATTTATTATTTATTAATTCTGTTATTTTTTAAATCCTGTTTTTGATCCATAGGAGAGATGAGAATTAGATATCACATGATGTGTATGTCAGAACTACAAGATAGGAGCACATAGTTCTAGGAGCATCTGCAGTGGGGGATTTGATCTAGTCAGGGTGGTCAGGGAAGGCTCCCTGGAGGAAGTCACAATTGCATCAAGATCTAAAAGGAGAGGTCATTAACTGCGAGCCACAGTGGGGAAGGAAGAATACTGCAGACAGAGGGGATGGCACAGGAAAGGCCTTGGGGTGGGAGGGAACAGGTGGGGATGAGAAACTGAGGGGCAGCCAAATGTGAGGAGGGTGAGAACGAGGGTGGGCCGCAGGGCTACAGCCAGACCTGGCCAGCACCTTGGCGAGGCTGGGCAGCAGCAGACAGGCTGGCAGCATCTGACCGTGCTCAATAAGAAAGCTGCCCTGCACATTGGCTCATGCCTATAATCCCAGCACTTTGGTAGGCCAAGGCGGGTGGATCAGTTGAGGTCAGGAGTTCAAGACCTGCCTGGTCAACATGGTGAAACCCCGTCTCTACTAAAAATCCAAAAATTAGCCAGCCATAGTGGTGCATGCCTGTAATCCCAGTTACGTGGGAGGCTGAGGCACAAGAATCACTCAAACCCAGGAGGCAGAGGTTGCACTCTAGCCTGGGTGACAGAGTGAGACTCCGTCTCAAAAAAGAAAAAAAAAAAAAGGAGAAAGAATGCTGCCCTGGCTGGGACAGGGCGCCCCTCAGGGGATGTCACCTCTTCCAGAGGACTCTTCCCAACTCCCTAGCCTAGGTTAGGGCCCTGCCTTTGTGTTCCCATGGGACCCAGGGTATTTCCCCCTTATTATATAACTTATTAAAGTCCACTTTAATGATATATTTTCTTACTTTTTAGTTTCCATCTCTCCATTCGTGAGCTCCTTGAAGGCAGAGAACACTTGGCTTTTCTTCCTATACCTCCAGTCCCTAATGCAGGGACATGAGAGATGCCCATTTGTGTTTGATGAATGAATGAGTGAATAAATGAATGAATGAGTGCCTGGAGATCAGAGTACATGGGATGAGTGTTCGGAGTTCTACAGACTCAGGAAGCCCCAGCTGACATTCCAAGAAGAAGGAGACACGAAGGTGAGGGGATGCCATGCAGTTAGCGTCACATGAAGAAAAACAAAATTTAAGGTATCATCCTTAGAAGACGGAGGGATGACAGTTTCAAGGAGGATTTGTTCATCAGATGCTGGGAAGGAATTTCAACAGGTAAAACTGCATAGTGCATAGGTTTATAAGCATGAACAAGCATGTCAGCTATGTATTTAGTAGGTGCTCATGATTTGTGTCAAGCATTGTTCTAAGTGCCTTGTAAGCATTAAGCCATTTAAATTCTTATAACAATTGCATGAAACATTTAACCATTACTATGTCTATTTTACAGATGAGGAAACTGAAGAGCAGAGAGGTTAAGTACCCCCCTACCCTGCCCCCCAGGGGACACAACCTGTAAGTGACACCGTGAGGCTTTTAACCCAAAGAGTTTGGTTCCAGAAGTCTGTCTTGCTGCCTTCAAGCCAGCCCTCGCTCTGCTGCTGGTGCTAACCTAAGGACTTGATACCTTTTTTAAGGCCCTCCTGAGAGGGAGGTATGATTCTCCTCCATTTTCAGATGAGAAAGCTGAGGCTCCAAGAGGTTGCCAAAGTTCAGCTAGCTGACAAGTGGCAGAGCCAGGATCTACAGTCACAGCCATGCTCACTGTGTCCTGTGTCTTCTGACACTCACGGCTGAGCTCTAAGCCTGGGTCACCTCCTCTGCCCCTCTCTCCACAGCTCTGGAACCTCAGCCAAGGCCCAGCAGATGGTGGCCCTACATGCACATTTCTGACTCAGCCGCCCCCTCTCCACCCGCTGCTTCTCATCCCAGCTCTGAACCTCTAACCCACCATAGTTTCTGAGACAGGGACACCATCCTGACCTGGCATGAGATTAGGAACAGCTCAGGCCATCAGCATCTTTTGGGGGCAAAAATAGGTGCAGCTAAAATCTATTTATACATCCCTGATGGGCAGGAAGGCGACAGCCAGACCTAAGGAAAGGTTGTTCAAGGATTCAGCATGTCAGCATCCCGGGTACCTGAGCAGGCTGATGGGAGGTGTGTGCAGGACAGGGAGCCCCAGGCAGGCCCTCTGTCTCAGCTGGGAGGGCAGGATACTTTTCCTGGCTCTCCTTCACCCAGGCTCTCCTGCTCCTTCCCTCAGGGCCTTCCTTTGCACAATGGCTGGCAGGCTCAGGATGCCTCTGAAGCCAGGAAGAGGGGCACTTTGACTAGTCAACCCAGCCTCCTTGACAGAGCCCTAGGCCCAAGCTGACCCCCCGGGGGATAATTGGAGCAGCATTTGAGCATACTATTTGGTTACTTTCATCTCAAGTGCTTGACCCAAAAGACATCTGGCACAGGCTCAGCTACTCAGTACCCCTTCCTGGGGCGACATGTCACTGTGACAGTACTGTGCCTCCATTTCCCCATGTGTGAAGACAGAAAATTCTCAAGTGTCTAGCACACACAGGCTTGACCAAGGGAGACCCCCATGCCCTAGACAGTAGCAGAAAAAATTTCCTTGTGTGGGCTGAGGAAGGTAGCATGGCTAGGGTTGGAGGGAGAAAAAGCTCAGGTTTCAGGATCCAGCAGATTTGGGTTCCATTTCTGGATCTGCCTCTTCCTGTCTATGTGATCTTGGGCAAATACTTACCATATCTGAGCCCTGGAAATAGTAACCATTCCAATACTTAAAACAGGTCTCTGAGGTAGATGCTGTCTCTAGACATGTCTTATAATCGAGAAACTGGGCACAGAGAGAGAAATTAACTTGCTCCAGGTCACACAGATGATAAGTAACAAGAGTCAAGATTCAAACCTAGATGGCCTGGCTCTCCTCTTTGCTCCTAACCACTACCCCACACTGCCCTGCTTCCTATAAAACCTGGAAGAGGAGAGTTCTGATCCTAGTCCTGCCAGTAAGTTAAGGCACAGGGCCACTTGGACCTTGTATTGGTGCATTTTCATGCTGCTGATAAAGACATAGCGGAGACTGGGCAATTTACAAAAGAAAGAGGTTTAATGACTTACAGTTCCATATGGCTGGGAATGCCTCACAATCATGACAGAAGGCAAGGAGAAGCAAGTCACAACTTACATGGATGGTGACAAGCAAAAAAAAACCTTGTACAGAGAAACTCTCATTTCTTTTTTTTTTTTTTTTTGAGACAGAGTCTCACTCTGTCACCCAGCAGGCTGGAGTGCAGTGGTGTGATCTCAGCTCACTACAACCTCTGCCTTCCGGGTTCAAATGATTCTCTTGCCTCAGCTTCCCAAGTAGCTGGTGTGCACCATCACACCCGGCTAATTTTTATATTTTTAGTAGAAACAGGGTTTCACCATGTTGGCCAGGCTGGTCTCAAACTCCTGACCTCAGGTGATCCACCCACCTCAGCCTCCCAAAGTGCTGGGATTACAGGCAGGAGCCACCATGCCCAGCCGAAACTCCCGTTTCTTAAAACCATCAGATCTCATGAGACCCATTCTCTATCATGAGAACAGCATGGGAAAGACCCACCCTGATGATTCAATCATCTCTCACCAGGTTCCTCCCACAACACACGGGAATTATGGGAGCTACAAGATGAGAATTGGGTGGAGACACAGAGCCAAACCATATCATTCCACCCCTGGCCCCTCCCGAATCTCCTATCTTCGCATTTCAAAATCAATCATGCCGTCCCAACAGTCCCTCAAAGTCCTAACTCATTTCAGCATTAGCTCAAAAGTCCACAGTCCAAAGTCTCATCCAAGACAAGGCAAGCCCCTTCTATCTATGAGCCTGTAAAATCAAAAGCAAGTAAGTTACTTCCTAGATACAATGGGGGTACAGGCATTGGGTAAATACAGCCATTCCAAATGGGAGAAATTGGCCAAAACAAAAGGGCTACAGGCCCCATGCAAGTCTGAAATCCAGTGGGGCAGTCAAAGCTTAAAGCTCCAAAATGATCTCTTTTGATTCCATGTCTCACATCCAGATCACACTGATGCAAGAGGAAGGTTCCCATGGTCTTGAGCAGCTCTGCCCTTGTGGCTTTGCATGTATAGCCCTTCTCCTGGCTGCTTTCACAGACTGGCATTGAGTGTCTGTGGCTTTTCCAGGTGACGGGTGCAAGCTGCTGTTGGATCTACCATTCTGGGGCCTGGAGGATGGTGGCCCTCTTCTCACAGCTCCACTAGGAGATACCCCAGTAGGGACTCTCTGTGGAGGCTCTGACTCCACATTTCCCTTCCACAATGCCCTAGCAGAGGTTCTCCATGAGGGCCCCGCCCCTGCAGAAAACTTCTTTCTGTGCATCCAGGCATTTCCCTACATTTTCTGAAATCTAGGAGGAGGGTCCCAAACCCCAGTTCTTGACTTCTGTGCACTCACAGGCTCAACACCATGTGGAAGCTGCCAAGGCTTGAGACTTGCACCCTCTGAAGCCACAGCCTGAGCTCTATGTTGGCCCCTTTCAGCCATGGCTAGAACAGCTGGGACATAAGGCACCAAGTCCCTAGGCTGCACACAGCACGGGGGACCCTAGGCCTGGCTCACAAAACCACTTTTTCCTCCTAGGCCTCTGGGCCTGTGATGGGAGGGGCTGCCATGAAGACCTCTGACATGCCCTGGAGACATTTTCCCCATTGTCTTGGGGATTAACATTCAACTCCTCGTTACTTATGCAAATTTCTGCAGCCAGCTTGAATTTCTCCTCAGAGAATGGGATTTTCTTTTCTATCGCATTGTCAGTCTGCAAATTTTCTGAACTTTTATGCTCTGCTTCCCTTATAAAACTGAATGCCTTTAACAGCACTCAAGTCACCTCTTAAATGCTTTGCTACTTAGAAGTTTCTTCCACCAGATGTCCTAAATCAACTCTCTCAAGTTCAAAGTTCCACAAATCTCTAGGGCAGGGGCAAAATGCCACCATTCTCTTTACTAAGACGTAAGAAGAGTCACATTTGTTCCAATTCCCAACAAGTTCCTCATTTCCATCTGAGACCACCTCAGCCTGACTTTATTGTCCATATCACTATCATCATTTTAGGCAAAGCCATTCAACAAGTCTCTAGGAAGTTCCAAACTTTCCCTCATTTTTCTGTCTTCTTCTGAGCCCTCCAGACTGTTCCAACCTCTGCCTGTTACCCAGTTCCAAAGTCACTTCCACATTTTTGGGTATCTTTTCAGCAGTGCCCCACTCTACTGGTACCAATTTACTGTATTTAGTCCATTTTCATGCTGCTGATAAAGACATACCTGAGACTGGGCAATTTACAAAAGAAAGAGGTTTAATGACTTACAGTTCCATATGGCTGGGAACGCCTCACAATCATGGCGGAAGGCAAGGAGAAGCAAGTCACATCTTACATGGACGGCAGCAGGCAAAAAAAAAAAAAGAGATTGTGCAGAACATCTCCCGTTTTGTTTGTTTGTTTGTTTGTTTGAGACAGAGTTTTTGCTCTTGTTGCCCAGGCTGGAGTGCAATGGCACGATCTCAGCTCACTGCAACCTCTGCCTCCCGGGTTCAAGCAATTCTCCTGCCTCAGCCTCCCAAGTAGCTGAGATTACAGGTATGTGCCTCCACAAGGGGTTTCTCCATATTGGTCAGGCTGGTCTCAAACCCCTGAAATCAGGTGATCTGCCTGCCTCCCAAAGTGCTGGGATTACAGGCATGAGCCACCGCACTGGGCCAAAACTCCTATTTTTTAAAACCATCAGATCTCGTGAGACCCATTCACTATCACAAGAACAGCACGAGAAATACCCACCCCCATGATTCAGTCATCTCCCACTGGGTTCCTCCCACAATACATGGGAATTATGGGAGCTACAAGATGAGATTTGGGTGGGAACACAGAGCCAAACCATATTAGGCCTCAACTGGCAAATGATGGGAGAAGGCCTTGATGCTATACCACATAGCACTATCTGAGCCTCTGCATTGTTTCTGAGTGTGTGTTGTCCCTGCCTGTCAGCCTACAAGATACAGGGGACCATTGTCAGGAGACTCCCTCCTCCTTGCCACCCCACTTCCCCACACCCTGCCTTCTAGCCTTGGGTTCAAGGATCAGTGACAAGAGTGCCATGAAAGAGCATCTTTCCCAGGCCCTCCCGAGTGCCTACCACAACCCTCTTCTAAAGCTTCTGGGCTCTGAGAGGGCAGAGGCTGGCTTCTGGACAAGTGGATCATATCCAATGCAGCCTCTATCCTCCTTCACAGTAGAGCTCATTTGGCCTCGGCTGCAGTTAGCACCTCCTGGATCCTCTTGGCCAGACTGAATGACCAATTTAAGTTAATTTTCAGACTCTTAGTATTGGAGAGGAATGTGCAGATAGAACAAGCAGTCCAAAAATGCAGGAATCCCATCTTCAGCAGTCTGAGCAGAATTGGCTGGTGTGTCCTCATGATGCCAGCTTCTCCCTTCCTAAAAGGGTCTGGGCCCTTCCTGGTTGGCTATCATGGACAGAAGCTCCTCCTGAAGTTGGGCTACAATCTGACTTTTCTGTCGTGACACCTTCCACGCCTAGTTTGGCCCTTTGGAGTGTCACAGTATTCCCCTCATGGGATGGTCTTTCACAGCCATGAAGAGAATCACTGTGTTCCTGCCAAGTCTTCTATTTTCAAGATTAAATAGCCCCACTTCCTCCAATTCTACCTCTTAGGTCAAGGTTCTTTAAGGCTTCTTAAGGCCTTTTCCTCATTGCCCTACTCCCTCTGTTTCCAGTCTGTTCTAATGGATTTGTCAGGAATCCTGACTCAGGATTCCATTTAAAATACTATGCTGAGAGCGTGACACTGAAGTGTTTGTGATCAGTAGGGCAGCATTATTGTCTGTAGTCTCCCTTTGCTCTCTCTCCCCTCCACAGCCCCCCACCATCCCTCCAGGCTTCCTTCTGGAAACTGCAAACCATCCCCCTTCCCCAAACTTCACCCATGCAGTCCTTGTAGGGGCTGCCACACTCACCTATGATTCTGTTCCCAAGGCCAGCTGGTTGGCTAAGAGGTTGGCACCAAATTTAAGCTGCTCCAATCAATTCATTTATAGGGATGTTTGTTTTTGAATACCTCTCTGGTGACTGAAATGGTAAAATATACAATTCAACAGCAATTGGTAGCTACATTGATCAATATAGAATGGGCTATGATATCCATCCTGATTAACATGGTGAAACCCTGTCTCTACTAAAAATACAAAAAAAATTAGCCAGGCATGGTGGCACACACCTGTAATCCCAGCTACTCAGGAGGCTGAGGCAGGAGAATCGCTTGAACCTGGGAGGTGGAGGTTGCAGTGAGCCGAGATTGCAGTATTGCACTCCAGCCTGGGTGACAGAGCAAGACTCCGTCTCAAAAAAAAAAAAAAAAAAAAAAAAAAAAAAAAAAAAGAATGGGCTATGGTAAGAAATGAATCAAACCTGAAATGTTAGTGGCTTAATCCAATAAAAACGTATTTCTTTCTCATGCAAAATTTGATGGGGTTCGGCAGGTTTCCTGGGAAGCTCTCCCCCAAGTGGTGATTCAGGGATCTAAGATCCTGCTATTCTGAAGCTTTGTCATCTTACTCTTTCACTTCCAGATGCAAGGTAGAGAGTGGAAGGAATGAAGGGGTGGGCGAGGGCATGAAGAAGCCTCCCCAGCTCTAATGGCCACTGTCTGAAAGTGATGCAGCTCACTTCCACCCACATTCGCCAGATTTCAATCCATAGCCTCACTTAACTGTAGGGCAGGCTAGGACATATCATCTTTCCATGTGCTGAGAAAAAATAGAAAAGACCAAGATTGGTGAAAAGGAGCAAACTAGTGACGAGAACCTTGCCATAGCCATTTTTTTGCCACTCACAGAAGCCGGTCTGTACCAAGCGAGAAGTGGCTATAGGAGAAGTGGTCCTGAGGCTCATCTGCCTTCTCCTGGTCACCCTCCCAATATATCCCTCCTGTGCTGAGCTAGTTTTCTATTACTTTTCATCACCTACATCTAAAAGAGACCTACCTATCTAACACAGTCTTTGTCTTACTATCATAATGCTATTAATGCAAGCTAAATAATAATCTTTCATCTTCTTTTTTTCTTTATCTTTTTCACTTGAATTGCTTTAAATTCAAATCTTCCTGCTATAGTGTGAATGTTTGTGTTCCCCCCAAATTTATGTTTAAACTTTAACCTCCAAGCTGATGGTATTAGGAAGTGGGGCTTGGGGAGGTGATTAGGTCATGAGGGTGGAATATTTGAGAATGAGATTAGTGCCCTTGTGAATTAGGCCTGAGAGAGATCCCCTCATCTCACCATGTAAGGACACAGCAGAAGGTGCTATCTTTGAACCAGGAAGTGAGCCCTTGCCAGACACTGAACCTGCCGATACCTCAATCTTGTCCTTCTCAGTCTCCAGAACTGTGAGAAATAAATTTCTGTTGTTTATAAACCACCTAGTTTGTGGTATTTCATTAAAGCAGTGTAAACAGACTAAGACACTCCCCATATGGACTTCCTTATCTAATTTAGGGGCCAGCCAGGCAGTAAATATTTTAGGCTCTGTAGTCCCTGTGTGACTACCCAACCCTGCCACTGCAGCGTAAAAGCAGCCATAGAGAGCCTACAAACAAATGGACGTGGCTGTGATCCAAAAAAAAAAACTTTCTTTTACAAAGACAGGCAGCAGGCTGCAGCTGGTAGTTCGCCAACCCCTGGTCTAGTTGATCTTTTTGGATCTGAGCTTAGGATCCTCATTTCTCCCTATTAAATATAACCCTGTTAGCTTCAGCCCACCTTTCAAGTCAGCGGCATATTTTTGAATCCTGATTCTGTCACCCAGCATAGTGGCTCTCCCTCCCTGCTCTGCGCCATGTCACGTTGAATGGGCTTCAGTGTCCTAATGGCTCATCAGAAGGGTAGGTGGTGACTGTGCTGCCCCTCCTGGGAAAGGACATTCTGGGGAGAAGCCAGGACTGCAGTGGCTGGCGTGCTTGGCAGGACACCCTTCTAACTACCAGGAGCACAGCCTCTGCTGACCCGGAGGTCAGCACCTCATCACTCTGTTTCTCTGATTTTGGTTTCATGGAATGCATCTGGCTCAGGGGCAGGGCAGGAGTAATTTGGAGGCTGTTGGCTTCCCTGAAATATTCCTTTATTCAACACTCATAGTTATTCAATGAGATGAACTTTGTGTCCAGCTATTTACTGATCTCCTAACAATCTCTGGGGGCACTCTTCTTGAGTTTAGAGCCATGGAATTCTGCTCTTGGGGCAGGTGGACCTAAGCAATCATCAAGTCTGGTACTGTTTATTTTACAGATGAGAAAACTGAAGCCCAAGAGGGGAGCAATTTGCCCAAAGGCGCCGAGTGCATCAGGGAAAAAGCCAAGCTAAAACTGGTCCTGCCTCTTCTTTTTCACATCCTCCCAGAGGATCTGCCTCCCATGAGAGCTGGGAGAGTTTGTATATTCCAGACCCTCTATCTGGGCCTCCCATCTTGCCATTAAAATGAACAAAAGATCTGGTTTTCCTGGGAAGCCCTATTTTTTGAACTGTTTCTTACAGGCTAGACTCCAAAGACAAAGGACTTGACATTAGCCACAAGCAAACTGTGAAGTACATGAGCTGCTGTGTGAATTGCCTCCCTTAGGCTGAGCAGGGAGGCTCATGCCTCTAATGCCAGCACCTTGGGAGGCCAAGGACGATGGATCACTTGAGTTCAGGAGTTCAAGACCAGTCTGGGCAACATGGCAAAATCCCATCTCTACAAAAAAAATACAAAAATTAGCCAGGTGTAGTGGCACTCATCTGTAGTACCAGCTACTTAGGAGGACTGAGGTGGGAGGATCATTTGAGCCTGGAAGTCAAGGCTGCAGTGAGCTATGATCATGTCACTGCACTCCAGCCTGGGTGACAGAGCAAGACCCTATCTCAAAAAAAAAAAAAAAAAAAAAAAAAGAATTGCCTCTCTTAAACCAGGTTGAGGCTGTTTCTTGGGAATTATCATTTCTCTCTGCATGTTTTTTCCTAATACCGCTTCTGAACCAAATGTGTGCTTTTTTACTGACACCAAATATGTGTCAGTTTTCCACATCAATTCTCCAATTCTCCAACACGAACTGGGTGTCCCCCAGTTCAGTTCCATTCTGACACTATCTACCTGGAGTTAGTATCAGATTCCACAAGTTAAGGGCTCAGTCCCACAAGACTACCACCACTTCAGATGCCAGCTGTAATGGGTCCCCAGGACACCCACACTTTTGCCTGGCTGACTACAAATTTAGGTGTTCCCACGACCCTCTTGTCAGGTTTGATAATTTGTAGAAGACAACTCAAGAAATTGCTCTACTTATGATCACTGCTTCATTATAGAGGATACAAGTCAGGACAGCCAAGGAGGGATGCCAAGGGCAAGACATGCGTTCAGCAACCCAGAGGTTCTTGGAAACTCATTGTTCAAGAATTTGTGTAACTTGGCCAGGCATGGTAGCTCATGCCTGTAATCCCAGCACTTTGGGAGGCCGAGGCGGGCAGATCACTTGAGGTCAGGAGTTCGAGAGAAACTTGGCCAACATGGTGGAATCCCCATCTCTACTAAAAATACACACATTAGCCAGGCGTGGTGGCACCTGCCTGTAGTCCCAGCTACTCAGGAGGCTGAGGCAGGAGAATCACTTGAACCCAGGAGGCAGAGGTTGCAGTGAGCCAAGATTTTGCCACTGCACTCCAACCTGGGTGACAGAGCGATACTCTGTCACACACACACAAAAAAGAGTTTGTGTAATTCAGTCTCTAGCCCGGCTTCCCTCCCTGGAGGTCAGGACAGAGGACTGAAAGTTCCCACCTTCTAATCACGTATTTGGTCTTTCTGGTGGCCAGCCCCCATCTTGATGCTATCTAGGGGTTCTATCCTGAGTTACCTCATTAGCATAAACTCAGGTGTGTAAGGAAGGGCCTTATTATGAATAACAAAAGACATTCCTATCACTCAGGAAATTCCAAGGGTCTTATGAGCTCTGAGTCAGAAGTCAAGAACAAAGTCCCAACATATATTTTTCCTCTATCATACTATATGGTTCCTAAATTGGCTGGGATGATTATAGCTCAGAGGCTGAAAAACATGCTCTGAATGCATACTTCATCACACTTACCAGAAAGGGGCCACTCTCCTCCACTGAAAAGCAAGAATGCTCCTTTCTGTGAACTCCAAAAATCTGAGCAGGTCTCAGTTAATTTAGAAAGTTTATTTTGCCAATAAACCTTAGCAAAAAGTTGAGGATGCATGCCCATGACACAGCCTCAGGAGGTCCTGACAACATATGCTCAAGGTGGTCGGGGCACAGCTTGGTTTTATACATTTTAGGGAGACATAAGACATCAATACATATGTGTAAGATGTACATTATTTCAGTCCGGAAAGCTGGGACAACTCAAGATGAAGGGGAAGTGGGGAGTGGGCTTCCAGATCATAGGTGGATAAGAGACAAATGGTTGCATTGTTTTGAGTTTCTGATTAGCCTCTCCAAAGAAGGCAATCAGATATACACTTATCTCAGTGAGCAGAGGGGTGACTCTGAATAGAATGGGAGGGGGATTTGCCCTGAGCAGTTCCCAGCTTGACTTTTCCCTTTAGCTTAGTGATTTAGGGGCCCCAAGATTTATTTTCCTTTCACATTTCTCTGTACCTGTTTCCTCATCCCATCCAGGACGAGAGGCTTAACTGGGGACATGCCATTCCTGCATCTATTTTTTTCTTTTTATTTTTTAGAGATGTTATCTCACTATGTTGCCCAGGCTGGAGTGCAGTGGCTATTCACAGGCATGATCATAGCCTTGAACCCCTGGCCTCCAGAAATCCTCCCATCTCAGCCTCCTGAGTACCTGGGACTGGAGGTGTGCACCACTGTGTCTGGTACCTACATTTTTATTTCTCTTTTCTTTCTTTCTTTTTTTTTTTCCTAAATGTCTATCCTATGCCTGTCCCTCCACTGTACTTTGGAATGCATCCCTCCTTCTGACTGTACAGGACTACCTGTCATTCCCAGAACACTGGCCCTCCTACCCTTTGTGCCTTGCCATCGGCTTGAAATGCCTTCTTTCCTTTCTTTTCCTGTCAAAATTGCAGGTGATTAAAAAGGTTGTGGGGCAAACATACTTTGTGGTAGTGGTAGGTGTTCTGCAACATGGCACTCTTAATTTACACTTGTTTCTACTTCTTAGCTGGAAGAAAAGTCTTATGCAGTCATAAAACAAATAGATTTGTAATTTGGGGGTCACAATGTACAGAACTCATTTTTTTTTTCTTTCTTTCTTTTGAGACAGAGTCTGGCTCTGTTGCCCAGGCTGGAGTGCAGTGGCGCAGTCATAGCTCAGTGTATCCTCTGCCTCCTGGGCTCAAGCAATCCTCCCACCTCAGCCTCCCAAGTAGCTGGGACTACAGGCATGTGCCACCATGCCTGGATCATTTCTGTATTTTTTGCAGAGACAGGGTTTTACCATTGTTGCCCAGACTGGTCTTGAGCCCTTGGGCTCAAGCAATCCTCCTGCCTCAGCCTCCCAAACTGCTGGGATTACAGGGATGAGCCACCTCACCCAGCCCAGAACTCATTTAATATAACGTCGTTGGCTTTATTACATTTCTGACATTCCTCACACACAACAAAATCTTCCCTTTGGGAGGCTGGAAGGATACACCTGCCTGTTTTCCCTAAGGTCACATGTTCGTCCTTCCACACCCTTCACAGGGTATCCAGGCAGAATTAAGCTGTGTCTTCCCACAGCACTTGTACTCAGCTCTGACTGCTTGTTTACAAGGCTGTTTGCCTCTGAAGGCTGCAGGTGTCCTGTTGTTTACCTTTGCTGTCCCTGAACAGTATCTGACACGTCATGTATGCTCACTGAATGCTTGGTCCTGGTCTACAGGAGAGAGAGGTCAACCTAATTAGACAAGAACCAGGACAGGACACAGAGGAAAACTGGTTGTGGAGGCAGGGACGAGTGCTCCTTGGTAGTCACCTTCTTTGGAAGGAGAAGCTGTTCCTTATCTTAGGCCTGCTTCTCGTTCACTCTGCCTTCTGGACCGCTAGGTAGAAGTACACACACACACAATTTTTCTATTAATAGATAAAACTCAAGACAATAGCTCCAAAAATAACCTCTTCTTCAAGGTCAGTGGAAGGCAGTAGAAACACCATTCTGGCCAACCCACTGAACCAACGGGTGCACGTAGGCTCCCAGGTGCAAGGAAGCAATGTGTACCCCTTGGTTCAGTGGGTTGACCTCCTAACCCTCAAGGATGGGGTGCTGCAGAGTGTCAGCAGGGCCACATCATGGCTTTCATGGCGCTTAGGCACTTATGCCTCTGTGGGCCCATTCTTCCATAAAAATATATTAAAAATTATATTTTGTGACTACATTGGCATAAAGACAAATTGAATCCAAACTTGATTCATTTGTATGTATTCATTACTATTATAGTCATCTTCTTCTAATTTTAAAAGAAATTAAAATTAAAACATTTTCGTGGTCCCCTAAAAGTAGAGGGCCTATATTAGTCTGGAATTTCCAGAGAGACAGAACCAATAGGAAGGAGATAGATATTTATAGCCAACTGCAGATCATGGGACTGTCTCAGCCCCATATGTATCTGAAGGCTGAGAAGTCCCATGATCCGCACTTGGCAAGCTGGAGACTCAGGAGAGCCAGTGCTGTGAGTTCCAGTCCGAGAACGAAGGCAGGAGAAGGCTGACGTCCCGCTCAAAGGACAGTCAGGTAGAGAGAGCCTGATTTTTCCCTTACTCCACTTTTTCGGTTCTATTCAGGCCTCACCTCCAACAGATTGGATGAGGCCCGCCCACCATGGAGAGGGCAGTCTGCTTCACTCAGTCTATTGATTCAAATAGTAATCCCAGCCAGAAACACCCTCACGGGATACCCCAAATAATGTTGAGCCAAGCACCTGGGAGGTCAAGTTGACACATAAAATTAACCACCACAGGGCCCTGTGTCTACTGAGCCCATTGGAGAAGTCGGCCTGAGTTTGAGGGAGTAGCTGACATAGGGTCCTTTTCTTGGAGTTCCCCTTTGTAAGTGACTGCCCACACAGTGGTTCACTGGGCTCACTGCAAAAGGTCTTGAGCTTGGAGACCAGTGCCTGGTGCATTAAGGAAGACTGCCAGGGCCTTGGAGGACTGAATTTACCTCTGCTGTCTGTCACAAATCATCTTCATTCCTGACCAAATGTCTCTGGCCTATGCTGAGCCCCCAGGAAATGACATTTGCCTCACAGGACCTGGAGGATCAGAGCATCCTCTAAGCCAGAGAAGCACGAACTTGGACCCCAAGTTGGTTAGCTTGATCTACAGCAGCAGCCACAGCTGGGAAATCTCTTTTCAGTTGAATTTTTCTTTTAAAAACGTTCATCTAAATGTTGCATTCTACTCCATAGTATATTCATATTTCTCCCCAAAAGATTTAAGGAAAAGTTGATGCTCCGTTTTTATCCCATGGCTTGACTATTCCTGGAATATTGGCCCTCTGATTGGAGAAAAGTGGGCTTAGAGACAAGCCGAGCTCTGAGGCCCTTTGTCAGGGATTAATGACACTACAAGAGTTAGGATCAATATTTAGCCTTCTTTCCCTGCCTTCTCTTGCTCCTGCCCATTTGCCAGATGGAGGAAGTAGGCCTTAGGGAAGGGAGCCCATTTGCTCAGTGTGTCAAGGCTGGAGGTGAAATAGAATCAGGGCAGCATCAGGGCAAACTGGGAGTGTCTCTTTTTTTTTTTCACTCTGAGACAGGAAAAACCACTTTGTCGCCCAGGCAGTGGCACGATCTCAGCTCACTGCAACCTTTGGCTCCCAGGTTTAAGTGATTCTCGTGCCTCAGCCACCCAAGTAGCTGAGACTACAGACATGCACAACCATGCCCAGCTGATTTTTGTATTTTCAGTAGAGATGGGTTTTCACCCTGTTGGCCAGGCTGGTCTCAAACTCCTGGCTTCAAGTGATCTGGCCACCTCGGGTGCCGGGATTACAGGTGTGAGCCACGCGCCCAGTCCGGAGTGGCTTTTATGCCCTGGCCATGATCCAGCAGTGGATCAAGGTGAGTGGGGCAGAAATTTTTTTTTCGGTGGGGGAGACAGTAATTTTACAGCTAACAGTTTCAGTGTAAATCCTGACCACCTGTATATTCGAGCCATAGACCACAGTCTGCAGACCTAAGGCACATTTCATGTAACTTTACATCCGTATCAAGGAGGTTCGATCTTTGGGAAAATAAATATTTACCCAGCTTCAAAGAAGTCAGACTTCCTGCCATTTATTTTTAGTTCTTTGGGTATGTGCAGATCATCACCAACACAATAAAGAAAATGCAGATGCTTCTCATAATTACCCAGCTAAGGCTGGGAGTGGTAACTCACGCCTGTAATCCCAGCACTTTGGGAGGCTGAGGCAGGTGGATCACTTGAGGCCAGGAGTTCAAGACCAGCCTGGCCAACATGGTGAAACCCTGTCTCTACCAAAAATACGAAAATTAGCTGGGGCTGGCACACACCTGTGGTCCCAGCTACTCAGGAGGCTGAGGTAGGAGGATAGGTTGAGCCTAGGAAGTTGAGGCTGCAGCAAGCCGAGATCACGCCACTGCACCCCAGCCTGGGTGGACAGAGTGAGACGCTGTTTCAAAACAAAAGAAAAGAAAAAAGAAAAGAGAGAAGAGAAGAGAAGAAAGGACATTTTAACACTAAAAGCATAAAGAACAAAACCTCAAAATCTCAAAATGGAACAAATTTGGATTTAAGAAAAATCTACTGCATTGTGTATGTTGTTTTTCTATATTGCGCTAAACTGGAGAAAACATCACTGTAGACAGGTACTGCTCTGAGGTCTGGAGTTTAGAAACTATTGAAACTTTTGTGAGTAATTCTGATGCAAAAAAGAAAGAAGAAAGAAAGAAAGAAAGAAAGAAAGAAAGAAAGAAAGAAAGAAAGAAAGAAAGAAAGAAACTATTGAATTTCATGGAACTCTTAGGTCCATTTTCAAGCTCTAATATGCTAGGATGAATCTTTCAACCTTGCACCTTTTCCCCAAATTGTCAGTCTGTAAATTGTCATTAGCCCAGTGCTTATCCATTCTTCCCTCCTTCTGCAGCTGAGAGAAGAGAAGTGTCTACTGCACTAAAGAAAATCTTCCTTCTAGAGGACACATACTGATGAAAACCTACAACTACTACAAGAGGAAAATGAGCCCATTCCTGATACTATTCTAAACACCTTACATATTTAGCAATTAAAAAGCTAGCTCACTGAAGCTTCACAACAACCTATGAGCTAGGCACAAGCATTATCCCCATTTCACAGACGGGGACACTGAGGCACAGAGACAAAATAATGAAGTCACAAAACAATATCCAGTGTGCTTTGGACTTTCCTAGCTCTGCAGAGGCCAGCCTGAAGTCTGTGTGTGTGCTGGCTTGTGACATGTAGACTAAGGCTCATGGTCCCACATCCTATCATTTCCCACTTGCTTTAGGAACTGATGCCTGTTGCCTGTGCCCTCATGGATGGATGGTCTCCTTATATGTGCAAGAACAGTAGCACTAGCTGCCGTGTATCTTGACCCTCTGGGTGTGAGAATCCAAAACTTCATAATCTAGCTTTTTTTTTTTTTTTTTTTTTTGAGACGGAGTCTCACTCTGTTGCCTAGGCTAGAGTGCAGTGGCACCATCTCAGCTCACTGTAACCTCCGCTCCCTGGGTTCAAGCAATTCTCCTGCCTCAGCCTCCCGAGTAGCTGAGATTACAGGTGTATGCTACCACGCCTGGCTACTTTTTTAATTTTTAGTAGAGATGGGGTTTCGCCATGTTGGCCAGACTGGTCTCGAACTCCTGACTTCAAGTGATCCACCCACCTCGACCTCCCAAAGTGCTGGGATTACAGGCGTGAGCCACCGCACCCAGCCATAATCTTGCTTTATACTCACCAGAGTCCTCTAGGAAGGGGGTTATTATTCCTGTTTCACAGGTGATATAACTGTAGTTTAGAGAGGTGACCTGCCCAAGGTCACATAGCTGGCTAGGATTTGAACTGAGATCTTCCTGACTCCAAAGCTCCTACCTCTAACCCCATAAAGAAAGGAAGGATTGTGTCCCATTTTGCAGTCAGAAATCTACAATTCTCAGAGAAGGGAACTGAGAAGCCCACACCAGCTGGGAGCTGAAACCAGCATCAGGCTCAAATCTCCCTGCTTGCCAGGTTCCTGGTCCAGCCCCTGATCACCCCACCTTCTAGACACTGACCCAAGCCAGGGCACTGGAAAAGACATTTTGAGAAAAGGAGGGAGGCTCAGGGGAGATTAGGGATGAGACAAAACATCTTGGGGCCAGAGCATACTGTCCTGGGAGCTTTGCCAACATGGCTTGAAGGACCTTGGGGAGATGATTGGGAGGGGGGTGACAGCTGGGGAGCACGGACACTAGACTGGGAGCCCTTTGTCCCAGGAGCAGACCGCCCCAAATACCAAACTGGCTCCTTGGTACTATCTCTCAGCCCTCTTGACTCAGTGGGCTCAACCACAGTTTAACCACATATAAAAATGAGGTCTAATAGGCTGATAGGAAAGGCACATAAATAATGACTTTCTTGACTTTGGAATCAGGACAAGCCTAAAGACCAGCAAAACCTCCTCCCAACCCCCCTTCTTTGTCCACCTGCCTCCCACCAGTCTCCTCCACCGTGGTAAATGGTACCACCCGTCTTTGGGTTGCTCAAGCTAGAAATCTGGGATTCAGGCCTGTTTCCTCTTCCTCACTCCAGCCCATCAGTAAGTCCTCTAGGTACAACCTCCCAAATACATCTCATTTCCTCCCACCTCTCTCTCCCCCCTCCTCCAGCAAGTCCCAGCCAGCATCCTCTTCCCCCTGGATGCTAGAGAGGCTCCTGTCTGCTCTCCTTCCTCCCACGGCTGCCCGCACAGCCTATTCTCAGACGTACAGCCGCCGTGAGGTTTGGACATTGAAATCAGACCGTGTCACTTGCTTAGAGCCCTCCAATCACTTCCCATTAGACTCAGACAAAAATGGAAATCTCCTAACTTGGTCTGCCTAATCTGGCCGCTGCCCACCCCTCCAACCAGGCTCAGCTCAGCCTTCCCTGACCATCTTATCTGAAGCAGAAGCCCACTTATTTCCCATCGCTGTACCTGTGTATTTCCTTCTGCGTACTCACTACAATTTCACATCATTTTGTGACTTTGCTCACTTGTTTATTTTTTGCCTCCCCACCATGGACTGCAAGTTCCACGAAGGCAGGATCATGTCTGTCTGTTCATGATTGTAGCTTCCCAGCACAGCATTTCACACATAGGTAGGCACTCAAGAAGTACTTTGGGATTAAAGATGAAAGAAAGGTCTATTATATAAGTCACAACAGGATGCCAGCCATCTGCCAGGTGCCTTTTTATTGTTGTTGTTTGTTTGTTTTTTTGAGACAGGGTCTGGCTGCATCACCTAGGCTGGAGTGCAGTGGTGCAATCATGGCTCGCTGCAGCCTTGGCCTCTGGGTTCAAGTGATTCTCCCACCTCAACCTCCCATGTAGCTGGGACTACAGGTGTGTGCCACCAAGCCTGGCTAATATTTTTAATTTTTTGTAGAGATGGGGTCTCACTCTGTTGCCTAGGCTGGTCTCAAATTCCTGGGCTCATGTGATCCTCCCATCTCAGCCTCCCAAAGTGCTGGGATGACAAGCGTGAGCCACAGCGCCTGGCCTGCCTGGTGTCTTCTCTGCCATTTCTCTCCTCTCCTCTCTCCCTCCAGAGGGCAGCTCACTGCACAGAGGTCTGGGAACCTGCTCTCTGGGCTGGATTCTGACCCTATGGGAGGAACTTGTGGAAGGACTGGGCGTGGCAGTGAGATTATCGGGTGCCAGATGGAGGCTGGGAGCAGACTAACAGTTCCCTAATGCCCACTCTGGTGTCCTGAAGAAACTCTCCCCTGCCTGGTCTCCATATGGAAAGGGGCTCCCTCGGCTGAACCATGCAAGGCTGCAGAAGACTGGGTACCACCTAGAGGGGGCAGCTGTGAGAGAGCCAGGAAGGGGTGAGAGCTGGTATTGCAGGGCCAGGGAACAGATGTGCTAGTTTGAAAGGAGGACTTTGTATTCTCCCTTACGGCTGCAGAAAGCAACGAATAAAAGCTTGATATGTTGCTGGGCTAGGCCTGGCTACCCCAATATCCCCCAGCTACTCCATGGTATAGAGTGAACTCTCCCCTCCCACACAGGCGCCTACTGGCCTGGCATCCTGGGCATTTGCCCAGGCTTCTTGGAGGAGGTTGGCCAACCTTGGCTGGACAGTAGTATCCTGTGACATTCACAGATACTGGCAAGAAGCCCCAAGACTCCAGGCAAGAATGGATCAGTAGTTTCCAGTAAAGAGGCTTCTGTGGGAAGTAGAGCTACGGTGGCATTTCTGTGCCTCGGGAATCAGCCCTAAGGGAAGTAAGCCCTCTGGGAGCCAGAGAAGCTCACAATTGCTTTAGCAACACATCCCATCAGACCTGCCTTGCCTCCCCATCCTCAAAAGCAAATACTTAACCATCCGCAGTCTCCAGTAGACTGCCTGCTAAGCTCTTTTTCCCCCTTATTTGATGCAAAAATGTGTGGTCAGTGAACTGTCCTAAGGACAGGACAACACCTCCACCCGCTGGCACCACCAATGGACGTGGCCAAGGACACAGCGGGGTGATGCTTATGGGATGGGAGGCCTTGGGCAGAGTTGAAGGCAGAAAGGTCCTGTTAGTCACCCAGGGACTGGGAGTGCAAGACAGAGAAAGGGAAGGAGTGACATCCAGAAAAGGATGACTTGAGGCAAGCGTTCTGGAGATTCTTTGTAGGTGCTCTGTTATTGCTTCCAGTGACCTCCCTGGGACTTTGATAAATAAAAGAAAACTTGTATGACCATAATGAGTTTTTAAACAAAGCACAGTGTTACAACACTCCAATGACTTTAGCCGCCATACCCTGTTGTGGCCACTGCCCTGTGGGCATCTCAGACAGGGGCTGTTGCTGCCTGCTATGGTTCGAATGTCCCCTCCAAAATTCATGTTGAAACTTAATCCCCAATGTGGCAGTATTGAGAGGAGGGGCTTTTAAAAGGTGATTGGATCATGAGAGCTCTGCCCTCATGAATGGGTTAATCCATTCATAGATTAATGGGTTAACGGACTAACCGGCTATCATGGGAGTGGAGCTGGTAGCTTTATAAGAAGAGGAAAAGGCTGGGCGTGATGGCTCAGGCTTGTAATCCCAGCATTTTGGGATGCTGAGGCAGGTGGATCACCTGAGGTCAGGAGTTTGAGACCAGCCTGGCCAACTTGGTGAAACCCCATCTCTACTAAAAATGCAAAAATTAGCCAGGCATGGTGGCGGGTGCCTATAATCCCAGCTACTTAGGAGGCTGAGGCAGAAGAATTGCTTGAACCCAGGAGGAGGAGGCTGCAGTGAGCCGAAATGGCACTATTGCACTCCAGCCTGGGTGACAGAGTGAGACTCCATCTCAAAAAAAAAAAAAAGAGAGAGAGAAGAGGAAGAGAGACCTGAGCTAGCACATTAGCATGCTCACCCCCTCAGCATGTGATGCCCTGCACCACCTCAGGACTCTGCAGAGAGTTCCCACCAGCAAGAAGGCCCTCACCAGATGCACCCCCTGGACCTTGGACTTCTCAACTCAATAACAGTACAAAATAAATCCCTTTTCTTTATAAATTACCCCGTTTCAGATATTCTGTTATAAGCAACAAAACACGGACCAAGACACTGCCTGTAGGGTTTGGTGTTCTCTCTGCTGTCATCATTATTCCTTCTTCCCACCTCTATGCATGAACAGGTCTGTTACCTGAAACATTCTTTAGTCCTCCAAATGTTCTCATGGTCTGTGGTTTGCTTAGAGTCTAGTGGCTCTCGAACTTTAGTGTGGTTTCATAAACTGACCTTCTTGATAAAATGAATACTCCCAGGCTCCCATCAGCGATTCTTCTCTGATATAGACAGTCCTTCAGCCCCATTTTAAGAAACACTGATTTAGAAATCACTGTGCAAGTGGTTAGTTTCTGTTTTTTCTATTTGAATAATACTGCAGCAAACACTTTGTAGAAATGACTTTGTTCTAACTGTTTTCTTTAGCTACTTCCTTAGAATTAGGATTATGGAATCAAAGGATAGGAACTGTTTTGTAGGTTTTGCCAAATTAGCATCCAGGGAATTTGAACAATCAAACATTGTTTTATCATTTATATTAATTTTTATAACATTATAAAATTCACTGAAATTGCAAATTCAAGATACATGGTGGGGCTGCCTATTTTTCTATGTGAAGTATTGTGTGTAAACTCTCTGCTCATTTCCTTTGAGTACTTATCAAAAAGGAGCAGGATACTGGCCTTTTATAGTTAGATCTGTTCTTTAGCTATTTTGGATAGAAAGCTTAATTTGCCACATATATTTCTCCCCCATCTGTGGCTTTCATTTTTGTGTTTGCTTTATTACATTCTGTGGCACAAAAGGCTTTTAAAAACACATTTAGATCCGTCCATCCTGTCTCTGATATCTAATTTCATCAATAGTCAAAATGTTTTCTTCTCATCACAGTGGAAACACATTTGCTTTCCCATTTTCTCTGGCTTTTTATGACCCACTTAGACGATATTTGTTAAACAGTGATTCTTTCTTGTAGCATTGTGTTGATGCTTATTCATCTTATATCAAGTCTTTAAATAGCTTGAATTTGTTTCTGTAGAGTATGTCTCTTCTATTACCCTGGCCAACTTTTCTTGTCTTTACCCCAGTGAAATATAGTGATGACTGCTTTTTTAAGTTTACCCTCCTCCTTCTTTTTCCCCCACAAAAATTTTTTTGATATTTTGTCCATTCATACTCCCGATGAGTTTTAATGGGTTTGTTGTTGTTGTTGTTGTTGAATTATAGGATGCGTCTCATTTGTCTTTATATTCCATTTTAGTTTTAACTATTTAGACTTCACAATTAGGATCAAAGTACATCTCTGTATTCTTTCACGTTTTCCTCTATACCTCCAACTTTAAAATTTTCTTTGAAAAAAAAATCATTTATTCCAAGTTAAATTAATTCTGAACCACTAAATTTTTGTGTGTGAATAAGCCATCTTTCTCCCTCCCTTTTCTCTTCTCTCTGTCCCACTCTTACTCTCATTCTCATGCTCACTAAAATACAAGTATTTTGACACCAAACCATGTAGCTACCATGGTATATACTTCCACCCTCCAGGCCCAGCACCTGTTTCTGGGCATCTGCCAGCAGCCATCCATCAGCTCTGAGGATACCTCTGTGTGCCTTGTTCCCTTTTTCTGGCCCTCCTTGTAAGATGGGCATCAACTTCCTGGGTTGGGACATGGCTGGTTAAGGAAGAGTCAGAATGTTCTAAAAGTGCCCTCCCTATTTATTGAACAAAACAGAAAAACAGAGAGGACTACGTTGAATGGTGTCTCCTTAACATTCAAGCTCAACAAGAAGCTCAGAATGTGACCTTATGTGGAAACAGGGTCTCTGCAGACATAATTACTTAAAATGAGGTCATACCTAGATGAGGGTGGGCCCTAAATCAAATGACTGGGAACTTTATAAAAGAGAAAACAAAGACACACAGACAGGGAAAACACCACATGCGACCACCAAAACAGAGATTGGAGTGATGCCCCTACAAACCCAGGACCACCCAGGTTGCCGGCAACCACCATAAGGCAGCAGAGAAGCCCGAGATTCTCCCTCAGAGCTTCCAGAAAGAACCAACTCTGCCAACACCTTGGTTTCGGACTTCTGTCCTCCTGAACATGAGAGAATACATTTCTGTTTATTTCAGCCCCACAGTTTGTGGCAATTTGTCATGGCAGCCCTAGAACACCAGGCTCTTCACATAGTCTGTCCTGAGAGCTTGCCCGCTGCTGACTTTTAAAGGTACGATGCTCTAAAACACAGAAGAGAGGTGTCCTTGTAAACGTGTCTCAGAGCAGAGAATGAACAGTCCATTCTGGAAGGTAAATACTCAAGACAGGAGATATTTTTCTGTTTCCTGACCAACTGCAAGTCTCTCTTTGCAGAAGGCGAACTATTTATGGCACATTCCAGGTTCTAAGAACCAGGGCTCGTTCGCCAAGGAAGGCAGTGTGGTGTAATTCAAAGGCTTCAGAAGTTGGGCTCTGACCACCAGGGTCTAAATCTTGGTCCTGCCATTCTTTAGATGCCTAACTCTGGGCAGATCATTTAACCTCTTGGAGCTGGATTTCCCATCTGTAAGTGGAGACAATAATGATTTAGGGCCAACATATCTTAGGGAGTTGTTGCTGGGATCCGACGAGATAATTTATGAGCACACATTCTTTAAGCTGGAAAGCACTGGGCAGATGTTACCAATTCATAGTGGCTGCCTGTGGGGCAGGAGAGACACACTTCTCACTATATTCCATTTTGTTCTATGTGACATTTTCATGTACATATTGAAAAGAATATGTTAAAAAATTTAAGGGTAATCACTGTGAGCGCAACATGAACACATTAAATAAAGATGTTTGCTTTTTATCCTATTAAAAGATTTTAATATGCAAAATGAAGAAGAAAAAGTAGATAAAATTGTGCTCCAGTTCCAAGCTCACCCAAAGATGACATCTAGAGTATGGGCACTGACTGCCCCCTGCGGAAACCTCTGTTCCCTTCCCCCACCCCAGTTTCCATGTGGGAGCTTCTGGGACACAACCCAGCTCACATTTCCCCAACCTTTTTTGCCGCTGTTTTGGTCTGCTGCTGCTGCTGCTGCTGTTGTTGAGTTGGGGTCTCACTCTGTCACCCCAGCTGGAGTGCAATGGTGGCATCTCAGCTCACTGCAGCCTGGACCTCCTGGGCTCAAGCGATCCTCCCACCTCAGCCTCCAGAGTAGCTGGGACCACAGATGTGTGCCACAACACTGGGCTAATTTTTAAAATGTTTTGGGTAGGGATGGGGTCTCATAATGTTGCCCAGGCTGGTCTCAAACTCCTGGGCTCAAGCGATTCTCCTACTTTGGCCTCCCAAAATGCTGGGATTACACTAAACCGTTTTTTTTTTTTTTTTTTTTTTTTTTTTTTGAGACAGAGTCTCACTCTGTCACCCAGGCTGGAGTGCAGTGGCGCGATCTCGGCTCACTGCAACCTCCGCCTCCCAGGTTCAAGCAATTCTCCTGCCTCAGCCTGCCGAGTAGCTGGGATACAGGCAAGCGCCACCATGCCCAGCTAATTTTTGTATTTTTAGTAGAGATGGGGTTTCACTATGTTGGTCAGGCTGGTCTCGAACTCCTGACCTCGTGATCCACCCGCCTCGGCCTCCCAAAGTGCTGGGATTACAGGCGTGAGCCACCACGCCCAGCCTATGCTGAACCCTTTTTATCTGCTCTTGTTAGCCCAGATTTGGTGAACTAGAATTAGCTGTTCATGCCTGCCATGGATTTCCCATGGTTTGATTTGTCTTTCTGAAATCTAGAGAGAATAGGGACTCTCCTGCCAGGTTGTTGGGGCACCTATAGGATTGTATGTAAACACAAAGGCGTATTTGGGAAGCTGGTGCCCCGATCCCCAGCCCTGCACACTTTGAGGCTTTATGCTCATACCAAAGTCACAGCAGGAAGGGACTGCTTTGATCACAGAATCCTCAGGGGATCAGAATGGGACGTTAAGCTTTGTGGTCCACTTAATGAGGAGCTCTCTGCCCCTTACTGATGAGCAGGCCCTCCAAAGTCCTGAGGTCTCTGGGCCTTTCATCAAGTCAATGTCCTGGGGCAGCGCCTGATATTGCACCGGTCACTCACTGCCCAGCCCCTCCACCAAGACTCCACTCCACAGGCCCCGTTGCCACCTGCCTCCTCCAGATCTTATCCCCGTGATGCCATTGACACCAGTTGATGTGACACTCCACTCGGTCACCACTCTGCCAGTTGAGAAAGCACTCCTGCTTCTTCTTTCCTTAGGATGGAGGGCTTATAGCAAAGTCACGTGAGCCCACGTGGGAAGGCTCTTTCTGCTTTACCATACAGCCCTCCCCTTGAGAGCACCCAGGCATTCCAGGGGACCAGGCGTGGGTCCGGCACAGGCTTGCACAGGAACAAGAGCCACCTTGTCCCCTAGGCCTGGATCCTTCCTAACTTACAGTGGGTATTTTTCCTCCCTAGGCCCGTATGTTATTCCCTATAATCTACCCTTCCCAGCCTGACTCTGTATAGATGAACCTGAGTATACAGGGTTCAAGCTCTGTCCCAGGGAAATCTGGGTCCATGTCATCCAAGCTCTGTGGTTTTGTGGAGGGGACTGGAATGTGTGATTGTGGCCTGTCTCCATGTCCCATCGTACCCGTGCCTCAGCTCCAACCAAGGCATAGCCAGGTTCGGGCTCCTCTCGCAGGAGTTTTATCAGAGTGCTTGTGATTCCCTTGTGTGCCTTAATCATTAAGAGCAGCGACTTTGGAGTCAAAGACAAACCTGGGTACCATCTGCTCCACAGTTTATGAGCCACGTGATCTTGAGGAAGTTACTTAATCTCTTGGAATCTCTTGGAATCTGTTTCTTCATTTGTAAAATGAGGAAGGTAACAGAGCTCTTAAAGCTGTTACTTGTAGCGCTGTTGAAAGAATTAACTGAGATAATGTATCTAAGTACCAGCTTGGTGCTGGTACTGTATCTGGCATGCGGTAAAACCTTAAGGAATGTTAGTTTTCATCATTTTTGTTGTTGTTGCTGTTTATTTGTTTGTTTTGAAACACAGTCTTGCTCTGTCACCCAGGCTGGAGTGCAATGGCGCAATCTCAACTCACTGCAAACTTTGCCTCTCAGGTTCAAGCAATTCTCCTGCCTCAGCCTCCTGAGTAGCTGGGATTACAGGTGCCTGCTATCACACCTTGCCAATTTTTGTATTTTTAGTAGAGATGGGGTTTCACTATGTTGGCCAGGCTGGTCTCAAACTCCTGACCTCAAAAGATCCACCTGTGGCCATGAGCCACTTTAGGAGGCCGAGGTGGGCGAATCATGAGGTCAGGAGTTTGAGACCAGCCTGACCAACATGGTGAAACCCCATCTCTACTAAAAATACAAAAATTGGCTGGGCGTGGTGGTGGGTGCCTGTAATCCTAGCTACTCAGGAGGCTGAGACAGGAGAATCGCTTGAACCCGGGAGCCGGATGTTGCAGTGAGCCAAGATCACGCCACTGCACGCCAGCCTGGGCGACAGTGTGAGACTCTGTCTCAAAAAAAAAAAAAAAAAATTGTCCACTTGCCTCAGCCTCCCAAAGTGCTGGGATTACAGGCATGAGCCACCACACTGGGCCTCATCATTGTTATTGTTATTAACACAATGATCCCATTTTAGTCATGGCTTCAGCCCAGCTGAGCTTTGTGAACTTGAGCAAGTTATTTAATCTCTGTGGGCTCTTATTTTGTATAAAACAAGAGAATACGGGTCTTGAGCCTTCACATTCCTTCTAACTCTGTGATCCTGCTCTCATTTGACTCTAATGGGAAAATTCCATCTTTAAAGGAGACCAACACCAGCTAATCAGATGAGGTGGCTGACTGCTTACAGAGCGTGATAAGAGAGGCTGCACAAAGTTCACCTGGCTCCTCCAAACCAACGCCTGCTTCTCTCTCCAGCAGGCCCCCTACAGCCCAGGGCAGCAGTGGGGAGAGCTTCAGGAGCAGCCGGCAGATGATAACTAATACTAAAGGAAGGAGGCCAGGCCCTCAAGCCTGAGGTTGGAAGGAAGGGGCAGCGTTGAGTAGGGTGAGGGTCTGGCCTTGAGTTCTGGTGAGGGAATAGCTGGTGAGGACAGACTGACAATGCAGTTTCACCCGCTCTCTGCAGAGGCAGTGTGTGTGCTGGTGAGAAACCTGGCCGATGAGTCAGATGGCCTGAGTTGGAATCTTGGCTCTTCCACGTACCAGCTGTGTGACTTGGACAAAGTACTTAACTTTTCTGGGCCTCAAATTCCTCCTTTGTGAAACAAGGTAATGCAATGGTAAGAGTTCTCCCCTACTGTGTAGTGAAGATTAAATATGTACAAGCACTTGGAAAAGTGCTAGGCACATAAGTGCTCTAAGTGTTAGCTGTGAATATTATTCCAATCTTGGGGAGCAGGATAGAGCTTTGGGCTAGTGCACCGAGGGCGTCCTTGCATGTGGGTGTGGGTGGGTCCTCTGCTGCTGCACTGGAAGCAGTCAGAGGTGTGCCCAGCTGACCATGGGGGTCTGGGCATAGGTGGAGGCTAAAAAGGCATTGTCAGCTGGGCACGGTGGCTCATGCCTGTAATTCCAGCACTTTGGGAGGCTGAGGCGGGTGGGTCGCTTGAGGTCAGGTGTTTGACACCAGCCTGTCTAACATGGCAAAACCCCGTATCTACTAAAATACAAAAATTAGCTGGGTGTGGTGGCGGGTGCCTAATCCCAGCTACTCAGGAGGCTGAGGCAGGAGAATCGCTTGAACCCGGGAGGCAGAGGTTGCAGTGAGCCAGAATCGTGCCACTGTACTCCAGCCTGGGCAGCAGAGTGAGACTTTGTCTCAAAAAAAAAAAAAAGGGCATTGTCGAGCTCCTGTAAAACATCCTGGGTGTCTCGGAAATGTGTGCGAGAGGCTTTTGGGGATGGTCTCATGACAGTGCCAGAACATGCTAGAAAAGCACGGTGCCTTACAGTTACTATCACCCCCAGTGCAGGGGGGCCTGAGGAGACTAAGCTTACACACCCTTAAAAGAAACCAAATCTCCTAAGTATGAGTGTCCCCGAAAGGGCTAAAAACTAAATCGTTGTCTGCCATTATTAGCTCCTTAGCGTAAATGAGTTTCTCAGAGTAGGTGGTATTTAGTAGAGCCCTGGGAATAAGAACTGAAAATGAATGGCGACGGTAAGTCTTAAGACGGAGCTCTCGTGGGAAGCCGGTGGGTAGAGCCCTGGGCCGCCGACCTGGGGTTCCACCTGAGTGTGTTCGCGGCAGGGTGTTGGGATTCCAGAGAACAACGACGGAAGCCCCTGACAAAGGTGGCCTGCTTCAACTTCGCGTTGGAACCCAGGGCCCGCCGAAGGCCGCATTTCCACGGCCACAGCCAGCCAGAGCTGCCCTCTCATACCCTCTCCGTTTGTAGACCAAGGGCCCTTCCCTGCCCGAGACCTTCTCAACTATGCGGGACTCGGTCACCCTCTAGTGGCAACTGGGCAGAAGTTTTTCTCTTAAAATTGTCGACAACAGGATGATTTTATAATGGCATTTGGATAGTGCTTTACAGTTAACGGGACTGTCACAAATATTACAGTGTAGCTTTTCTACTGGAGTACGCCACCCACATCCCCATAGTCATCAGCCGCCTGAAGCATCCCTCCCTCCCCCGCGTGACACAATACACTCTGGCTACCTCCAATCCCTCCCTCCCCCGCGCGACACAATACACTCTAGCTACCTCCAACACTCCAGCTTTCCCATTGCTTTGGCTCATCTAGTTTTTCCCAGTGGGCAGAGGGAAGAGTCCTGGAGCCTGCGGAGGCCTGGGGAGGACTAGGTGACTTCTGACTCCTCTGCCCCTGAGCTATAAGCCCTAGGAATCTGCAGACGTTGTCTCTTAAAACTGGACATTAGGCCAGGCACCGTGGCTCACGCCTGTAATCCCAGCACTTTGCAAGGCCGAGCTGAGTGGATCACCTGAGGTCAGGAGTTCGAAACCAGCCTGCCCAACATGGAGAAACCCCGTCTGCACTGAAAATACAAAATTAGCCGGGCATGGTGGCACATGCCTGTAGTCCCAGCTACTTGGAAGGCTAAGGCAGGAGAATCGCTTGAATCCAGGAGGCGGAGGTTGCGGTGAGCCAAGATCACGCCATTACACTCCAGCCTGGGCAACAAGAGTGAAACTCTGTCTCAAAAAAAACAAAACAAAACCAAAAAAATAGACATTATCCACACTGTCCCCCGAACCCGGCAGCCTACCATTTCACAGTCTGCTGCTGCTGAAGGCAATCGCACCGGCCACTTGTGTTTTAAGGGGCACACACTGACTGTGCCAACAGCGAAGAGGCAGCAGATAGTGAAACTCCCACAGGGCACATGACAGCTGTTCTCCTACTTTCAAAGGTTTCACAGCCATGGTCCCAGGGCTTTGATTCTTAACTCCCTTGCTGAGATCACCATTGAAAACCCCAAGGGTGAAGCTCAAACCCTCTACCCTCCTCAGCAACTACCCAACTCAGCCCAGAGATCCTGTCGGACCACACAATAGTCTCCTTTGTGTGGGGAATCTTTTCGAGACTGTTGTTCTGCTTGTCTCTCCGCAGGAAAAGGTAATCTGAGAGTCATACTGAATATTTTAAATGTTAGATACTGGGTGTGTTTTGGGTTTTGATGTGTTTAGTAAACCACTCAGAGATGTTTTGTTTCAGGCAGGATAAGCCGGTTATTAAATTTTTTCATTGGCCAGGCATGGTGGCTCATGCCTGTAATCCCAGCACTTTGGGAGGCTGAGGCAGGAGGATCACTTGAGCCCAGGAGTTCCAGACCAATCGGCAATATAGCAAGACCCTGTCTCCACCAAAAAAAAAAATTTTTTTTTTGAGACAAGATGTGGGGTGTGGGGCAGGGAGGGAGCCCACAGGATCAGGCTGGCTCTCAGGATACTATCAGATCAGCAGAGACACGCCCACCGCTGTGGTTCTACCCTGTGTCTGGAAGTGGGTTCTCCTGTGGTCCTATTCCAGCTCCTGTCCATCAGAGCAGGTCCAGTTCCCCTGTGTTGTTGCTCCCTGAGGCTGGTCCCTGGGAGGCAGGGCTCCCCTCTCATTGCCTTAATTCTTCCCAGTCCCTTTTCGAAAGGAAGGACCTCATCCCAACTGGTTCACCTGCTTTGTCTTGCCGGGAGAAACAGTTTAGCTCATACTAAGAATGAAAACTTTTTGTTTGTTTGCTTTGTTTTTTGGTTTGGTTTTAGAGACTCTGTTGCCCAGGCTGGAATGCAGTGCTGGTATCTCAGCTCACTGCAACCTCCACCTTCTGGGCTCAAGCAATCCTCACACCTCAGCCTCTGGAGTAGCTGGGACTATAGGCGTGTGCCACCACACCGGGCTAATTTTTTGTAGAGATGGAGTTTCATCATGTTGCCCAGACTGGTCTTGAACTCCTGACCTCAAGTGATTCTCCCGCCTTGGCCTCCCAAAGTGTTGGGATTATAGGCATGAGCCACTGTACCTGGCCTACAAAAATTTTTAAAAATTAGGCAGGCATGGTGGTGTGTGCCTGTAGTCCTAGCTGCTCAGGAAGCTGAGGCAGGAGGATCACTTGAGCCCAGAGTTTGAGGCTGTAGTGAGCTGTGATCACAGCACTGCATTCCAGCCTGGGCAACAGAGTGAGACCCTGTCTCTAAAACCAAACCAAAACAAAGCAAACAAACAAAAAATTTTCATTCCTAGTATGAGCTAAACTTTGTTTCTCCCGGAAAGATAAAGCAGGTGAACCAGTTGGAATGATGTCCTTCCTATCCAAAGGGGACTGAGAAGAATTAAGACAATGAGAAGGGAGCCCTGCCTCCCAGGGACCAGCCTTGGGGAGGAAGGAACTGAGGGAAACTGGGTCTGCTCTGATTGACAAGAGCTAGAATAGGACCACAAGAGAGCCCACTTCCAGACACAGGGTAGAAGCATAGCCGTGGGCATGTCTGTGCTGATCTGAAGGGGCTCTGGGGGCAGCCCAATCCTGTGGGCTTCCTCCCCACCCCACACCCAGTGGAAGTCTCAGCAGGACCCTGCTCAGACAGGTCATGACCCAAGACCAGGGAGAATGCCGGATGCTGAGACTGGGACCATAGGAAGGAAGACTAGGGGTGGGCAGGGGCTTGGATCTGCTTCCTTTTTTTTTTTTTTTTTTTTAAACAGCGTCTTTTTCTGTCATCCAACCTGGAGTGCAGTGGCACAATCTTGGCTCACTGCAGCTTCAACTTTCCAGGCTCAAGCACTCCCCCCACCTCAGCCTCCCAAGTAGCTGGGACTACAAGCACACACCTGTATTTTTCATAGAGATGGGGTTTCATCATGTTGTCCAGGCTGGTCTTGAACTCTTGAGTTTAAGTGATCTGCCTGCCTCAGCTTCCCAGAGTGCTAGGACTGTAGGCTTGAATCACTGTGCCTGGCACACTTCATTCTTTCTTAATCACCCCCAATATTTTAGCTTCTCCTCTCCCCTTTTTATTTTTAATTTTATTTATTTATTTATTTATTTATTTTTGAGACAGAGTTTTTTGCTCTTGTTGCCCAGGCTGGAGTGCAATGGCATGATCTCAGCTCACCACAAACTCCGTCTCCCGGGTTCAAGTGATTCTCCTGCCTCAGCCTCCTGAGTAGCTGGGATTACAGGCACCTGCCACCAGGCTTGGCTAATTTTTTTGTATTTTTAGTAGAAATGGGGTTTCTCCATGTTGGTCAGGCTGGTCTTGAACTCCCGACCTCAGGTGATCTGCCTGCCTTGGCCTCCCAAAGTGCTGGGATTACAGGCATGAGCCACTGCACCCAGCCTCCTCCCTACTTTTTAAAAAAGTGCCTGGTGTTAAGCATTCAATTCCATTAGACCATATGGGTGGGAAAAAGGAAGTGGATTTAAAAGTCTTTCGTTCCTCCAACTATTCCAGGAGCCATCAGTAACACCCACCCCAGGGCTCACTTGCACTTGGACACTTCTGGATATTGTGACAGCCACACACTCACCTTGCTGGGAGGAAACAATGCCCAGTGAGATGGAAGAAATATTATGAAGCCTAAAGGAAGAAGCTGTGTTGGCATAAACCTCAGGCTCTACACCCTTCCTTTCCTCTCTGCGGTTCTCTCCAGACTGTGCCAAGGTTTGCCGCAACCCTCTCCCACCTTTTCTCAGACTTACCACTTCCCCTTTCCTATGCTATGAGCACCCTGATGCCCACTTTCCCTTTGAGTTCCCTGGTTCTAGCAAAGGACCCCTCCCCTCCCTCACCTGTGGTCCCTCCCCACCTTTCACTCTTGGCCCCCTTCAGAGCCCCCTCTTCTGTCAACACTGTGGGTGCCTAGACTGTGCCAGGGACTGGGGAAGCAGAGTCCTAAAATACAGTTTCTGTTCATGAAGAAGCTGGCTGTGGAGGGTGGAGGTGAGGCATGTTCACAGGTAAAAAATAATTACAAAATTATGTCATGAGTACTCTCTTAGAGGTCACTACAGACAGTCACTTAATTTTAAAAATTCAATCTTGCAAACAAATGCCCTCCCCCAACCCCTTTTTGGCCCTTTCTGCTGGACACAGTTTTGAGAGAATGTTTGTTGCTGTAGCAGAAGACACTGATGATGACAGGGCAGAAAGGGGGAAAACCGGCCACCGCTCGGTGGCTCACCCCTGTAATCCCAGCACTTTGGGAGGCTGAGGCAGGCAGATCACCTAAGGTTGGGAGTTTGAGACCAGCCTGAACAACATGAAGAAACCCGTCTCTACTAAAAAAAATAAAAAATTAGCCGGGCATGGTGGCGCATGCCTGTAATCCCAGCTACTCGGGAGGCTGAGGCAGGATAATCGCTTGAACCTGGGAGGCGGAGGTTGCAGTGAGCCAAGATTGCACCATTGTACTCCAGCCTGGGCAACAAGAGCAA
Source organism: Homo sapiens (assembly GCF_000001405.40). Lineage (NCBI taxonomy): Eukaryota > Metazoa > Chordata > Mammalia > Primates > Hominidae > Homo > Homo sapiens. The sequence goes on along the minus strand of NC_000014.9, from coordinate 67,422,859 downwards.
AACTCCATCTCAAAAAAAAAAAAAAAAAAAAAAGATGGGGAAAGCCTAGGTTTTGATGGCAGCACTGAGCCATTGCATCTACTCTGGAATCGCCTACTCATTAAGTAACTAACAACATCTGTGTTGGGTTTAAGCCACTGCTGGTTGACTTTTCAGTTACTTGCAGCCCGAAGCATTCTAACTGATATGCATTTTCTTCCATGTATGAGAGAAGAAGTTAGGGGTGAACTGGGATGCACAAATTACAGTACTGCTGATCAGTCTGGGCAGGCCCAACTTCTTTGTGGAAAGGAATAGAAAGATCTGTGGTGGACAGGCCTCCTCTACCTTTATTCATTTAACTTATTCAGCCCATGTTTATGGCATAGCACCCATGTGCCAGGCATCACGGTGAGTTGCGTGGCTAAAATCAAGAGCAAATTCACACAGAGTGTATTACACTCACAGGTCCTCGGCCATATGCTAGCTGTGTAAGACATGGCATACCACACGGGGGAAGACACCAGGGTGGTCAGGGGGCAGAAGACAGGAGCCAGGGGAAAGCGTTAGGTCAGAGCCTTTATTGGGGCTTTCAAGGGGAAGGCAAGGCAGGACAAGGTGAACAGTTTTGGACTGGCTAGTTTGAATGTTATGGAGGGTGCTCTAAGCTATAGGAGTGGTCCCTAGTTGCCTGATACCTTGCCCTGGGATGATTAAGATGAGGAATATTGTCTCCCTGGGTGTATAGGCCAGATGGTGAAGGATTGGTTAGTTTGTACATCAAAAGCATGCTCTCAGCTGAGCCCTTGCTATTTCTAGGAACTGGCTAGGCCCTGAGAGAGGCAATCTCTCCCCAGCTAGAGGGTATTCTAAGATGTCAAAACATTGCAACATTCATGACTGACCGGATACCAGTCAGATGCCATTTATCCTTATTTTAAGCACCATCCTAATAACTCAGGTTATTTGTCTATCAGACTGCCAGCAATTTATGGAGTAGCTGCGGGAGATGGACAGCCTAACAGCAATGAGAAGTGGCAGTGGAGATAAGGGCAGAGATAGCAAAACTAGGGAAAGCAGACCGAGAACCCGCAAAGCACAATAGCCTAGGTCCATTTCAGAGGCAAAGTGTTGGAGGGCCCCTCTGCAGTTTCCACGTAATTCCATGCTCTTACCAATGGCTCCGAATGCACATCTCTAGAAGCCCAACAGGTGAGTTAATGGCTAGGATCGTTCCTATAGGCCCTCCTTCATTCATCCATCCAGACAGGCTCACACTCTCTTTGGTATTTCTGAGCGATGGTGGTAGTGTTATCTTGCTGCCGTCATCACTTTTTCTTTTTGTCCATTGAGGAGATGGCCCAGAAGGAGGAGCCCTGGCCTGGGTGTCTGGTGGCCTGAGCTTGGCCTCCACAAGTCACCCCATTCACCCAACCTTTATTCTTCAAACTCCTGCTGTGGGGCTCAACTTCCTCCCCTGTAAAGTGGAGGTCGGTCCACATAAGCTCAGTCTGACAATCCCGATGTTCAAGGAGAGGCTGTTCTGGGCTAGGCAATCATGATCAGGGACATTTTCATGGATTTACCATGCCCAGGTGCTTTCTAAGTGCTTTACATGGTTAACTTTGTTGAGTCTTCCAACCCTCTGAGGCTTAGGCAGTTGCATAGGGTCCCCTGCAATTTGAAAGGCCCTGTGCCTGTTTTCATTCTCTACTGTCAAGGTCTTAAAATTCATACTAATTTTGAACCAAGGGCTTGGCATTTTCCTTTTGCACCAGGACTAAAAAATTATGTGATCAGTCCTGGGTTCAGTTCCTTTTAGAGGAACTGAGTAACTTGCCCAAGGTCAACTAACTCCCTGCCACTCAAGATGTGGTCCCTGACCAACTGCATCCTCATCTCAGAGCTTGATAGAAATGCAGATTCTCAGGCCTGACAGAATCAGATCTGTACTTTACCAAGATCAGATCCAGAGCCTGCTCTCTCAATCATTGTTTGCTATTTTCTTCCATTTCTGCATTTATTGGAAACATATTCTCAATTGCACAGGAAAAGACCTCAATTTGGGATCTTTAATTAGAGATGATTTGCCTTCACCCTACTGTGAAAGGTGAGTTTCTAAGGGCCCCAACTTGCAGGACAGTGTGGGTGGGTGCCCCACAGGTGGTCAGAAGTGCCAGCTAATTGAGACATCTACCCTCCTGAAATGTTGCACACTAGGTTCCTCACTTGAGAGTCTCGGCGCTGGCAAGGGTGGGATGCCTCAATTAGCTGGCTCTTCTGACTACCTATGGGCTGTCCTGAGATTTAGGGCCTTTAGAAGTGCCAGGCTTCCGGTCTCGGGAATTTCTGATTAGGGCAGTTTCTCTACAGGGAACTCCAGAAAGGAGCGTGATTGGTCAAAATCAGAATTCAATCCTTCCACCATCTCTTCCCATCATTAACCTCAGGAAGTCTGCAGTCACCTGCTACCGGTCACACGTCCCTTCGTTCACAGCTCTGCCTTGGATATTGTTAGGGCTGGCGTCACCCCTCTTTTAATCCCCCTAGCAAACTGCTCCACCTAGCGGCGGGCAGCATCTCCCAGAGGCGGAGCTGGGTGTATGGAGACAGGGGGCCTCTTCAATGCCAGCCTCAGAGGAGAGGTGGGAGGCCAGGATGGAGTCTGGCCAGTCACATCACCTGGGAGTGGCAGAGACTTTCTGGGCAGTGCCTGCCTGGCACCTGGCTTCAGCTGGGACTTTCAGAGGGCATGCCATGGTTGTTGCACTGAGAGGGCCCTTCCCTAAGGAGGGCTGAGAGGTTCAGGGATTTTCCAGGGTCCTGGTTCCCAGAGCCAACTCACCTTCAGAACCACCTGGAAGTGAGAGATTTCTTAAAATGAAGATTTCCCAACCCAAGAATCAGAGTCTCCTGGGTATGGACATGATTCCTGCTACTTTTCCATGGAATAGAAAAAAGCACCCGCTCTGGGGAGATGCAGACCCACTGCCATGTGGCTTAGCGAATGGATGCAGCCTTTTTTTTTTTTTGAGACGGAGGCTGGCTCTGTCTCCCAGGCTGGAGTGCCGTGGCGCGATCTCGGCTTACTGTAAGCTCCGCCTCCCAGGTTCACGCCATTCTCCTGCCTCAGCCTCCCGAGTAGCTGGGACTACAGGAGCCCGCCACCACGCCCGGCTAATTTTTGTATCTTTAGTAGAGACGGGGTTTCACCGTGGTCACGATCTCCTGACCTCATGATCCGCCCGCCTCGGCCTCCCAAAGTGCTGGGATTATAGGCGTGAGCCACCGCCCCCCGCCTGGATGCAGCCTTTATGAGATGAGAACCCCCCTGCTTTCTTTGGGGAAGGCAGCCCTGCGTGGAGGCATGCCTTTGGTAGTTGAACGCAGACTGCACCTCCGGCCCCCATTTGCCTTCTTAGCCAGGTTCCTTTTGTGCAGTAAATACCCTGCATTGTTGTAAATGGTGCTCTTAGGTAGGGCTGGGAAAAACCGTGCAGGTGATTTTGATGACCAGCCAGGTGGGAGCCCCTGAGGCCTGGAGAGCAGCTGTAACTACAGGGGCTCCGCAGGGGTGAGCATAACACCATGGCTACTCCCTTCCTGTGCTGGGGGGTCCTCAGACATCCCTAGGCCAAGGTTCTGCCCCTCTCTTGTTTACCCACTCAAAATAAGCAAAACCAAAAGCCTAGCCTCCAGGAATAACATTTAGGGAAAGCAGTGAGGAAAGCAGAATGGAAGGAGGCGAGGGAAGGGGCTCTTATCTATATCCAGCAGGTCCAGCCCTGCCCGTGCACACAGCTGAGTCACACCTCACATCCTGCTCCACCCCAGCCCTGATGGCCCTGAGACATCTGCCAAGGGGCATTTCTCCTTCCAGGCTGAGTTCTAGGGGGTGGCAAGGTGGATGGCACTGGTGGGGAAGCAATGGGTCTGGGCTCTCATCCCCAGCAAAGCCTTGCAGAGCGCCCTGGGGAGAGTGACTGACCTCTCAAGGCGTTCCAGCTTTTTCAGTGGAACAGGGAGGTAGGTTTCAGGGTGTTAATGACAGGGAGAGGGCACCCACCCCTCCATGGCAGGGAGAGGCTCCAAGTCACGTAGTCCCTCTGGCATTGCTTTGTAGCATCACAGTGTGACAAGTGTGTCGATCAGCTTTGACTAACTTCCATGGTGGTGACAGTATCCTCTACCCCCTCACTCCACCCCAGATCTCAGTGTTTACAACAGAGGCTGACTTCGCACTCACATTGGCTGCAGCTCTCTCTCCAAGTCACCTTCATTCCTGGACCCAGAGTAGGAGCAGCCCCTATCTGGGCCGCGCGGGGCTTGTGGCACCAAGCAATGGTGCTCAAAGCTTCTGCTGAGATATGCATCTGAGGTTGCATTGTCCAAATCGAGTCACAAGACCAAACCTGAGTCAATGGGACAGGGATGTGTAATTCTATCACAGGGGATAGGGGAATGAATAATTGGGAATAGTAATGCAATCTACTGCCATGGACCCCTGACTTAGGCTGAAAGGATTTCATCACAGGAAGAGAGAACACAATTTAGCCAAAGAAGACTGTGTGGAGTAGTGGAAAGAGCAAGGCTTGGACCTGGACAGGCCTGGATTTTAACCTGGACTCGACCATATGCTAGCTGTGTAATGTTGGCCAAGTTATTTAACTTCTCCAAATTTTCATTTACATCTACAGAATGGGAATAATACCTAATTCAAAGGGCGATTTTGAGAATCAATTACATAGTAGATGTTAAGTCTTTGGCACATAGTAGGAACACAGTAAATATGACCATGCTACTCTACCCACTCCCCAGCTTTAACATTTTATCCAGGCCGGGCATGGTGGCTCACTCCTATACACCCAGCACTTTGGGAAACCAAGACAGGAGGATCACTTGCGCCCAGGAGTTCAAATCCAGCCTGGGCAACACAGGGAGACCTCTGTCTCTACAAAAACATTAAATAATTAGCCAGGCATGGTGGTGCATGCCTGTAGTCCCAGCTACTCGAGAATCTGAAGTGGGAAGATTGCTTAAGCCTGGGAGGCTGAGGCTGCAGTGAGCTGTGATTGCGGCACTGCATTCCAGCCTGGGCAACAGAGTGAAACCCCATCTCAAAAAACAAAGCAGCAACAAAAAATCCAAACAAAACAAAAATGTGGCTCATGCCTATAACCCCAACACTTTGGGAGGCCAAGGCAGGAGGCTCACTTGAGCCCATGAGTTCAAGACCAGCCTGAGCAACATAGGCCATCTCTACAAAAAAAAATTTTTTTTAATTAACCAAGTGTGTTGGTGCATGCATATAGTCTCAGCTACTCAGGAGGCTGAGGTAGGGGGATTGCTTATACCTGGGAGGTGGAGGCTGCAGTGAGCTATGATGGCACCATTGCACTCCAGCCTGGGCAACAGAGTAAGAACCTGTCTCAAAAATAAAAATATTATATCCATAACTCTGGAGGTGTTGATTACCAATGCTCACTCCTTCTACCAACCTCACAACGTGGGATCGAGTGGAAATGAAAAAACCTATTGTGTGTTTACTGTGTCCCAGGCACCGCACTACATAATTTATTGTCATAATCTCATTTATTTTCCCCAAACAACTCTTTGTATGCTATTAGCCCATATTAGAGATGAGGAACTTGAGGATCAGAGAGGATAAGTAACTTGCCATCAGTAACATGGGTGGCATAGGAAGGGTTTGAACCCATGCTATAGATTCCAGAACCCATACTCAAGAGCAGTGCTGTTCAAGAGTGATCTGGTACTGCTCTATGATGAAAGAATGGGAACTGAGAGTCAGTGCTTGGAAACTTTTATAGCAGCTGGGCATTACCACAACATTCAAGCACACAGTCCGTGGTCTTGATTCACTGAACAGAATATAGACCAGTTTGGGTGACGTAGAAGTCTCCAATAAGTCACTTGTGGCAGAGGCTGTTTTCTGGTCATGCACAGTAGGACCACTCAATGTTCACAGCTCAGAAGTCCAGTCTTCACCACAGATAGTGTGAGAAGCCTCACCTTTATGGTGGAGCATCTGCCCTGTGAACTGCAGTGTCCCCGGAATTAGTACAAAAGATGCTGTTAATCAACAATGCTGCTGTTAATGGAAAAGATACCTTGTTTACACTGACATATGAGGCCCCAGGGCAGGTCTGTGTGTCACCCATGGCACTGTCCGTGCTTTGTACACGGACATTCTCAGTATCTGTCTCCCTGCTTCAGTGAATGAATGAATGAATTGACAGATGAATGAATATACATTTCTGTTGTAGCAGAGCAACTAGCTGGATGGCCTTGGGCATAGCCACGAATTAGGCAAAATTTCTCTTTAGTCTTTTCCTGCCTGTACTTCTAGCTCCTGTCTCCTCTGGCTTTTTGCCTCTGCCCAATCTTTTCAGTGCCTTCAGGGTGCTCTCCTGGCTGCCCGGGACCCCACACGCCCTCCTTTTCCTACAAATGATGCGCTACTCTGGGACTTCACCGCCCAGTTCTCTAGCAGTTTTCCAGCAACTTCTCAGTTCTGAGTCTCTTCCAGGGGACGTCCCTCTAGCTGGCCGTCCCCCAGGTAGCAGGGCTCAGCCTTGACTGAGATAACACACAGCTTACGCAAGTGGGGGTTGTCCCTGCTGGTTCTGAGAAAATCAGCAAAGCTTTCTACTCAAAGCATGATGTGGGCTGATAAAAAATAAATAAGCAAATACATTTTTAAAATCAGCAAAGCTTCTTGTTTAATTATCTTAAGTTTCAAGGTACATGTGCGGGATGTGCAGGTTTGTTACACAGGTAAATGTGTGCCATGGTGGTTTGCTGCACCTATCAACCCATCACCTAGGTATTAAGCCCAACATGCACTAGCTATTTTTCCTGATGCTCTCCCTCCCGCCACATCCCCTGACAGGCCCCAGTGTGTGTTATTCCCCTCCCTGTGTCCATGTGATCTCAATGTCCAGCTCCCACATACAAGTGAGACCATGCGATGTTTGGTTTTCTGTTCCTGTGTTAGTTTGCTGAGGATAATGGCTTCCAGCTTCATCCAAGTCCCTGCAACGGACATGATCTTATTCCTGTTTTTGGCTGCATAGTATTCCATGGTGTATACGTACCACATTTTCTTTATCCAGTCTAACATTGATGGGCATTTGGGTTGATTCCATGTCTTTGCTATTGTGAATAGTGCTGCAATGAACATACACATGCATGTATCTTTATAATAGAATGATGTATATTCCTGAAAATACTATACTGAATGCTGGCGTAGACGCAGTGAGACTGGCATTGTCATACGCTGCTGGTGAGGATAGCATGTGATACATTTCTAGAAAGCAGTTTTGTGATATGCTTCAAGAATTTTAAAAATTTACACCCTTTAACCTAAAATTATACCTTAGATGTTTATCTGAAATAATCAGAGATCTGGCAAAATGTGTATGTACAGAGATATTTATCATAATACTATTTACACAGTGAAAAAGGAAATTCAACCTACATGGGAATGATTAAATTCAGTCACCATGAAATTTTATGCAGTTATTTAAATTATGTTTTTGAATTACTTTTAATGACCTGGTAAGATACTTATTAGCTATTATAAGTTAAAAAAAAAGGCAGGGTTCAAAAATTTTAAATAAAATTTAATTTAAAAGTATGTGCATATAAACATACTGATCATCTGTCTGAGTGATAGATTCAGGGTGGTTTTATCCCTTTTGGTATTTTCTAAATATTCTATAATATGCACAAATGTATTTTTATGTTCAGAAAAAAATGTAGAAGGATTTTTTGAAGTCTTTTCCAGTTCTGCAGACAGAGCCCTTCCAGGCCTGCAGCCCCCCTCTCACTGCAGGATGCTCTGATGCAGGTCGCTGCTGGGGGCATTGCCCTGTATTTGCCAGGAGCCAGCCTTGAGCTCTGTTAGCCTGTATTCTGGCCCTGGTTTTACCACTAACTGGCTGCAAGACCTTGGACAAGTCATTTTATTTCCCTGGGCTTTGAGGGTCCTCATTTATAAAATGAAGCATCCGGATTTGGTGATCTTTAGGGATTAGATTCTGATTCTGTGATTCCGGTAAACTCAAGAAGTCCAGGCATTTATTGTGAATAAGTTTCCATGATTTATCCTTTTCCACTCTATGTATCTTAAACAGGGGATTCTTATCTGAAGCTAAAGGAATGAATCTCTAATGATAGATTCTCACATCAGGCTGTGAGTCACCTATACTTAAACACAGACCTAATAGTTTTCTGCAACTCAGCACCCTAGGCATTATCTGTCCCTGTCCCTTCGGGACAAAAAGGGGAGGAGCTGAGAGGGCCAGGGACCCTTCCACATCAGCCTCCAGGCCTGAGAGGGAGAGGAGGGGTGTCTCTCTGAAAGCTTCTTGCTCGTCCCTGCCCCCTCCCCCAGCTGTTTACTGCTGTCTGCTTCCTTCTGTCTCCATCCTCTTCCCTATGGGTGAGTTGGGCTTATGTCATCATGGTTCCCTGGTGGGCTGGTGGCTCAGCCACCACAGCCTGGGGAAGGAAGGGGTATGACTCATGCCCCAGATCCAGTGAGTCAGGCAGGGTGGGCTGGACCAGGGGTTTCCTAGGACAGGAAGCAGGTTCTAGGTGTGCCTTAACTTCTTCCTGGCAGGAGCCCTGCCAGGAGAAGGTATCCATCTCTTTCCCATTCCCATTTCTGTGAATTCATTCAAGAACCCCTCCTGCCAAAGAAAATGCCACTTCTTCTAAGCCTCAGAAGATTGTGTCTGGGTGGGGCCAAGACAGCCTCTTTGAGGAAGGAGATGGATAGACCACAGTTAGAGCCGAAGAGGATGAGAACTTCCCAGCTCAACCTCTCAAGTCCTGGCTTTCAGCCCAGCTAGGTTTCAGAGCTGGGACAATTCCTTAGGAGGCAAGAGTATTTGCAATGCCCTGGAGCTGCATAACCTTGGGCAAGTTATTTAACTACTTGGATTCAGTTTCCTTGACTGGAAAATGACATAATAAACACCTCATGGGGTTGTTGTACTTTAGATAAAACCTAGCACCTACTACTACAGGCCTGGCTTCAGAAGGTGACCAGCTGATGTTCATTCTGAATTGGAATGGAAGCCCCACTGCTTTGGGGCTTCCTGGGAAGTCTGAAGGCCAGTTAGTGCAGAAGGCTAGAGTGGGCCATTGGGCTGGCACGCAGTGACCCAGACCCTGCGAGTTTTCCTTGGGGCTGGCAGGTGGGAGTGGGGTTGGGGGGATGTAATATGTCTACTACAGACATGTAGAAGCAACACTGTGTCAAGAGCTCCAGGGCAGGGACTGGCCTGGGAGCTGGCTTCAGTCTGGTTCTGAAAGGCACCCCCCGCCTTCCACAAGCTGGTTCACCTTCTTCCTCTCTAGAGCCTTCTCTTCCCTTACAGGCATCTGAGGGCCTTTCCCATGCCTGGTGAAGAGTCCTGACAGGGCCCTTCAAACTGGAGCACAAATAATATGGACCGGCCCCATGACTCATGCCCACAATCCCAGCACTTTGGGAGGCTGAGGCAGGAGGACTGCTTGAGCCCAGGAGTTCGAGACCAGTCTGGACAATATAGTGAGACCCTGTCTCTATAAATAAAAATAAATTTTAAAAAAATGTGTGACTGTGTTCTAAGGATTGTTAGACAGAATCAGTACTATTTGACTGAGTTTCCTTCTGTTCCAGGCTCCAATATGGCCTGATAGAACATTGTTGTTGATCCTATCTATTTAAAATGTTAGCATTTTGTTCATCGTGGATTTTTTGACATTAATTTTGATTTTAAAAAATGCATTAAAATATTATTTTTCTAGGTCTTACACGGTGGCTCTTGCCTGTAATCCCAGCACTTTGGGAAGCCCAGGCCGGAGGATTGCTTGAGGCCAGGAATCAAGACCAGCCTGGGCAACATAGCAACACCCTATCTCTACGAAAAATAAAAATAAACCAGCCAGGCATGGTGGTGCACTCCTGTAGTCCTAGCTACTTGGGGAGCTGAGGCAGGAGGATCTTAAGCCCAGAGTTTAAGGCTGCAGTGAGCTATGATCACACCACTGCACTCCAGCCTGGGTGACAGAGAAAGACCCTGTCTCAAAAAACAAACAAAAAACCCCAAAAAACCAATCATCTCTCTCTATATATAATTTGTCTAGGTTACTGGACTCCTTGGTGCCCCCTTAAATTTTGTCCTTAATGATGGAATTTTCGGCTTCATCTTTTTTGAGGGAGCGGGGTATATCCTGCGGACAGGGGGCCCTGCAAACTGTGCCTGCCGCCTTAAAACTGTGACCTTCCTGTTACTGAGAGGTCTTCTCTGCCCCCATCAGAGGCCAGGATAAAATTCCCATACCAGTTTCGGCTCACCCACTGTCCCATCTCCTACTTGCAATGAGCTCAGGAATGGCTCCAAATCCTGGAGTCCTGTCGGTTATGTTCAATTCGATAAGCGTTCCTCGAGGGCAATGCGCTAAGTGCCCGGGAAGCACCTGGCGAAGGACGCTGAGCAGAGAGACTGGAACAGTGAGGGGCGCGGGGCGCACCTGGATGGGGCGGGGTTGGCCGCTCTGTACCTGGAGGACCAACCACCGACCCTGGAGCACCTTTGGGTGGAAACGTCACGTCAGAAATCCCGACTTGGTCTGACTTCCTGCCCCGGGGCCTCAGGCTCTGGACACGCGCCAGGGAGGCGTCGCCCTGCCGCGTCGGAGCTGCTTCCTGGGCGCCGTGGGCGCGGACTGCGCGGGCTGCGCGGGTGCCGAGGAGCGCGAGGCGCGGGGAAGGCGCACCTGGGGTGGCCCTGGCGTGCGGGCGGCGACATGGAGGACGGCGTGCTCAAGGAGGGCTTCCTGGTCAAGAGGGTGAGTGCGCGTCGAGCTTCGGGACATTGCCCGGGTGGGGCCCCGCCGACGCGGCTCCCTAGAGCGGGGCCAGACGCGCGCCCCGGAACGGGCATGCTCTGGTTCCCATCCCCAACCCCCATGGTGGGACCGGGCCGCCTGTGGCCCTGATGGGCAGAGCTGCATGTCCGAGGGGACGCGGGGTAAGCGGTGGCTCAGCGCACAGGCAAGGAGGAGAATCCCACTTGGTTAGCGCAGTATGGAGTCGGGGCAGGGGTACTGAAGCGTGTGTCTTAATTAAAACTTGTTAAAATATTATGAATGGTATGATATTTAAATAATATTTACTAAGATAATATAGGCGTGCTCTGTAATTTACAACCTGTGAAGGAGGAATGCTACTATGTGTCTTAAGCACTTACTGTTGGCCAGCCCTGGATATTGTCTCATGTCATCCTCCCAGCAGCCCTGCTTTCATCAAGGGGGAAAACGAAGCCCAGAGGAGTTAGGGAACTTGCTCGGGGCGGTGAAGGCAGTGGGTGGTGGAGCCAGGATCGGGATCAGACCCACTCAGGTTGACCCAAACCTTTACTGCCTCCCCAGTGCCATACACGGTGGGTACTGACATCACTCTATTACAGACGGGGAAACTGAGGACCAGAAAGATGAAGTAGCTTGCCCAGAGCTCCAGAGCCAGTAATAGCTGGGACAGGAACTGCATGTTCTGACCTCCCCTCCTCAGTCCTTCCCCACCACCCCAGGTGGCCCAGGGCAAACGAGTGCAAACAAAAACTCAGTGCCTGGGATTATGGTAGAAGATGAACAAAAGAGCAGCTGCAAAAGGAAGTTTGTTATTTCAAAATTTTTTCCTGATTTGACCTTTTTTTTTTTTTTTTTTTTTTGAGACAGGGTCACCCAGGCTGGAGTGCAGTGGCACAATCCTGGCTCACCACAGCCTCGACTTCCCAGGCTCAGGTGGTCCTCTCACCTCAGCTTCCCTAGTAGCTGGGACTACAGGTATCCACTACTATGCCCAGCTAATTTTTGTATTTTTTTGTGGAGACAGGGTTTCGCCATGTTTCCCAGGCAGGTCTTGAACTCCCGGGTTTAAGTCATCTGCCCACCTTAGCCTCCCAAGGTGCTGGGATAACAGGCGTGAGCCACCACACAGAGCGTAATTTGAACAATGACATTAACACTAACCATTTATACTGCTATGATGGCATAGCAAAGAGACATATAAATCCAGGGCTGAGCTTTCTGGTTCTTCTACTGAGTTTTCAGCTTTGGGAGGGGAATGAAGAGGGATGAGGGGCCCTTCCTTTCATTGCCTCCCGGGGTGGCTGGATCAGCCCTAAAGTCTCACATCACTTTCATTTTCCCCACAAAATGTGTCCACATGATGTTGCACGTTATTTGGTACAGGAGAGCGGTGGCTGTTTGCTGTAAACAGTAAGCAAGGAGGGTAGAAGCTGATGCCAGATCAAGGGTCAGACTGGATAGAGCAGTACAAAGCGCCACGCCCACTTGCCACTGTGGCTGAACTGATAGGCCGGTTTCTCGCAGCATGTGGAGGTGGCTGCACCTCAGACTACACATGGGGAGCTCCTAATCTCACATTTAACTGCGGCTTGGGAGGTGGGAGGGAGAGTGAGAGCTGGGCACGGGGCTTTTTGTTGGCACTGTTGATATAGCTGGGCCCTGGTAGAGCCTGTGGAGGGATGAAGTTAACATGGAGACAGATCCTTCTGATAGAGCTTTGGGAGTTTTGGAGGCCTTCTCCTGTTCCTGGGGGTTACCTTCCATCATTCCCTATCACCCCCACCATGCTGAGAGTCAGAGGAGGGCTAAGGGCAGAGCCACAGAGCTCCCAGGATATCACCAGGAGGATGGGACTTCTCTTCTGGGTGGCCTGGTTAGGGAATCCAGGGTGCAGAAAATGAGGAGAGTCAACAGATCTGGTCCCCGTAAGCCCTTGGAAAAGACGGGGCTTGGCTGAAATACCTAGAGCTCATTCCAGCCAGACCCAAAGACTGGGATGGAGCCTGACCCTGAGGCAAGCAGAAGTCACACCCCTCCCTGCAGGCTGAAGGATAGGGCCCCAGAACCCTGTTGTGGTCCCAGTCTGCTGAGTAATCCCAACTTTTTCAACCCTCCATATCCCCTCTACTCTTAGATGGCAATAGCATTCCCTATGTCCACTGGAGAAGTTGCAGGCTGTGGCAGGGGGATTCCATAGTCTTAGGAGAGTTAAGAGCTCAGAGGTGGGGCAGGGCCTGCGTTGGAAGCCGGAGTGCAGAGCAGTCATCACCGGTGAAAGCGAAGCCAGAGACAGGCAGGGACATGATAGAGTTGGCTCTTAATCCCACCCAGACGAGAAAGAAGCAGAGTTCCAGGCAAAATGCAAGGAGCTCACTGGGCCTGGCTGTCAGGGGAGTGGGGAGAGGGAAGTGGGGGATGAGCCGTGAGCAGGAGTGCTTTTCCTGGGAGAAGAGACAGAAGCACTGCCGGGCGTTCCTGCTGGGCTCATATTGTGAATAACATTGCAATGTGAACATGCTCTGGCCTAGAGATTTTATGTGCAGGGCTCTATCCTTTTTTGTAAAGCTCTGTAAAAGCTTTATAACAAAGAGTTATTTTTATTTTATTTTGTATTTTTGTAGAGATGAGGTCTCACTCTGTTGCCCAGGCTGGTCTCAAACTCCTGGCTCAAGTGATCCCCTGGCCTTGGCCTCCCAGAGTGCTGAGATTAGAGGTGTGAGTCACCACACCCCCCTGTTACTTATTTATTTTGTTTAGAGAGGGTCTCACTCTGTTGCCCAGGCTGGAGTACAGTGGCATCAGCAAGGCTCACTGCAGCCTTGACCTCCCAGGCTCAAGCAATCCTCCTGCCTCAGCCTCCCTAGTAGCTGGGACTACAGGTACATGTTACCACACCCAGCTAATGTTTTGTTTTTTGCTTTTTTTTTATTTCTTTTTTTTTTTTTATAGCGACAATGTCTCACCATGTTGCCCAGGCTGGTCTTGAACTCCTGGGCTCAAGCGATCCTCCCACCTTGGCCTCTCTAAGTGCTGGGATTATAGGCGCCTGGCCAATAAAGGATCATTTATGTGGCGAAAAAACTGAAAACCACCTGTCTGTCCCCACCAAATGACTAATTAAATTATGGTTATGCAGATGTTGAATATGTTTATAGTATTAAAATCCGAAGAGTAAAGTGATAAAATGTATGAGTAAAGAAAAAATATGCGTAGAAGAAAAAGAGCAGAAGGAGTTCTGGAGGCTAGAGGTGCAAAATCAAGGTGTTGCCAGGGCCGTGCTGCCTCTGAAACTTGTAGAGGAGGATCCTTCCTAGCTTCTGGTGTTTGCAGGCAACCCTTGGCATTCCCTGGCTTCTAAATACTTCAGTGCAACCACTGTCTCTGTTGTCACGTGACCATCCTCTCCCTATGTGTCTCTTAGTGTCCAAATTTTCCTCTTCCTATAAGGACACCAGTCAATTGGATTAGTGCCCATTCTAGTCTAGGGTGACTTCATTTTAACTTGATTACATCTGCAAAGACCCTATTTTCAAATAACATCACACTTACAGGTCCAGAGGTTAGGACTTCAGTGTATCTTTTTTGGGGAAATACAATTCAACCCATAGCAAGTATCATCCCATCTTTGTTTTTTCTTTTTTTATTTTATTTTATTTTATTTTATTTTATTTTATTTTATTTTATTTTATTTTATTTTATTTATTTATTTTGAGACCGAATTTTGCTCTTGTTGCCCAGGCTGGAGTGCAATGGTGCAATCTCGGCTCACTGCAACCTCTGCCTCCCAGGTTCAAGTGATTCTCATGCCTCAGCCTCCTGAGTAGCTGAGATTACAGGCATGCACCACCACGCCCGGTTAATTTTGTATTTTTAGTAGAGACGTGGTTTCTCCGTGTTGGTCAGGCTGGTCTTGAACTCCCAACCTCAGGTGATCCACCCACCTGGCCTCCCAAAGTGCTGGGATTACAGGTGTAAGCCACCATGCCCGGCCCTCTATTTTATTTTATTTTCAAGAGACAATGTCTCAGTATGTTACCCAGGCTGGAGCACAGGGACTGTTCACAGGTGTGATCATAGTGCATTGCAATGTTGAGCTCTTGAGCTCAAGCGAACTTCCTGGCTCAGCCTCCCAAGTAGCTGGGACTACAAGTACACACCACTGGGCCCAGCTGGCATCTCTGCTTTTCTCAGGGTTATAGAGCCTTGGGCAAGACCTTTCTGTGCCTCTGTTTCCTTATCTTTAAAGTTAGGGGTCTGCCGGGTGTGGTGGCTCACACCTGTAAATTCCAACAATGTGGGAGGCCAAAGTGGGAGGATTGCTTGAGGCCAGGAGTTCGAGAGCAGCCTAGGCAACAAAATGAGAACTCATCTCTACAAAAAATAAAATAATTAGCCAGTCATGGTGGTACTCGCTTGTAGTCCCAGCTGCTTGGGAGGCTGAGATGGGAGAATCGCTTGAGCCCAGGGGTTTGAGGCTGCAGTGAGCTATGATCATGCCACTGCACTCCAGCCTCGGCAACCAAATGAGACCCTGCCTCAAAAACATTTTTTTTAATTAAAAAAAAATAAGGTTAGGGGCTGGGCGTGGTGGCTCATGCCTGTAATCCCAGCATTTTAGGAGGCCGAGGTGGGCAGATCACGAGGTCAGGAGTTCGAGACCAGCCTAGACAACATAGTGAAACCCCATCTCTACTAAAAATACAAAAAATTAGCCAGGTGTGGTGATGGGTGCCTCTAATCCCAGCTACTCGGGAGGCTGAGGCAAGAGAATTGCTTGAATCCAAGAGGTGGAGGTTGCAGTGAGCTGAGATCGCACCACAGCACTCTAGCCCGGGCGACAGTGCAAGACTCCGTCTCAAAAAAAAAGTAATAGTAATAAGGAATAAAGGAGGCTTTTTCCTGGGGTCTCTCCAGCTGTAACATTCTGTGTCTCATAAGCCCATCCCTGAGGTGCCATTCCAGCTTATGGGCCCCTCGTCCTTCTCTCCAAAAGGGATCCAGGGAACTCCAAGCACCCCCTGCTTCAGCTGGCCTCTGGTTCCAGCCAGCGGATTACAGACAAGAAACCTAAAAGAGAAGCTACTCTCTGCCCAGGGACAAGTGTCCAGGTGGAGGGAGGCCTGGGTTCTTCTTCAGCATACCATTGTGTTATCGGCCTGTGACTCACTTTGCCTGGTGATTTTAGACCAGTCACTATGCCCTCTGTGCATGGTGTGGTTTATCTGTAGAGCAGAACCGGTGGTGCTTTCCTGCCAGGTTCATGGACTATTCCAGCAGCCTCCAGCTGAGCTCCCCACTCCAGTCTCACCTGCTTCCTTTGGCTATTCTGTTCTGCTGCTGTGTTCGGAGTGATAGGTTTAACATGAGAACGTAAGCTTGCTGTCTTTCTGCTTAAAATCCTCCAAGGACTCCCCTTGAAGATCAAACTTTGTGGCACAGAACCTGAAGCCCTTGCCACCTTGGTCCCCATCACCTCCCCTATGGAGCCCAAGCCATATAGAACCACGGGGAGTCTCCCCAAAGTGGCAGGGGTCCTATGCTCACCCCTCCTTGACTTCCTGACCTGCCTAACTCCACACAACCAGGAAGACTGAGCCCCAGTATCACTCCTGGGAATGTACCTAACCCCACCTCAGCCTCTCCTGAGCTCCTCCTTGGGGTTTGTATCATGCCCTATATTAATTATTGATTGTTGTATAACAAATTATCCCAAAAGTTAGCATTTTTTTTTTTTTTTTGAGATGGAATCTTGCTCTTTCACCGAGGCTGGAGTGCAGTGGCGCCATCTTGGCTCACTGCAACCTCCTCCTCCTGGGTTCAAGTGATTCTTGTGTCTCAGCCTCCTGAGTAGCTGGGACTACAGGCACCCACCACCACGCCCAGCTAATTTTTGAATTTTTAGTAGAGACGGGGTTTAACCTTTTTGGCCAGGCTGGTCTCAAACTCTTGACTTTAAGTGATCTACCTGCCCTCAGCCTACCAAAGTGCTGGGATTACAGGTGTGAGCCACCGTGCCTGGCCAAGCATCTTAAAACAACAAGATTTGTCATCTCACTGTTTCTGAGGGTCAGATATCCAGTAACAGCGTAGCTGCAAGACTGGCTCAGGGTCTCTCGTGAGGCTGCAGCCAAGAGTGACAGTCACCTGAAGGCTTGACTGGCTGTAGGGTCCAATTCTGAGCTCACCTACATGGCTGTTGGCTGGAGGCCTCAGCTCCTCACCTCTCAATTGGGCTGCTTAGGATATGGCAGCTAGCTTTTCCCACAGCAAATAATCAGAAAGAGAGAGAGGGAGAGAGGCAGAGGGAGAAAGAGAGAGAATGCCAATAAGAAGCCTCAGAAGACCTTTATAACCTAATGTCAGAATTGGGATACCATCACTCTGCCATATTGCCATACAGACCAACCCTAGTAAAATGTGGAAGGAGACTATGCAAGGCTGTGAACACCAGAAGGAGGGGATCACTGAGGCCATGCCAGTCATCTGTCCTGGAACTTTTCATACTGGGTGGGGTAGGTGTCTGTCTTCCCCACTGGATTAGGACAGAGTCTTGTTCATCTTTGCCTTGGTGCCATATTATTAATCATTGATTATTAAATGAATGAATGAATGATTTCCCTAATCATCTCATCAGGATTTTTGTGTATTTAAATTTAAATTCATTTTTTCATGATAAAAATAATACATTCATATAAGTAAACAAACTAAAACAGTACTCAAGGAAATGAAAATGAAAATAAGTTTCTATTCTTTTTTTTTTTTTTTTTTTTTTGAGATGGACTCTTGCTCTGTCGCCCAGGCTGGAGCTCAATCTTGGCTCACTGCAACCTCCACTTCCAGGATTCAAACAATTCTCCTGCCTCAGCCTCCTGAGTAGCTGGGATTACAGGCGCCTGCCACCACACCTGGCTAATATTGTATTTTTAGTAGAGATGGGGTTTCGCCATGTTGGCCACGGTGGTCTTGAACTTCTGACCTCAGGTGACCCGCCTACTTTGGCCTCCCAAAATTCTGGGATTACAGGTGTGAGCCACCGCACCTGGCCACCATTCTTATTACTCTGTATCCACTCTTACTCCTTAGAGGTGACCATTGTTTACATTTCTGGGGTATCCCTCCAGAAATTTTCTAAACTACAAGAAATACATAAGTATTAGAAATACTTATGTACTATATATATTTTTTCTGAGATGGGGTCTCACTCTGTTGCCCAGGATGGAGTTCATTGGTGTGATCATAGCTTACTGCAGCCTCGACCTCCCAGGCTCAAATGATCCTCCCACCTCAGCCTCCTGAGTGGCTGGGACCACAGGTGCATGTCACCACACCTGACTAATTTTTTTATTATTTGTAGAGACTAGGTATTGCTGTGTTGTCCAAGCTGGTCTTGAAGTCCTAGGCTCAAGTGATCCTCCCATCTTAGCATCCCAAAGTGCTGGGATTACAGGTGTGAATCACCACACCCAACTCGAAATTTTAAATATTTAGAAGTATTTTCTAAAATACTACTACTAGAGGTTTGTTGTTTAGTTTTGTTTTTGAGACAGGGTCTCACTATGTTGCCCAGGCTGGACTTGAACTTTTAGGCGTGGGCAATCCTCCTGCCTCAGCCTCCTGAGTAGCTGAGACTGCAGCTGCATGTGGCTGCTAGAGTTTTTTTAGGTATCATATGAAGTAATATGAGTAAAAGTGCTTTGCTCATGTCAAAGACATTGCCACCTATTCTTGTTGCTTTAGACTGTGGAGTCTGACCTTGAAGGCTGTGCCAGTGGCCTACCATCTCTTAGGATTGGAATTCTTGCACTGCAGCTACACCAGGCACTATGTTGTTACCATATATATTTAGATTATTTTTCATTTTTTTCATTATTATAAGCAGTGTTCCTATAAGTGTCAATACATGAAACCTTTTCTATAATCTATATTATTTTCTTTCAAAAATTTTTTTGGCAGTCTCACTGTGTTGCCCAGGCTAGAGTGTGGTAGCGCAATCACAGCTTGTTGCAGCCTTGACCTCCCAGGCTCACGTGGTCCTTCCACCTCAGCCTCTTGAGTTGGCTGAGACTACAGGAGTGTGCCACCACACCCAGCTAATTTTTTATTTTTTTGTAGAAATGACTTCTCACTATAGCGCCCAGACTGGTCTTGAACTCCTGGGCTCAGGAGATCCTCTCTCCTTGGCCTCCCAAAGTGCTGGGATTATAGGCGTGAGCCACTGCACCCAGCCTCATATTCTAGATTATTTACTTAACAGAGATCCCTAAAGTGGTATTATTGGGTCAAAGGATTTGAACATTTTCATGAGGGCCACCAGCTTATTTGAATTTCTTGTCTACGTAGTACATCTTTTGTCATCAGTTTTTCTCCTCAGACTTCTCTCCTTTGCTATCAGTTAGGATTCTCAGTTGCTTGTAACACATTCCACTTTAGTGACTTTGAACAGAAGGGGTTTCTTGGAGGACATATACAAACTTGAGAATATTTGACAGGACAGAGAATATTTGGCTGGGATGCCATAGAGCTGGGGACCATACAGTCAGACAAAAACACCCACAGTACTAGGTTGGTGTCATTTCTGTTTGAAGATGTTTCTATTAGAAGCATCACTGCTGACTCTGTTTGCCACCTGTCCCTGATGACTCTGAGTCTGGGTATCAGAACAATCTGCTCTTTTGCTACTGCCCTTGCCAAAATTTCTTGTTTTCCCATGTTTGACTACCACCAAACATGCATCAATGCAAAATGGGCAAAAGATTTGAATAGACATTTCTCGAAAGAAGACATACAAATGGCAAAAAGGTCTACGAAAAAGTGCTCAACACCATTGATTATCAGGGAAATGCAAATCAAAACTACAATGGGATATCATCTCACCCCAGTTAAAATAGCTTTTATCCAAAAGACAGGCAAATACAAATTCTGGTGAGGATATGGAGAAAAGGGAACCCTCCTACACTGTTGGTGAGAATGTAAATTAGTACAACCACTATGCAGAACAATTTAGAGGCTCCTCAAAAAAATATAAATAGAGCTACCATGTGATCCAGCAATTCCACTGCTGGGTATATACCCAAAAGAAAGGAAATCAATATATTGAAGAGATATCTGCACACCCATGTCTGTTGCAGCACTGTTTACAATAGCCAAGATTGGAAGCAACCTGTGTCCTCCAACACATGAATGAAGAAACTGTGGTACATATATACAATGGAATACTATTCAGCCATAAAAAAGAATGAGATCCTGTCATTTGCAACAATGTGGATGGAACTGGAGGTCATTATGTTAAATGAAATAAGCCAGGCACAGAGAGACAAATGTCACATGTTCTCACTTATTCGCCAGCTCTAAAAATCAAAACAACTCATGGACTTAGAGAGTAGAAGGATGGTTACCAGAGGCTGGGAAGGGTGGGTGAGGGGCTGCCGGGGAGATGGGAATGGTTAATGGGTACAAAAAAATTAATTAGAAAGAATGAGAAAGACTTACTATTTAATAGCACAACAGGGTGACTATAGTCAATAATAACTTAATTGTACGTTTAAAAATAACCAAAAGAGTATAATCGGATTGTTTGTAACACAAAGGATAAATGCTTGAGGGGATGGATACCCCATTCTCCATAATGTGATTATTATGCAATGTATGCCTGTATCAAAATAGCTCATGTACCCCATGTATATATACTTATTATGTACCCACAAAAATTAAAAATAAAAAAATTTAAAGTAAAAATTACATCAATGCCCCATGCATGGAATTGACAGAAACTTCCTTAAGTGGAAGAAACTCTGGGAAATGTAACATTTCGTCCAGGAAAGTATAACATCTCTGTATTTTTGTTGATGTTGTTGTTGTTGTTTGAGATGGACTCTTCCTCTGTCACCCAGGCTGGAGTGCAGTGGCACTGTCATCTTGGCTCACTGCAAACTCCGCCTCCTGAGTTTAAGTGATTCTTCTGCCTCAGCCTCCTGAGTAGCTGGGATTACAGGCATGTGCCACCATGCCCAGCTAATTTTTATATTTTTAGCAGAGACAGGGTTTCACCATGTTGGCCAGACTGCTCTCGAACTCCTGACCTCAGGAGTTGGGTGATCCGCCCACCTCGGCCTCCCAAAATGTTGGAATTACAGGCGTGAGCCACCGCGCCGGCCTGTATTTGTATTTTCTGCCCGATATCTGTTGGTTGCATTTTTCTCCTCTTATATCACTAGTCTCCTTCCTTTCCCTATCATATTAGTTTATGAGGGCTGCTATAACTAAATATCACAGAATAGGTGGTTGAAACAACTGAGATTTGTTTCTCATGGTTCTGCATGATAGAAGTCCAATATCAAGGTACCAGCAGTTTGGTTTCTTCTAAGACCTCTCTCTCCTTGGCTTGCAGATGGCACCTCCTCACTGTGTCCTGAGTGGTCTTTCCTCTGTGTGAGCTGTGTGTCCAAATCTCCTCTTCTTTTTAAAATTATTATTATTGTTGTTTTAGAGACAGGGACTCACTCTGTTGCCCAGGCTGCAGTGTAGTGGCATGATCTTGGTTCACTGTAGCATTAACCTCCTGGGCCCCAGCAATCCTCCCACCTCAGCCTCCCAAGTAGCTTGGACTACAGGCACGTGCCACCACGCCTGGCTAATTTTTATTTATTTGTTTATTTATTTATTTATTTTTATTAATAGAGATGAGGTCTTCCTATGTTGCTGAGGCTGGCCTCAAACTCCTGGGCTCAAGCAATCCTTCTGCCTCAGCCTCCCAAATTCCTGGGATTACAGGCCTGAGCCACCGCAGCCAACCTAAATCACCTTTTCTTATAAAGACTCTAGTCAGATTGGATTAAGGCCCATCCTAATGACCCCATTTTAATTTAATTCCCTCTTTAAAGGGGATGTATCTCCAAATACATTCCCAGTCTCAGGCACTGGGGCTAGGCATTCAACATACGAATTTTGGAGGCACACAGACACACAGTGCATCCCATACTATTATTATTATTATTATTATTATTTTAAGAGGCAGAATCTTGCTCTGTCACCCAGGTTGGAGTGCTGTGGTGTGATCATAGCTCACTATAGCCTCAAACTCCTGGGTTTAAATGATTGTCCCTCCTCAGCCTCCCAAGTAGCTGGGACTGCAGATGTGTGCCACCATGCCCAGCTAATTTTTAATTTTTTCTTGTAGAGATGGCATTTCACTATGTTGCCCAGGCTAGTCTCAAACTCCTGGTCTCAAGTGATCCTCCTACCTTGGCCTCCCGAAGTGCTGGGATTACAGGCGTGAACCACCGAGCTCAGCCCTAAGATTCTTTTGCCCTCTCCTCTACTCCACCTCCCACCTCCCTCCTACCATTAACTTAATTGCCTTCTCCACTCCCTTCCAGCTACAGCCTTGGGTGCCAGCAGTTTACTGCCTTGGATTCAGAAGCACCCAGATGTCCCAGACCAGTCCTGCTAGTGCTGCCCCAGGACCCCTGCAGTTGGGGCGGGGGGTGGTCATAGGAAATGGGGACCTGAGGCTGGGCTATGTGCAGAGCAGTAGAGAACCCCAATAGCTGAGAAGTCAAAGACAAATCTTTTTTGTTTCTTTAAACATGTCTGCTTGTGTCAGGTAAAACTCTCAATGCCCATACTACATGTGGATGTAAGTAAGGAACAAAGTGAAGAGAGCAAAAATGTGCAATTCCACTGGACTGCATGAACCCTCTCATGGAAACAGAGTGATCATCACGTAGCATAGTAACACTGGGACATGTTAATAAACTCTTGTCAGATTAGCTGTGTTATAAGTGTTCTTTAGTTGTCACAGTAAATTCTGTTTGGGCTCAAGTCAGTGTTCACAAAGCTCAGTTATATGCACAAATAACTTTGGTGCAGACGATTCCTTCTACAACTTTTGGCTCTCTAACAGCTCTTAGTACGTGCTGAGTGTGGAATAGAATCATAGCACCAGAGATTGAGAACTAAAAGGGCCTTTGATATGAATCCATACTAGGCAAGGAAATGAGTGAGTTGGGGCAACGGACTTTGATTCAGGTAAAGCACCTCTGTTGGTTAGAACCTAGCCCTAAGCTCGGCTTTGGAAATATCCCAGGAAGGTGCTTTTGTGACTGTGTACTAAACTCATTCCTTTCTGATCCCTCAGCAGACATTTCCCCATCCACTGATCTTTCTAGAAATAGGCTCTCCATGTTCACCTGACTATTCTGCCCATTGGCTCTACCACCCACTTGAGAGCCACCTAAACTACCCTTCTCTTTATTCCTGCCACCTGAGACCCACCTAAACCACCCTTCTCTTTATTCCTGCCACCTGAGACCCACCTAAACCACCCTTCTCTTTATTCCTGCCACCTGAGAACCACCTAAACTACCCTTCTCTTTATTCCTGCCACCTGAGAACCACCTAAACTACCCTTCTCTTTATTCCTGCCACCTGACAGCCACCTAAACTACCCTTCTCTTTATTTCTGCCACCTGAGAACCACCTAAACGACCCTTCTCTATTCCTGCCACCTGACAGCCACCTAAACTACCCTTCTCTTTATTCCTGCCACCTGACAGCCACCTAAACTACCCTTCTCTTTATTCCTGCCACCTGAGACCCACCTAAACCACCCTTCTCTTTATTCCTGCCACCTGAGAACCACCTAAACTACCCTTCTCTTTATTCCTGCCACCTGACAGCCACCTAAACTACCCTTCTCTTTATTCCTGCCACCTGAGAACCACCTAAACGACCCTTCTCTATTCCTGCCACCTGACAGCCACCTAAACTACCCTTCTCTTTATTCCTGCCACCTGAGAACCACCTAAACTACCCTTCTCTTTATGCCTGCCACACCTGGCTAGGTAAGACTGTCAGAGTCCTTAGCACTGGGAGACTGTAAGTGGCCTCATATTGCCCACATCCTTTGACTAGTAATATTCTTTCTAGGAATATATCCAAAGGAAAAAAAGCAGATGCAGGTCAAAATTTACGTGCAAGGATATTCATTACAGAACAGTGGAAAAAATGGAACAACCTCAGTTACAAACAATAGAAGTTGGCAAGTAAACTATGTATCCACATAATCGTCATTAAAAATATGTTTTACAGAAATTTAATGGTATGAGAAGATGTTCAGCAAGGCCAAACAAAACAGGGACCGGGCATGGTGGCTCATGCATGTAATCCTAGCACTTTGGGAGGCCAAGGTGAGAGGATCACAGAAGCCCAGAAGTTCTTCAAGACCAGCCTAGGGAGTATAGTGAGACCTCGTCTTTACAAAAAAATTTAAAAATTAGCCGGGTGTGGTGGCACACGCTTGTAGTCCCAGCCACTCGGGAAGTAGTTTAGGTGGTTCTCAGGTGGCAGGAATAAAGAGAAGGGTCGTTTAGGTGGTTCTCAGGTGGCAGGAATAAAGAGAAGGGTCGTTTAGGTGGTTCTCAGGTGGCAGGAATAAAGAGAAGGGTAGTTTAGTTGGTTCTCAGGTGGCAGAAATAATGAAGGGTCATTTAGGTGGTTCTCAGGTGGCAGGAATAAAGAGAAGGGTAGTTTAGGTGGCTCTCAGGTGGGTGGTAGAGCCAATGGGCAGAATAGTCAGGTGAACATGGAGAGCCTATTTCTAGAAAAATCAGTGGATGGGGAAATGTCTGCTGAGGGATCAGAAAGGATCCCTTTCTGAGGTGGGAGGATCACTTGAGTCCAGGAAAGGGAGGCTGCAGTGAGCTGAGGTCATGCCACTGTACTCCAGCCTGTCTCTTTTGAGACCTTGTCTATAAAACAAGAACAAAAACAAAAAAAACTAGAAAATAAAACTATATGTAAAATAATCTTAATTTTTTTAAAAAACCAGAAGGCAAAAACTAAAAGGAAAAAAGACCGGAAGGAAATACAATATGTTAGCAATGGCTGTCTCCTAGCAGTAGGATTACAGGAAGTGATTTTTCTCTTCTTTTTACTTTGTAGTTTCTTTCAAGATTTAAAACCAGAGAAATGGCCAAATAGGAACTAGAAGGTCAGTGCCAAAGGTCTTTGCTACGTACTCAGAAGAGATCCAGACACAAATCCTGCTGTCTTCCTTGGAGACTGATTTCCACAGCACAGTCTGGTTACTTGTGCCACCAGACACCCCCTCCCTGAACACCATACCCTCCCACTGACCGCCTCACCTCAGGGCTTTCTTGTCTGTCCATAGGGCCACATTGTCCACAACTGGAAGGCGCGATGGTTCATCCTTCGGCAGAACACGCTGGTGTACTACAAGCTTGAGGGGGGTCGGAGAGTGACCCCTCCCAAGGGCCGGATCCTCCTGGATGGCTGCACCATCACCTGCCCCTGCCTGGAGTATGAAAACCGACCGGTAAGTGATGGCCCCTGCTGTCCAGCTCCTCTCTGTTCCACAGCCTTCCCACCTCTGGCCTCTTTGGGAAAGTGGTGTGGGTAGGAGGAAGAGCTCAGAGTTAGAATTGAAAAACTTGGATTCAAATCCTGGCTCCGCCACATACCAGGTATGTGAGCTTGGACAAGTAGCTAAACCTCTCTGAGCCTTCGTTCCTCATCTGTAAAATGGGATGAAATAATTACCCCTGAGTGTCTCACATGGTTGTGGTGAGGACCATGAAGGTCACGGTGTATTAGAGCACTGTATGGGCTGGGAGGCAGGCACCACACAAATGTGAGTAATTACTGCTATCTTGGGGTTCACTATGATGGCTTTCATCCCCTGAGGGGTCTGCGTTCCAGAAGTAAGGGGTGGCTTCAACTCTACCATTAAAAAAGTCTAGGCTGGGCGTGGTGGCTCACGCCTGTAATCCCAACACTTTGGGAGGCCGAGATGGGCAGATTGCTTGCGGTGAGGAGTTTGACACCAGCCTGGCCAACATGGTGAAACCCCATCTCTACTAAAAATACAAAAACTAGCTGAGCGTGGTCGCAGTGGCCTGTAATCCCAGCTACTTGGGAGGCTGAGGCAGGAGAATCGCTTGACCCTGGGAGGCAGAGTTTGCAGTGAGCCGAGATCACGCCACTGCACTCCAGCCTGGGTGACAGAATGAGACTCCTCAAAAAAAAAAAAAAAGTCTCCCAATAAATTATTTATCAAGGGCCCATCATGTGCCAAGACATTTGCAAGGCATGGAGGAATCAAGGAAGAAAATGGTAAGATTGTTTCTTCATAGAGTTGCTGATTTTATTGGGAAAGCAAGTGGTTAATTGAAAAATATTTGGCATTCCAATGATGCCACAGCTATCAGGAGCTGCAGAAAACCCTTTATCCCTGAAGAGGAAAAAGATATTTCAGGCTGGGTCAGGCAACGCTTCAGGAATAGAGATGTGGGCAAAGATGGAACAAGGAGAGAGGCAGTCATTCTGGACAGGTAGAATGTCTTGAGTAAAAGTAAGAAGAGAATGCATGCAGAGAGGTGGGTGTGGCTTCTGGGGAGAAGGGCCTCCAGTGTGGTCAAAGGGGAATGTTCACCAAAGGAGTGATAGGAGTTTGGTTTGGGCCAGATGGAGGTAATGGAGAGCCATTGAAGATTTTGAGTGAGAGCATGGTCTGATGAAAACTCTCTTAGAGGCCAGGCGCATTGGCTCATGCCTGTAATCTCAGCACTTTGGAAGGTCAAGGCTGGCAGATCACCTGAGGTCAGGAGTTCAAGACCAGCCTGGCCAACATGGTGAAACCCCGTCTCTACTAAAAATACAAAAATTAGCCAGGCGGGGTGGTGGGCGTCTGTAGTCCCATCTACTCAAGAGGCTGAGGCAGGAGAATTGCTTGAACCTGGGAGCCGGAGTTTGCAGTGAGCTGAGATTGCACCATTGTACTCCAGCCTGGGCGACAGAGCAAGACTCCGTCTCAAGAAAAAAACAAAAAACAAAACAAAACAAAAAAACAAAGCGACCTGGATGGGAAGGAGCTGAAACTATATCCTATGAGAAATGTGTGAAAGACTTGATGCTTAGACACAGGAAAGAGGACGGAAGGGAGCATGACTAACAGGCCATTTGAGGTAGGCATTAATATCCTGTCATTTCCTAATGTGCCCGGGAGTCCACAGCCAAGTGGCAGAGCTGGGGTTTGTGTTCAGATGGGACTGATTTTAAAGCCTGGGCATTTCCCTCTTCAGTGTAGGGGCTGTCATAGGAGGTGAGTCTTCATCTGTGTGGTTCTAGAAGAGAGAACAGAACTAGTGTGTCCAGGAGGCAGGCCCTACAGTAACTACCTTGTCCACAAGGGAAAGGCTGCAGTGTGAGGCCGCAAGCTTCCTGTCACTGGAGGTGTCCAAGTGAATCTTTAAAGACTACCTGCTATGTGGCCGAGGGCTCAGGGCATTTGGCAGTCACTGTCACCTAGATTCTCCCGGGGCCCCGTCATTTTTGCTGCCCGGCGTCCTCTTGCTCTGCCTGAGTGCTGGCCTGACTGGCTCTCTCTTCCCACAGCTCCTCATTAAGCTGAAGACTCAAACATCCACGGAGTACTTCCTGGAGGCCTGTTCTCGAGAGGAGCGGGATGCCTGGGCCTTTGAGATCACCGGGGCTATTCATGCAGGGCAGCCGGGGAAGGTCCAGCAGCTGCACAGCCTGAGAAACTCCTTCAAGCTGCCCCCGCACATCAGCCTGCAGTGAGTGCCCCACTTGCCGGGCTCTGTGGCAGCCTCTCCTGCCTGTGTTGGGTGGGCAGGGGACCCTGCCCCTTGGGGGGGCTCTGTGCTTGCTGCACAGTCTGGCTGGTGCCACCACGGTGCTTCAGGGCCTTCAGCTGTTCCTGTCCTGTGTATATTATTTTCTCTGCTTGGGAGTGGCCCTACCTACCTGCCCCATTCCTATGGGATCTCTCGTGGCTCTTGCCACCTCTGCACACCTCCATGACACAAGACCCCCATTCCATTTCAGCCAGGGTGCTCAGGGCTGTGTCACAGCTCCCCCAAAATCTCGTCTTAGTCTGTTTTCTGTTACTTATAACAGAATACCTGAAATTGGGTAACTCATAAGGAGGGATTTATTTCTTATCATTATAGAGGCTGGGAAGTCCAAGGTTGAGGGGCTGCATCTGGTGAGGGCCTTCTTGCTGGTGGGAGTTCTCTGCAGAGTCCTGAGGCAGTGCAGGGCATCACACAGTGAGGGGGCTGAGCATGCTAACATGCTTGCTCCGATCTCTCTTCCTCTTATAAAGCCACCAGTCCCATTCCCATGATAATTCATTAATTCATTTAACCCATTAATCCATTCACAAGGGCAGAGCCCCCATGACCCAATCACCTCTTAAAGGCATCACCTCTCAATATTGCCACATTGGGGATTTTCAACATGAGTTTTGGGATAAACATTCAAACCACAGTAAATCTCCACCAACCTCCCAGGCAAAAGAACTGTTAACACCCATCAAAGATGTATGAATCCATTCCTGGGCTCACAAAAACTCCCCACCAGGCACTGAAATCTTGACTGTACACCTCCTATGGGTCTAGGTGGGTGCAGGGAGGATCAGCTGCAGATAAAGGTGGGTAGGCAGGTGGGTTTAAAGATAGTTGGAAAAGTAGCTGAGGGGGTTTGGACTTAATGCAGGGGATCACAGAGAACCATGTGGGCTACTGTGCACTCTTGGGGCTTTTTTGTTTTTCTTTTTTGGGGACAGGGTCTCACTCAGTTGCCCGGGCTGGAGTGCAGTGGCTCGATCATGGCTCACTGCAGCCTTGACCTCCTGGGCTCAAGTGATCCTCCCACCTCAGTATCCCAAAGCACTGGGATGACAGGTATGAGCCACTGTGCCCAGCATACACTCTTGTTTGTAAGTTAAAAGTCACACCTCTTTGGTTTTACTACAAAAGCAGTGTGTGTCTGGCATAGAAATATAAGAACATTTAGATAAGGAGAAGAAAAGAAATGTCTGAAAATCCTGCCTCTCAAATTTGGAGGCATAACTGAACACCCTGTTCTGTGGTGAGGAGGTATAAACAAACCTACCTGCAAGGGGAGCTGAGAGGCAGGAGAAAGAGGCTGACAATTCCAGTTTCTCACAAAGAGGCATTTAATAGGGACTTACAAACAGAAGTGATGTCCCTGCTGGCCTAGAGACAGCGAATCACCACACTTGTCTTCCAGAAAATATCCTTTATATAGCAAGCTTTTTTGGGAAAATGTGCAGCTAGTGGTGCCTCAGACTTTCTTGTGAAACCTGTGACCACTGGGGAGGTTAGATAAACATCTTTATGAGGGGTGAGCCGTGCTATGGGAACACCGTGGTATGCAGGAGTCAAACATCCATCATCAGGCCAGGCACGGTGGCTCACACCTGTAATCCCAGTACTTTCGGAGGCTGAGGCAGGCGGATCACTTGAGGTCAGGAGTTCGAGACCAGCCTGGTCAACATGGTGAAACCCCATCTCTACTAAAACTACAAAAATTAGCCAGGTGTGGTGGCAAATGTCTGTAATCCCAGCTGCTCCGGAGGTTGAGGCAGGAGAATCACTTGAACCTGGGAGGCGGAGGTCACAGTTAGCCGAGATCTTGCCACTGCACTCCAGCCTGGGTGACGGAGCGAGACTCTGTCTCAAAAAACAAACAAAAAACAACAACAACAAAAATCAATCATCATGGCGGCTTCACTTCAAGATGGCATCACTCTTGCCATTCAAAAGGCTGCTTTCCTACACCCCTTTTCTTTGTGATGTGTGTCACACCATTTGCCACTTGCTTTATACCCTTAGCAGTGACTCAGGACCCTCCCTTATACCTGCCCGCGTGATGAGGGTTCCCTCTCCTTTGCCTTCCCTTCCATGTAGTCGCATTGTGGACAAGATGCACGATAGCAACACCGGAATCCGTTCAAGCCCCAACATGGAGCAGGGAAGCACCTATAAAAAGACCTTCCTCGGTGAGCCTGTCCCCCAGGGCCGGGCTGGGCAGTCAAGCTGGGACATGGTGATGCAGGGCTCAGCTGTGTGCTTGACCGCCCTGTATTGAGGTCAGAGCTGCCTGCTGGGCAACAGGCTAGCCTGAGATGGCCATGTGTGGGTGTGCAGCCACGGCTCTATGCAGCAGGTGTGGCCTTCAGTCTGCTCTTGCGTAGAGCCCTGAGGCTGCCCAGAGGGCCAAGGTCAGTGAGGTCATTGGCCACACACCCCAAGGACGCTGGTCCATCACCCATCGCCTGACTGGTGCTGCCCTTGGCCAGGCTCCTCCCTGGTGGACTGGCTCATCTCCAACAGCTTCACGGCCAGCCGTCTGGAGGCGGTGACCCTGGCCTCCATGCTCATGGAGGAGAACTTCCTCAGGCCTGTGGGTGTCCGAAGCATGGGAGCCATTCGCTCTGGGGATCTGGCCGAGCAGTTCCTGGATGACTCCACAGCCCTGTACACTTTTGTAAGTTGGGGAGTGGGTTCTTCTTGCCACCAGGGCAAAAGTTAAGGAAGACACAACAGAATGGGGGCCTGGGGGCCACAGTCATGGGAGGAGACCTTGGGCTTGGGGGACGACTTCATCCTGATGCAGAATGAGGTTCCTGTCCTGAGGAATTTCCTTTCCCCTCTGACAGCCGCCATAGCCTGGGCCTGGGTCTTTTCTGTAGCAGAGTCCTTGCTCCCTCCTTCCCCCTAGGCTGAGAGCTACAAAAAGAAGATAAGCCCCAAGGAAGAAATTAGCCTGAGCACTGTGGAGTTAAGTGGCACGGTGGTGAAACAAGGCTACCTGGCCAAGCAGGTATGGCTGCTATGAGCAGGGAAGAGAGATGGACAGTTCTCAAGCTTAGGGGAGGGAGCAGTGAGCCCAGAAGAAGGGAAGGGCTGAGGCTGCTGGAGGGCACCAATTACAGCAAAATCTACGAAAGCAAGAGCCCAGCACCAGCCTCCAGGAGCAAGTCAAAGAACAGGCATATGCCCACACTCACACACACATGTGTACCAGACACAAGGGCTGTTCGGGAAAAATGTACTACACACACACACAATTATCACAACATCAAAAAACAACTTCTACACAATTGCCCAGCTTCACATATTTGTCTTGGAAGCTTTTGCTGACTGGCTTGAGGTTTTGCATTTGCTGGCCTTCTGTTCCTTGGGGCGTCCTGGGGTCTCTGCCTTCCCTTGTGAGATTCTGCACGCCTCCTTGATACACTTTCTGAGCTAAAAACAATTTTCTCCACCATGTCGGTAGGTTGAAGATCAGATTCTCCACTGTAAGGCTCCCTATTCAAAGCCTGGCCATGGCCACTACTCCTAAACCGTGTTTGGGAGAGCAGCTATGTTGAACCAGAGGCAAGCCGTGTCCTGCGGCATTCCTACCTGTGCCTAACAAAAAGGGTATTCTGTGAACAAAATCACCTGTCCTTGGCCCAGGAAGTGTAGCAGACATTTTGCACAGCCTTCGTGTTTGTGCACATATTGTATACCATGTGAATGTGTGTGTCTGCACAGAGGGCACCTACACGGCTCGGCACCACTCCCATCGTTACTCGGAGCATGTGCTGTTGCTGTCACCTGCTTCCTGCATATCAGGATCCTCATCTGCTCTTAGATTCTTATCATCCCCACTGCTGCCTGTCTACACCAAGGCCCTGCTTCTGCTGGGCCTGATAGGAGTCCTTCCCGAGGGGAGGAAGAGAGGCCCCTAGGGGAGCTTGAGGAGGGTGTGGGAGGGACTCTGAGGGTGTTCCTGACTAGGAGGGCTAAGGTTTGTGATCTAACCTTAGCCCTCCTGGTCAGTGAGGCCAAAGAAAGTCACACACACACACACACACACACACACACACACATATCAGCTGCTTACACATTTAGATTTTATCATATAATTGATCGTTTCTTGCTTTTTTCCTAATGCACAATGTGAAAGTGGTTTTACTGCACATGTGGGCACACGTGTAGACTGACAAATATACATGTAGCTGTAGGTTTGTTTTTGGACTGACTTGGCCCTTAGCTGGTGCCCTTGGGTTCAAGTTTGCCTGTGTGCTCCCAGCCCAGCTGACACCTGCTGCCTCCCTGTCCTCCTTTATGCCCTGAGTATTGTGTGTCCCCTTTCCTTCTGCATGGACTCTCTTTGGCTCTGCTGACTTGACTTAAGGTGATGGCATTTTTGCTACAGTGTCACTGAGTGGGGGTGTTGGCAGGGAGGTCTGTGACATGTCATTGCTATCCTCAGGTTTCCTGTGGACTGGTTTTAGAATGTAGTCCCATTGGAGCGGGCTGGCTTGTTGGGGGTTTGGCATTACATGCATAGATACAGGAGAGAGGGACATGCAGCTGTCACCAATGAGCTTTGAACCATTTCTTTGCCTCAGGGACACAAGAGGAAAAACTGGAAGGTGCGTCGCTTTGTTCTAAGGAAGGATCCAGCTTTCCTGCATTACTATGACCCTTCCAAAGTGAGTGCGCATGCTGGCTCCATGTTGGTCCCATGTTGTGATGCCCCCAGACACTCCTCTCCTGGCATGGCGGGCAGCTGGCTGGATATCCTGCCTTCCCCTGGCACCCGCCGTAAAGTCTGCTGCACCATGCCTTTCCTTCCACAGTCCAAGCTGCTCTGCCCTGTCATCACATAGGTGCCTGCTTCTTGAGCCGTTTCTTCCATGCCTAATCCCCCACTTTCCCATGGGAGGGCATCTTTATCATTTTCAGAGGAAAAGCATCTTTTGGTCTTCCCCAAAGCCTGCTTTGTGAGTAGGGAGGATGAGGTAGGCTGACAGAGACTCCTACTGGCACTTCCCAGCCTCTCCACACTTTCCATTCAAAGATCCCATTAATTCTGCCTCCCTCCACTTTTCCCCACCTATGTTTTGAAAAGTTTCTGTCACCATATAATATTTAAGCCATAATTTACTAATTTGCTTTTTAAAAAACTTTGATGGCAAATTAAAAAAAAATCATTTTTATGTTTCTGATACTAGGTATTACCACATGCTAAGTGGATCTAATTCCAGTCAAAAGCAAAGAAAAAGGGCCCTTTAGTTAGCTGTTCAGCCTTGTCTTGGGCAATGTATGACTTTCATTAGTTTTTGTTGAAACAGTGAAGAGTGGGCAGTTCCTTCCTCACTGAGCTTCAGTCAGGAACCCCTGCCTGGACCCAGCTAGGCCAGGGCCAGGGAGGGATGTGGCAGGAGGAGCCTCCAAAAAGCTCCAGTTGACCTCTCTGTGGGGCATGGTGGCCTGGCTACAGGATGGAGTTCAAACTCCTTCCTTTCTGGCTACCTCAAATCCTGTTTGAAGCAAGGAAAAAATAAACAAATGAAAAAACACTTAAAAAAAAAAAAAAGAAAAAAAACACTTTAGTTTTGTATTTAACTCTCACCATGGTCTAGCCTAACCTACTTTCTTTGTGCCCCTGATGAGTCTGCTGTCTCAGCTTTTAAAATAGGAAACTGAGAAAATATATACACACACATACGTGCCTATACACACCTATCTATAAATACATATACATGTAAATATACATATATACATATATATGTACACATGCACAAATGCTCATATACATACATAGATGGAAACAGTGCAGAAGAGATTACTCAAAGCAAGTGTGCAAAGGAAATAAAAGAATTGCCAAATCTCTGGGCTGCAGGTACAAGATAAGGAACCATCTCAAAAGCATTCTGCAATTAATTTGTTCCGCACTTTACTCCCACTCTTCCTCCTGTTTAGGCTGAATGCCCCTCTCCTGTCCTGGGGACCTACTCTCCTATCCAGGACAGGACTCTCCTGTCCTCCCTGAGACTGCCCTTGAACCCTCCAGGCTGGGGCGGATCCCTTCCTTCTCTGAACTTTCCTCCCGTTGGCATTTAGTAGTACAAATATTTCCAGTATTTTATTTAACCATTTTATTTTTTGCCCTACCTCTTGCTGGGCCCAACATGCAGTATGAAGTTGATTATTGATTAATTGAAGGGCTCCTAGGGCCTGAGGCACGAGGTGTGTAAAGTTGCCCTGAATCGTCCAGGGATACCACCAATCGCAGTTTTGTATCACACGAAGTTTCTTGCTAGGCACATACTAGATTTGTGTAACGATGTCCTATGTGCAGGAATCTATCAACTTTGCAGAAATGATTACTATAGCTGGGTGCAGTGGCTCATGTCTGTAATCCCAGCACTTTGGGAGGCTGAGGAGGGCAGATCACTTGAGGTCAGGAGTTTGAGACCAGCCTGGCCAAGGTGATGAACCCCTGCCTCTACTAAAAATACAAAATTAGCCAGGTGTGGTGGCGTGTGCTTGTAATCCCAGTTCCTCGGGAGACTGAGGCAGGAGAATCGCTTGAACCTGGGAGGCAGAGGTTGCAGTGAGCCGAGATCGTGCCTCTGCACTCCAGCCTGAAAGACAGAGTGAGACTCCGTCTCAAAAAAAAAGAAATGATTACTATAAATATATATTTCTGATTGCTTTGTAAGATGCACACAAGGGTTAAGGAAGCCAGTGAATGTTTTTCCGGGTAGCATATTGGATCAGAGGCTCTGTTTGAGACATCTCCAGGAATGAAAAGCAGATTTGCAAGTCTGTGAGACTTGGTAACTGCAACATTGATGGGCACTACTGCTGCTGGCTGTGAAATGAAGAGGCCCAAGCTTCCTTACTGATGCATGCAGCTTTGGCCATGTGATGTCCAAGTTCAGCTTCATCTTCTATTACAAATGATTTGCACTCACTTCTTTAGCTGGCCTGAGTTGTAAGGGGAGTGCAACTCTTCCCTTTTGTTCATTCACAAATTCCTAATTGGGTCTCCTTTCCTCTACAGGAAGAGAACAGGCCAGTGGGTGGGTTTTCTCTTCGTGGTTCACTCGTGTCTGCTCTGGAAGATAATGGCGTTCCCACTGGTAAGGTACAACTTCAGCCCTGGCCTGAAGATCTCAGGGGCCTCCCTCCTGCACCTCAGTAATGTCCCACTAATGAAATGACAGCTTTGGGAGCCGAGCAGGGCTTTCTCCATGAGACAGAGTGGTGTGAGTTTTGAAGTGAATTTCAGAATTGAACAAAGGGTATGTTCTTGGCGTTTTAAGAATACAACTAAGTAATCCTTATGTTAATAATCTTTCCCCTCAGTTTCTGTGCTGATGGCCCATAAGCTTCCGCCTAAAAATAATAGGTGAGGCTTACACAATGCTTTAGGGTTAACAACATACCTTAATATGTATCATAATACTAATTTCACAATAGCCAGCCATAGTAAGAAGATATTATTCCCATCTTGTGTCTGTGGAAACTGGGGTTCCAATAAGTTAAACAATTTGAGATCAAACTCCAAATTCTATGCTTGCTTTTAACATAAACATACTGGATTCTTTGATGTAAATGAAATGGTAGATCTATGGCATGCTACCATCTTGAGCATAGGGAGCAGGCAAGAGGGCTTCCAGGAATATCCAGACATAACCATTGGAAGGCCTTAGGGCACTGGTGAGGGACAGGGAATGGGAGGAAAAGGGGACCTCATCTGATAGGATTCTCTAACTGTAAACCTTTTATTTAATAAATACATCATTGTATGTTTTTGTCCATGTCTCAGTTGACTTTCTGCTGGTTCAAGATGAAAGCAGACATGGCTATTCAATCACTGATTTTTTTCCCCCTTTTTTCTGCCTAGGGGTTAAAGGGAATGTCCAGGGAAACCTCTTCAAAGTGATTACTAAGGATGACACACACTATTACATTCAGGCCAGCAGCAAGGCTGAGCGAGCCGAGTGGATTGAAGCTATCAAAAAGCTAACATGACAAGGACCTGAGGGAACCAGGATTCCTCCCTCCTACCAGATGACACAGACAAGAGTTCCTGGAGAATGGGAGTGTTAAGACTTTTGACTTCTTTGTAAGTTTTGTACTGCTTTGGAGAGTGAATGCTGCCAAGAGTTCCTCAGATTACAAACAGCAGTGGTGCCATTTCCTTCCCCATCTTCATGTTACAAACCTGGAAAGGCTAGAACAGCCATTAGGCGTCAGCATCTTGACTTTTCCCCAGCATCACAAACAGCCATTTCCTCGGGCACCAAAGTAGGTTCCCTTTGTTGGAACAATTACACTGGCCATGCCATAATGTTGAATAAAACTCTCTTCTTATGAGGTTCTCTCTTAACTTCTTTGGAATTAGTAAAAGCTGACAATTTGTTTCTAGCTATTAGAATCCCATACAAAGTTTATAGTTTTCGAGCAACGTTTCAAGTATCTCTGTCATTAAGACATAGTTCATCTTAAAGTGGGGATGGTGGCCAAACTTTGTACATTGAGAATATTGTTTTGCTTTAGAAAACAAGCCTGCATAAATATTATACATTACAGAAGTCATGGACTCTGTCGGAGAACATAATCACGTATACGAAAAATACATTACATAGCTTTTCTATGAAAAATGGGCATTTAGCAATGCAGAGTAAGAGCGCTCTAAAGGACAGAAAAAGATGTAAATGGGGAAGATTTATATCAAGGCATTAAATTTTGGTTTTAAAATGAATATAAGCTGAGACAAATAGGTACCAAGAAACTTCACCAGTTGGAAGGTTAATCTGTAGTGAAAAGTCTGTATCATACAATACTTTTAAAGAACATTTTTATTACTTTCAAGTTTATACAGTAATCTGGCACAAGCTATTGCCAGCATTCCTGCCAAGTACAAATGCTTGGACCTCCCCTTAATCAACAGATAAAATACATAACTTACATTTAAGGGGAGTGGATACCTCAAAGTGCTTAAGTAAAAATTTGTTCTCTTTAATAGTTTGAACTGTCCCTTGTTAGTCGTGTCTAAAACATTGACCTGAATAATGAGAAATCACAAGCTAATGTTTTACTTATTCCTTATATGGTAAGAGACTACCTTTTAAAGCACCATTTTCCATTTGGCATTTCACCAAGGTCTAATGTCCCTGGAATTAGTTTTTTTGTTTTGCCTTTTGAATATCGATAGGTGTTCATCTGAATTAAACTACGTTTAGTTTGATGGCTTCCTGCCTCCAAATTGGCAACAGTGTACCTCACTTTGTATGGGAGCTATCAGGATCTCCATAGGTTGCAAAGTAGATGACCATTACCTTGGGGTTGGGGCAAATCAGTGAACAAGTCTCGGCAAGGTACTGGCATTTGTATTTTTAAAAAAATCTCTAGCCATTTTGTTCTTGGTGTAAAAGTAGAATGGCTGAAGTATGGCAGCTGAGTAATAACTGTTCTTCTTAGCATGATGTAGTGCTTAGCATGTCTCTATGGGTCCAACTTTGAACATTATTAAGAACTGGTTTGTCTTGTTTTGCTATAACTGATATGAAAAATGGTTTGGGTGGGGCATGGTGGCTCACACTCTTACAGAGGCAGAGGCAGGAGGATAGCTTGAGCCCAGGATTTCGAGACCTGCCCAGGCAATATAACACCATTTGCCAAAAAAAAAAAAAAAAAAAGAAAAAAGTGGTTTGAATATTCATATTTCTTCCTGGCCATTACTGATTTTCAATTAATTTATGCATAAATGAGACCCAAACTATCACTAATTTTCAGCTATATGAATTGATAGCCACTTGACATCAGTGAAAGGTACAGTAGGGAGTAGATGAAATTGTATTTTTAATGAAAAGGCTTTGATGGGAGATTCAAGATTTTTGGTTTTTTTTTTTTTTTTTGAGACAGGGTCTTGCCCTGTCACCCAGGCTCGAGTGCACTGGAGTGATCACAGCTCACTGGCCTCAAGTGATCCTCCTGCCTTGGCCCCTTAAGTGCCAGGGTTACAGGCATGAGCTACCATGCCTGGCAGAAATTCAAGATTTGGATAAACTTACTTCTTTGCCAAGCCTGTTCTTCAAGTTATTCAGAACTGGGTGTATACCTTGTCCTCATATGTATCTTGTCCCTGCTGTCTTTTAGGTTAGCAAGGTGTATGAATACTTTTAAGTTTTGTTTGTTCTTTTCCTCGTGGTATCAGTGAAATACTGATCTATTCTCTGGCTAGGGTCAATTTACAAAATTGCCATGGAACTGAGCAAAAGGCCCACGTGGGATAAAAATCACTCACCATCGACGCCACCAGTATTTTTCAAGTTATGGCTTTTGAAGTATAACAAATTTCAGTAAACAAAATCAAAAGAAAAAATTCCTCTGCGTACAACAAAGAAGCACCTGTTATATTTTGAATGCATTCTTCATGTTGCCAGCTTTCTAAACTTGTTTTTTTGATGCCTCAACAGACAGAAGTGAAAATTATATGCCACTCTTAAGTACATCCAGGTTCTCCTCTACATATTCCCAATATGGAATGCTGGCTAGCAATCATGGCACTCTCTCAGAAACCAGCCACTGGAAGTTAAAACTTCTGGATTTCAAAAGCTAGTACAGGCTGCTAAATTTAACAAAGGAACAAACCTTCATAAATGGTACAAACTACCTGCCCAACACACTCTTCTATTTTCCAGACCCTTTAATATTGAGTAGTCTAGTCTTGGATTGACTATGGTGGGTTAGGTCTAATCTAAGTATCTTAATAGCTATCTAGGGATAATGAATAAAATTAAATACAACTGGTACCTCAAGTATCATAAGAGAATAAATTTATGAAGACAAGCAGACCAAAGCAACTCAAGATTTTCTACACCTGACTACTGTAGCTGTAACTTCAAATAATGTGTTACCTATGAAACTTATTATGTACGAATTAGTTCTTAAAGACAGAAATGATGGAAACATGTAAAAAAAAAAAAACAACAGTAAGTGTTCAAACAGATCCCTGTTTTGTTATAAAGAACTGGAGCTCTAGGTGGCATCTAGTGGATATTTTAATAGCAATAAAAATAAAAAATTGGGTGATATTCCAACTAAATAAAAAATGCAGCTGCTTTTTAAAATTTAAAAACATACTTTACCACCCTGAATTATAAACTCAAGGCAAGTAGCTTATTATTCCAATAAGGACGTGGTGTGATAAATTCTCTCACACAGGTTGTCATCAATCTCAAATAGATAAAAGGCACAGAACCGATCTAATTCTTTCAATGCATTTTAAGGCTTTGTCCCGCTAAGGGTCAACTTTCACTGTGGTTAAAGTTAAATTTATTTTCTCTAAAACTCTTCTTTTGAAAGGATCTGTTATAGAGATCCTTTATTCACCTGCTCCTACAGTTCCACATCAAGACTAAAATAAAGATAAAAGAATTAGGGTCTTAGTATTAAAATGCTTTTAACTGGTGACAAGAAGGAAGAAGCCTATAGTTAAATATCCCAGAAATTTATTTGATGTTTGCTTGAATACATTTTATATAGAAAGATTGGGATTGTTTGCCTTGGATGCCCCTGGCAAATCTCGTGAGGCATTGAACTAGAAAGGGGTGCCAATCTGGAGACATCAGAAATGGAAATCACAAGCCCAATTTTAGAACTATTCTTAAAGATTTGTCTCTAGTGAAATGAGGCCACTCCCTTAAAAATGCTCAAAGTGTTGGAGCTACTGTGTGACAACAGCTGACATTTAGGAGGGCATTTCATGTTCTGATCTGTTAGAACATTTAAATACTTAGAAATAAAAAATATTCAGCTTTGAAGTTTTCAATACTGGAAAACTTTCAAGTCTAGGATTTACAGCCAGGAAGCGCTGCTCTGTGTTCCTTAAATTGGACTCTGTTTCCCACAAAGTTAATCTTCAGCTTTGGCTTCCATTTCTTCTGCATCATCATCTCCATCCACTTCGGCATTTTCTCTTTCAAGCCTCTCCATCTGCCTCGCAAGTTCAGTCTCATCTGTATCTGTGACCACTTTGGGCTGTGGAAGCAGAGGTATAATTTCAAACTGAAGTAGTAAATACTATACAAATTTAATTTCAATACTATTACTGCCTAATGTTTTCTCTCTTTAACACTTTTCTAACAACTCTGTCATATCTGTTCACTTTTGAGTGACTTATCAGCAATAAATTCCATTACATAAATAAGAGGTGAAACTTATGAGAATAGTATAGAAAAAGGATGTATGTATTAAAATGGAAAATTATTTTCTGTCATTTTTATAAGCTAAAACTGAAAACATGAAATAACCCCAATGGCTGTATCTTTCAAGACCACAAATAGATATCCTGTTAAAAAAACCTGTCTTCCAGGCTCAAACTACTACTTACTAGCTTACTAGTCCTTTCCATAGAAGGAACCATAACACACACACACACACACACGCACGCACGCACGTACACACACTTCTTTCTTGTTGGACAAGGAAAAGACAGGAGACAACTTTTTTTTTCTCCAATTCTGAGATCAAATTTTAGACATGCCACATGCAAATTCAAACCATAAAAAAACTTCTCATTTATATTGTTTATTCCCTTCCCCCTGGCTGGGGACGGGGGGTGACCCTAACACCATTAGTGATCAAAGGCCTGAATGACCATCCTACAATATGACATTCCAAGGCCGACAGCTCTTATTTACCTACAAGAACTCCTTTTAGGAACCTCCTGAGTCATTATTAAAAATGAATCTATTGATCTCACCTCCATTTGAACATTGAACACACCCCTCTTTTCCTCAATCTTCTCTTTGATAACAGCCATAGCTTGACTGAGGACAGAAAGGCCTTCTGTTCTCTCCAGGGTTGTCGTAGTCATTACATACCGAGGAGGAGCTATTAGATTAATCTAAAAGAGAAAGACAAAAATTCATTTATGAATGTACCTACAGAACCCACAACTATTAGGATGCTTGAGATTTTATTAATCTGCTGTATTAACAAATCACCCCAAAACGTAATTGCCAATTCTACAGGACAGTAATTTAGGGTCCTACAGAATTGGCAATTACGTTTTGGGGTGATTTGTTAATGTAGCAAAAGCAAATCAACACAGGGATCTAATGCAATAGTATAAACAGTTCACTGCGATACTGAATAGAAAGAATTATCATTTCCGTGTATCTTTGGTGGCTAAACTAACTGCAATTATCATCAGTATAATGGATAATTTGTCTCTGAACTAAACTGATGGAAGAATCCTTCTGAGTTACAGCCATCCAGTTAATTTTATCACTAATGAAAGATTCTGATCAAACCTCATAAAACTTGTATGTGTACAGATAGAAGAAAGTGTTACTCTTTTTTAAAGTGCTCTCAGTATTTTGGGCACAGCAACTCTTTATTGTAAAGGAGGTTTGGCATCGCTGGCTTTCTACCAATAGGAATCTCCATCCACTGTGATAGTAACAGTAGAAACCAACAAAGCCTAAACATAAATCACAAACATCTAGAAATATTACCAAGAACCACTGCTCAATTTTAAGAGTAAAAAACCCACTTTTGTTATGAAATGTGATTAAAAAAAAAAAAAGAAACAAAGATCAAAGATCCTATTTGGTTTAGGTGAGCATTTCAGCAGGGAGGGAGACAACTCATGACTCACCTTAATGGGCATGTTTTCTGTAGAACAATTCAAACCTGCTCTTAGGGCTTCTTTTACAGCATCAATGCCTTCATAACCATAACAAGCCACTTCAATATCTACAATTACAAAAATTCAAAAGTTGATAAAAAATGCAAAAAATATTTAAAAGTTTAAAGGAAATCAAACACGTGGCAGATATATTAGTATTCAAATACTTATACTGAATCCAACCTCTCTATACTGCAGTTCCTTATTTATAAAAGGGAGGCAAGGAGGAGTGTGGTAAAGATGGAATATAACAATAACTGCAACTTATCTAAAACGGTTTAGAAATTGCATTACCCTTTGACTCAGAAATTCTACTTTTAGGAATTTGTCTTGAAGAACATTTGTGTAAATGGTTAAGTATGTATAATATAAGGGTGCTAATTTGTAGCATTTTTTTGTAACTGTGAGAAAACTGGCACAACCTAAATGTTCATCAGGAGGGGACGGGTTTATGTTAAGGTTTATCTGTTCTATGAAACATTACCCAGCATAAAAAAGAATGAGAAAGATTCCTATGTTCTGCAATGGAAGGGTACCTATGATACACTGGGTGGAAAAGGCTAGTTGGAGAAAATTCCGCATGGTATGTCTCATCTTTGTAAAAATTTGGAATATTTTAAAGTATGCACTAAAACAAAACAATCAAACCCCTCTTTTTAAAAAAAGGGCTACCTTTAGGTTAGCTGAACTCACAAGACTGTTTCTACTTGTGTCAATATATAAATTTTATGATTCAGAAGCCAAAATAATTTCTTAAGCTTTTGTTATAAAAAACAACCATTTAGAAAAATTTATAGATGTTGATGTAGCAACATATTCTTTGGTAAGTCTCATTATTTAATAGCTTTTTTGATGCATGCAAAATACTGTAAAAATCATTTAAAAAATCATTTACCT
Organism: Homo sapiens; assembly: GCF_000001405.40. Lineage (NCBI taxonomy): Eukaryota > Metazoa > Chordata > Mammalia > Primates > Hominidae > Homo > Homo sapiens. Next base: position 67,380,763 of record NC_000014.9, on the reverse strand, counting down.
GCTCGAATTTTGACAGCCTGTGGGGTCAAGCGCCTATTAATATTATTAATGAGTACTTCCCGTTCATCTTCATTCAAATCTAAACTATCCAAAATAGATGGGTCTCTGGTCAAAAACATAAATAAATAACAAAAGGTCAAGGTTATATTACTGATAAATGTGAAACCAAACACTATGGAACAATGCATATAATAGTTAAGCATATAATAGTTAATGCATATAATAGTTAAGGCTTTAGTGTCACAATTAGAATTCAAATCTTAGCTTTGCACTTACACCCCAACTGATTATTAGTGAAATCAAAATTTTAGTGATCTGACTAAAACAAGCAATTTAATGCCTAACACATCTGATATTCTACTATAATTGATTACTTCCATGCAATTAGCTGTCCCTGCCTCAAGGAGTTTATAATCTATCTTGAATAGAAAAAAAAAACATGGAAAAACTTTTAAATGTAACAGTACATCTGTGGGCATCAGGACAGAAAGGTATTACTTCCAGTTAATGAGGTCAGGAAGGGCTTCATGCAAAAAGTAGCATTTCATCTGACCCTCCTAAGTGCCACAGGACAGGGACCAGGGTCTTATTAACTGGCATGTTTGTTGAATGAGTGAGCAAATGAAAATATGAAATAAAGACTAAAAGAGGAGTAGCACTGTAAAAAGTAAAGGTAGAACTATTGTAAAAAAGTTATGATACATAAGGCTGGGCACCAGTGACTCATGCCTGTAATCCCAGCACTTTGGGAGGCTGAGGCAGGGGGATCACTGGAGACCAGGAGTTCATAGACCAGTCTAGGCAACATAGCAAGACCTCCATCTCTATTAAAAAGAAAAAAAGACACTTTGGGAGGCCGAGGCGGGCGGATCACGAGGTCAGGAGATCGAGACCATCCCGGCTAAAACGGTGAAACCTCGTCTCTACTAAAAATACAAAAAATTAGCCGGGCGTAGTGGCGGGCGCCTGTAGTCCCAGCTATTTGGGAGGCTGAGGCAGGAGAATGGTGTGAACCCGGGAGGCGGAGCTTGCAGTGAGCCGAGATCCCGCCACTGCACTCCAGCCTGGGCGACAGAGCGAGACTCCGTCTCAAAAAAAAAAAAAAAAAAGAAAAAGAAAAAAAGAAAGTTATGTCATGTAAAAAAGGAATAGCATGAGCAAGCATCAGGCTTAATAAGCAAGGGGTCTTATTGGGAATAAAAGGCAAGAGAATTTGGGTGGAGGGAACTTTTACTCAGCTAACATAAAGTAACGAGAAGACAACCAACATAAATGTATAAGAAACAAGATGATAAACAGAAAATGGGCAAATGAGGTGAACAGATGTTTCACAGAAGAAATACAAATGGTTAAGAAACATGAAAAACTGTTGACCTCTCCAACAATCAGGAGTATGCAAATCAAAAGATACTACTGTGAATTCATTAGACTAGAAAAAGGAGAAAAAATCAGATATATACCAAATTGTGGCAAGGATTTGGTGAAACCAAGTCAGTTTAAAGATATATAATCAATCCTATGACCCAACAATTCCACTCCTAGGCATATATATTAGAAACTCTCAAACAACTACATATAGAGACACATACACTATTCATCACAGCCCTGTTTGACAAATGGCACAGAAGGGAAAATTACCTAAACAACTCTTAATAGAGGAACAGATAAAGCATATTCTCACAATGAAATACTATATAGAGATTAATATGGATCAAGTATACATCTATCATTGTGGGGGAATCCTGCTTAATAATAGGCTTATATGTAAAAATGCAAGCTACAAAAAGATACAATAGGTTACATTTTAAATAAAAAATGATAATAGACACATATGTAGTAAAACAATAAAAACAAATGATATTGATACATAATTTCAGAATAGTGGTTATCACTGATAAGTGAGGAAAATAGGTCTGGAAAGGTAAAACATTGTTTCCAACTATGTCAGAAATTTTATGTAATTAAAAGAAAAATGCAAAGAACTAGCATTAGTTAAATCTGGACAGTCCCTACATGAATGAAGCAAGAAAAGAGTGCTAAGGAAAAGGGAATAACACACGCCAAGGTTTAGTGGTAACAAGGGGTTGCTGGAACTAGAAGTTAAAGAGGTAACTAAAGAAGCCAGATGATGACAGTTGAGACAAGTTAAGAAATGTACTGAGGACTGCAGGACAGAAATATAAAGTTGTGTTTAATGGCTAATAGTGCAAACTCTGGATGGAGCCAGAATGCACGCGTTTGAATACTGCCTGGCTCTATGATTTGTTAGCTGTGTGACCTTGAACAAATTATTTAATCTCAGCTTCAGTTTCTTCAACTGTAAGAAAAGGATAATAATAGCATTTATACCACAGGTTGTTGTTAGAATTATATAAATGTTAGTTATCATTATTACTATTCCCACCTTTTCTACCACGTGATATACCAAAAAAAAAAAAAAAAAAAAAAAGTCACATGAGAATAAACTTGAAGGGATTTGGAACCCCAGATGAGTTGGCTTTCTGGGGGACTCTTAATGGTCTTGGGTCCTACTCATTCTCTTTTTTCCCCCCTCTAACTCTTAACATTTAGGAAGGAGTGGGAGGTAAAGAGACAGCAAGTATAGAGAACTGAAAGAGTCTGGCTTTTTTTTTTTTTTTAAGAGACAAGGTCTCACTCTGTCATCCAGACTAGAGTGCAGTGGTGCAATCACAAATCACAGCTCACAGAAACCTCAAACCACTGGACTCAAGTGATCCTCCTGCCTCAGCCTCCCAAGTTGCTGGGACTACTACAGGCAAATGCTACCACACCTGGCTACTTTTAATTTTTTTTTTTTTTAGAGATGGCAGTCTTGCTATGCTGCCCAGGATGGTCTCCAACTCCTGGCCTCAAGCAATCCTCCCACCTCAGCCTTACATAGTGCTGGGATTACAGGCATGAGCTACCACACATAGCCAAGTGTGGCTGTTAAAAGCAGAGGACGCAGTGTTTGCTCCAAGAGAAAGTAAAGGAAAAGTTGAGAAGTGGGTTTTATAGTATAAATGGAAGAAACTAGAGATATTTTTATGCTGATGGAGTAAAAGCAATAAAGGGAAAGGTGACCCAAGAGAAAAAGTAACTAATAGAGATCTCTGAGCAGCAGCTGGGCATAGGTGGCAAGACTAGTTTGAGAGCAATTAGGACACAAATTCCAGTGACAGCAGCATAGGAAGAAATGACAGGTGGGACAGAGATATGTAAGTTTGTTGAGACAGTGGAAAAGTAGTTCTTGTGCAATGGTTTCTATTTTCTTTATAAAATAAAATAGGTAGTGAGCATACCAGCCAAGAGGCAGGGAGCAGGGATAGAGTGGTTTTCTGAGGAAGAACGTGGAAAAGCTCTAAAATAGCCACTACTGAAGAACTGACCAGGAGCAGAGAGAATGTGGAACAGCTGAGGCTGGAGACCATGAATATGCAGTGGACCAACCTGCAAGACTGATTTTTCCTAGTAGCACCCAGCAGTCTACAAGTACAGAGAAGGCAGGAACATTGATCCAAGGCTGGATGGATGGAAGGAAAAACAAGGCAAAAGCTCACAATAATGGCAACAAAGTCGTTAAAATGATGTATCATGGTGTGCCTATGTTGGATAAGAGAGAAAAGGCAGGAAATGGCGAAAAGACAGGGAGAAAAAAGGTTTGGAATCAGATCCTAACATACAGAATTAAGATGACAAATAATAGGACCAACTGGGAGCTAGATGAATAGGAGGCAGGGGCAAAAGAACAGAAAGTGTGAATTAAAGATTTTAGTGGCAGAGCAAATCCCGGTGATAGTAAGGCCCAGGCTAAGGCTACATGGAAGACTGGCTAAAGTGGTGTGGGCTGAAAGTCAAAGGAGAGTCAAAAGAGGTAGAGAAAACAAGAGGTTATAGTTTTTGGTGAGACATGCTCTTTAGTCCCATAGCCACTTAGGACAATAACTAGGAAAGGAAAATGTGTGAGATAAACCATATGGTTTATGAATCTACATAACTATGATACATAAAACTACACAGACTTGACCATATAGGATTGGCCCATTTACTGGCCAATACAAAATATTTTAATCTAAATTTGGCAAGTATTTTATACATGGATGCTATGCTGTTAAATATCAGGCCAAGAGTTGTGATATCAAGGTAGAAGGAGAGTCAAGAAGGTATTCTTACGAGACTGCATGCTTAAATGCATCATAGGCACCATATCCAGGTCTCTTGTACTTGTCATCAAAGACCCAGGCAGTCCTCTGGAATAGGCTTTCCAGCTGCTCATCCTTGGTGTATTCTAACACCTCAGCAACATGACGAAGAATGCTATAAACCTAGAAATAAAATGAAAAGCTCAACAATTCAAAGATAAGAGATTTATAAAAAATGTTTTTACATTTTAGTAAATAACATAATTTGGCTACAATAATTCCTTAACAATAAAAGATCTCCATAGGGAAATACTCACTTTAAGTGGGTATAAAAAGTAGAGATAGTATACAATTTAGGGTCCTAAGACCTGGATCAAGTCTTGACAGTAACACAGTATCTCTGAACTTGTTTCCTCCTCTGGAAAAAGAAGAAACTAGCATCTCTCCTTACTACAGAGTGCTCGCATAGATCAAATATATAGAAACCACACACTATAAATGGAAAACGGCTATACAAATACAAGTTGTTATTATTACTCCCTGAGGAGAGAATCACGATAAAAAAAATTTTTTTTCTGTCATCTTACCCACCTGCCAAACTTTTTCTTACCTCCTAAAATTAACAGGGTGTAGACAAAAAGTATTAAGGTCTTCATCATAGTTACACATAAAAATTGAGTGAGAAAAGGTACTGACACTGAATAACTCTTCCATTTTAACATCTCAATAAGATCTATTAACACACTCATTTTAACAATATCCTAAGGAGACAAAAAAATATGAAATTTTCCCAGAAAAGTGCTTCTCAAAAGTTAGTAGGACCTGAGAGTCTGTATTTCTAAAAAAACAGGTGATGTCAATGCTGCTAGTTTAGAGACTACATTCTAAGTGGTAAGGTCCTAGAGTTTATTAAGAAGATATTTTACTGACAGTGTTTTCAAATGTGTAAACCACACTGCATAACTGTAAATACATCAGTAAAACAAAGGAAATGATTTGGGTAACTGATGGCTTTTAGACCTTTATTTTCTCTCTTACTGGGATTAAGCAAGATTTTTTAAAATCTCTTCATTGAAACTTTTTTTTTTTTTTGATATTTTATCTTGAGGACAGAAACACTCATGGCAGAAAAGAACAGACACCAGAGAAGGGCAAAGAAAACAGAAGCAATACAAACAGTACCACTAAGAACTGAGGATAGGCTGGGCACACTGGCTTACGCCTGTAATCTCAAACATTCCGGGAGGCAGAGGCGAGAGGATCGCTTGAGCCCAGGAGGAGGTGGTTGCAGTAAGTTGAGATTGCGCCACTACACTCCAGTCTGGGAAAGACTTTGTGACACACACACACACACACACACACACACACACACACACACACACACACACAGAACTGAGGATGTAGAGGATGAAGGATAACTTAAACAGGACCTGAGAAAAGAGAAATACTGACAGAAGAAATTAAATGGCTATCTTTGCTTTGCTGCTGCTTACTGTGGATGACAAGCAGGAAGTAATAGCAAAAATAAGAATGCAAAAAGAAATAATCCTAACACGCTAGTGGAGGGGGAAAAAAACCAAAACTAGTAACAGGCCTCTGCCTTGCTTTCCTGGATTCACAGACATTTTATAAACCCCTGTTCATTCTTAACATATAACAGCTGGTTGTCTCCGTTACCCTCATCCCAGAACAGGGTTGAAAATCAAGAACTGTATTTTGGCCAAGTGCATTGGCTCACTTCTGTAATCCCAGCACTTTGGAGGGCTGAGGCTCAAGGATCACTTGAAGCTCAGGGTCTGAGACCAACCTGGACAAAATAGAAAGACCTCATTTCTATTTAAACAAACAAAAAAACCCCGTATTTTATGAGGCATTCCAACTGTAAACAAGTTAAAGCAGTTGAAGTCACCCACAGTTAATTTAACCTAAAACGGCTTCAAAACACTTCTAGTACTAATTTGAGAATATTAGATCATAAGCAATACTTTAAGGTAGTAGCAGTATGAAATTAAGATTTCAAATTATTTATTAAACACACAGATAGTGGACTAATTTGACTCAAAGATCAACTTACAGTTTTGGATTTTGTGAATTTGTCTTCACATTTGATTGCTTCCTCTGGAGAAACTCTTCTTTTTGACAAATCAATATATCCTGTACAAAAAAATTGTGAAAAAATCATCTCTGTCCAGATGCCACTGTACTATTGTAACCAGCTTTGAAGACCAAATTAAGTGTTTGATTGGCATACTTATAATTATTTCCTACTAAAATCCTATCAACAAAATACTGCATAAGTATTACAAGGCTGAGTATCCCTCATCAGAAATGCTTGGGACCAAAAGTGTTTTGGATTTCAGATTTTGGAATATTTGCAATGTATTTACTAGTTAGAGCATCCCGAATCTGAAAATCCAAAATCTGAAATGCTCCAATGAACATTTCCTTTGAGTGTCATGTTGGTGCTCAAAAGTTTCAGATTTTGGAGCATTTTGGATTTGGGGATAAGGGATACTCAATCTGTACAAGATGAGAGATTCTGAATTGTTTTCAGAAATAAATTTTTATTATCAGGTAATTATATATATTCCATTACCTTACTGGAGAGAACTAATAATTTTCAATTATCCAAATGAAAGGTAGTCAAATGCCTATCTTTCCCCTATTTCTTCCTTTTCCTTCTCCAGAATAGGAAAATTCACTAAGATGTTCATTTAGTTTAAGGAAAGAGGCTATCGTCACAGAAGACACACACACACACACACACACACACACACACTGAACAAATTAAAACTATCTAATCTACTGTATGACTACCATATACAAGTAACTATGTTAGGTGCTTAAACATCTTCTTGAACCCTCACAACAATCCTGCATGGTAGATTATCACTCTCTTTCCCACAGCGCCCCCCAGTCTTTTTAACCTGAAGAAACTAAAACCCATGAAAGGTTAAGTAACTTGTCAACGTCAAATAGCCAAAAATGGCTGAAACCTACAAACCTGTGCCTGGCAATGACTTCCAGTACAATGCTGAGTAACAGTGGTGAGAGTGAATGTCTTGTTCTCAATACTGGAGGACAGCATGTCTGTGGTGTTTTTCTAGACACTCTTTATCAGATTAGGAAATTCCCTTTTAGTTCTTGTTTGCTGACTTATTATGAATGGGTGACAAATTTTGTCAAATGCCCTTTCACATCTATTAAATTGGTTGTAGTTTTCCTCCTATATTCTGTTCATATACACTGATTTTATTTCAGATTCTGAGCATTCTTTTTCATTAAAAATTGTATGACTTACATATAGTAAAATTCACCACTTTTAGTGTTAAGTTCTTTGTGTTTAAAAAAAAGAACAGTCATTTAACCACCACCAAAATCAAGTTCCATCACCCCTGAAGCCACTAAAAACTGGACACAAGTTTCTCTGTGAACATAAATTTTCCTAGAAATGGCACAGCTGGGTTATATATTAAGTACATGTTAATTTTATCTGCCAAACTTTCCCAAAGTGAATGTGGCACTCTGCATTCCCATGAGCAATGTGGAGCAGTTAGAACTGCTCCATGTCTCTCAATTGATTTTTAAAAAGTCAATCTATTGATTGTGCAGTGGCATCTCACTGTGGTTTTTATTTGCATTTTCCTAATGACTAATGATGTTCAACATCTTTTCATGTGCATATTTGCTATCCAATTATCTTCTCTGGCAAAGTGTCTATTCAAAACTTTCGCTCCTTTAAAAATTGATGGTTTAGATACAGGGTTTTTTTGTTTGTTTTTTGTTTTTTTTTTTGAGATGGAGTCTTGCTCTGTCGCCAGGCTGGAGTGCAGTGGGGCAATCTCCGCTCACTGCAACCTCTGCCTCCTGGGTTCAAGTGATTCTCCTGCCTCAGCCTCTTGAGTAGCTGGGACTACAGGCACGCACCACTATGCCCGCTAATTTTTTATATTTTAGTAGAGACGGGGTTTCACCATGTTGGCCAGGATAGTCTCAATCTCCTGACCTCATGATCTGCCCACCTTGGCCTCCCAAAGTGCTGGGATAACAGGCGTGAGCCACCGCTCCCAGCCTAGATACAGGATTTTTTAGGTTGTTCAAGAGTTTTTAAAATATGCTGGTTTGTCTTTTTATTCTCTTTATAGTGTCTTTAAAGAACATAAGTTCTTAATTTTGATAAGGTCCAATTAATCAATTTTTCCTTTCATGGATAACGCTTTTAGTGTGCTATCTAAGAAATCTTTGCCTAATCCAAGGTCAGAAAGATTCCTGTTTTCTTCTAGAGGTACTTAGAAGTTTACATCTATGATTCATTTTAAGCTAACTTTTGTATAAGGTGAGGTGTTTGAATTGAGGTTCTTTTTTGCATATGGACATCCAGTTGTCCCAGCACCATTTGTTAAAAAGATAATTTTTTCTTTGATCAGCTGCCTTTGTACTTTTGTTAATTAACTGATCATATAAAAGCACACATAAATTTTTTAATTTTTTTTTTAAATAAAAAGAAGTGAGAGATAACAAAAGAGGTGAGGTCCTGCTATGTTGCCCAGGCTGGTCTCGAACTCCTGGGCTCAAGTGATCCCCCCACCTAGGCCTCCCAAAGTGCTGAGATTACAGGCCTCAGCCACCATGCCCAGCCAACATAAAGTTATGACTGTTAAACCAAACTGGCATTCCATACACTCCACTTGGTCATGCTTTATTATCCTTTTTATACATTGTTGGATTTGAAAAACATATTAATTGTTTTATCTATGCTAATCACATATTTGGTCAGTAATTTGCTTTTTTACAAAAACATGTCTTTGTTGGGTTTTCTTATCAGGGTTATGATGGCCTCATAAAATTAGTCATGCACTGCATAACATTTCAGTAAACAATAGATTGCATATATAGCAGCAGTGCTGTTAAGATTATAATACTGTATTTTTACTGTATCTTTTCTGTGTTTAGGTACACAAATATTTACCATTGTGTTACAACTACCTAATCAGTATAGTAACATGCTGTACAGGTTTGTAGCCTAGGAATAATAGAGTATACTAAACAACCTATGTGTGTATAGGCTATAAGGTCTATGTAAGCAGCACACTCTATGAAATTTGCATGATAAGACATTTTTCAGAATGTATCTTTGTCATTAAGCACCACATGACTGTATTTCGAAAGTGTTCCCGCCTCCTTAACTTTTTTTTTTTTGGTGGGAGACAGTCTTGCTCTGTTGCTCAGGCTGTAATACAGCAGTGTGATCACAGCTCACTACAGCCTCAAACTCCTGGGCTCAAGCCGTCCTCCCACCTCAGCCTCCCAAGTAGCTGGAACTACTTTACAGGTACACACCACCACACCCAGCTAATTTTTTAAAATTTTTATAGAGATGGGGTCTCCCTATATTGCCAGGCTGGTCTTGAAATCCTGACCTCAAGCGATCCTCCTGTCTCAGCATCCGAAATTGCTGGAATTATAAGTGTGAGCCACCGTGCCTGGCCTACCTCCTTAACTTTCTGAAATTTTATTATGACTCATCTTATTTCTGCCTTAAATGTCTGATACAACTCATCAATTTAACCATCTGGCCTAGAGTTTTCCTTTTTTTTGAGACAGGGTCTTAGTCACCCAGGCTGGAGTGTAGTGGCATGACCTCGGCTTACTGCAGACTTGTTCTCCTGGCCTCAAGCAATCCTCCAACCTCAGCTTCTCTAGTAGCTGGAACTGACTAGAGGTGCACAACACCATGCCTGGGTAATTTTTCTACTTTCTGTAGAGATGAGGTTTCGTCATGTTTCCAGGCTGGTCTTGAACTCCTGGGCTCAAGCAATCTGCCCACCTCAACCTCCCAAAGTGCTGGAATTACAGACATGAACCACTGTGCTGGTCAGGACCGAATTTTCTTGATGAAAAGATTTTTTACAATAAATTCAATTTCTCTAACATATAGGACACTCAAAATTTCTATTTTATATTGGTCAGTTTCAGTAAGTAAAATTTTGCAAGGAATTCACTAATTTCACCTGATTTGTTGAGATGATTGGCATAAAATTGGTAATGATATTCCCTTATTAGCCTTTTAATGTCTGTAGCATCTGCAGTGATAGCCCCATTCTCATTCCAGATTGGTAATTTGTGTTATTTCCTTTTCTTCATCAGCCTAACTAGGGGTTTATCAATTTTGCTCTTTTTTAAAAAAACAAAAAACAAGTTTTTAACTTTGATACTGTTCTCTGATTTTCTGGTACTCTATTTTCACCGATTATCTTATCCTTATTATTTCTTTTCTTCTACTTACTTTGTGTTGGGAGAAAGCCCCCTAAAATCTAGCCATAAACTGGCCCCAAGACTGGCCATAAACAAAATCTCTGCAGCACTGCGACATGTCCATAATGGTCCTAACGCCCAAGCTGGAAGGTTGTGGGTTTACAGGAATGAGGGCAAGGAACACCTGGCCCGCCCAGGGCAGAAAACTGCTTAAAGGCATTCTTAAGCCACAAACAAAAGCATGAGTGATCTGTGTCTTAAGGACGTGTTCCTGCTGCAATTAATTCGGCCCATCCCTTCATTTCCCATAAGGGATACTTTTAGTTAATTTAGTATCTATAGAAACAATGCTAATGACTGGTTTGCTGTTAATAAATATGTGGGTAAATCTCTGTTCGGGGCTCTCAGCTCTGAAGGCTGTGAGACCCCTGATTTCCCACTTCACACCCCTATATTTGTGTGTGTGTGTCTTTAATTCCTCTAGCGCCTCTGGGTTAGGGTCTCCCCAACAGAGCTGGTCTCAGCAACTTTGAGTTTACCTTTCCTTTCTTTTATCTTCTAAAACAAAAGCCTAGATAACTGTTTTAGATCTTTATTCTTTTCTAATATAAGTAATTAAAGCTATAAATTTTCCCTTAAGGCTTTAATATATGAATTATTTGGAAGGGCTTATTTAATACTGCAAACTCTTCCCTCCCAAGATATGACACTGATTTCAAAATTACTTCCAGTGTGATCAGAGAACATATTTGTATTCCAACCCTTAGAAATTTATTTAGAGTTGTATTAATATTATAGCTCACCTTATTGTCTATCTTGGTGAATGTCATGCACACTTGAAAATAATGTGTATTTTGCCTTTTCTGGGTGCAGTGTTCTAGGTATCAAACAAGTCAAGGTCTTCATTGATCTAATTGTTTCTCCAATTGTTCAGAGCTTGTTCAAACTTCCAACTATGATTATAGATTTGTCTATTTCTCTCTTGAATTCAATTTCTGCTTTATATTTTGAACTCTATTATTAGGCACATACACAGTGATGACTGTTGTTTTCCTTCTAACAAATTGACCCTTTATCATTACAAAATGTCCCTGTTTAAATCTGAAAATACTATGTCTTTAAATCTACTTTATCTAATATTAATAGACACTGTCTCCTTAAGGTATTGTCTGCATAGCATATCTTTTTATATCCATTTATTTTCAACCAAGTATATCTCTTGTAGACAGGATTATCGTCGAGTCTTGCTTTTTAATTCATCCTAACAATCTCTGCCTTTTAGCTGGAATATTTACTTGATTTACATTTAATTACTGATATAAATGAATTCAGTTGTATCAATAACTGAATAATTGAATACCTACATTTTAGGTATTTGTTTTCTATTTGTTCTTTCTGGTTTTTGTTTTTTTCTTTTGAGTTTTCTTTTAGGTTAATGTTTTCTAGAATTCCATTTTAATATATCTTTGGCTTTTACAATAGTGTATTTTGTATTTTACTTACTTATTTCTAGAGATAGTTTCACTATGTTGCCCAGGCTGGTCTTGAACTACTGACCTCAAGTGACTCTCCCACCTCAGCCTCCCGAACAGCTGTGACTACAAGCACAGACCACTGCAACTGGCTTATTTAATGGTTGTTCTAGAATTTACAATATACATCCTTAACCTTTTAATTTTACTACTGCACATAAAATGTAAGAATCGTTAAGAATCATATAGATCTATTTACCCCACACCTCCTGGCCTTTGTGATTAAGTTGTCAAGTGTACTAAGCCTGCTTTAAACAGTATTCTGTTTTCTTAGCTTCTATATTTAACTACTTGGCATCCATTAATCACAGAGCCAACTGTATTAACTATATATTTTATTATTAATATTATTAGTAGTAACTAAATATTTTCTTATTTTCTGTATTCTTGAGGCTCTGACATTTGTGGAGAGACTGCCCCTCCGTCAGGTGGGGAGGAGTCAGCAAAGGGCTTGCTTGGTAGCATGCCTTTCTTATGCAGAGCAGCCAATCTGGAGCCCATAAACTCATACACCAAGCCAAAATTCTCCCTGCTGTAAGTCAAGGGCCAGGTATTAGACAAGCAGGGCAGTCTTTATGCCCCAAGGCCCGCCAAAAGCATTCAAACTAGCCAACTGCAAGCCGTTTACGCTGCTCTGCCTTGCTTTTCCTGCAGAAACTCCAACAAAAGCTCTGACCTACTTTTTCCCCTAGTTCCTTGTGACTCCTGACTAAAACTGGTGCTTCCCCATGTGGCCCTGCATGGCACATCAAGCCCCCTTCTCTCAGGCAATATAAGTAGTAAAAGTTTTCTTTCAAGGGCATTGGACTGTGTCATCACTCAGTCACCTCTATAGATTACAATCCCACAGGCACAAATGAGACAAATAGTTAAATATATTTTTAAAGAAACTAAGAAGGGCAAAAATAGTCTTTTACATTTACCTATATATTTTCCATGTCAGGTCATCACATCTCTTCAGCTTAAAGAACTTCCTTCACCTCTCTCTTTTTTTTTTTTGAGACAAGGTCTGGTTCTATCACCCAGGTTGGAGTGCAGCGGTGCAATCTTGGCTCACTGCAGCCTCCGCCTCCTGGGCTCAAACCATCCCCCTACCTCAGCCGCCCGAGAAGCTGGGACTACAGGGTGCACCACCACGCCCAGCTAATTTTTGTATTTTTTGTAGAGATGAGGTTTTGCCATGTTGCCCCAGCTGGTCTTGAATTTGTGAGTTCACGCAACGTGCCCACCGTGTTCCATTCCATGCACCGTATTTATGAGAATGCTGACCAAGTGTAGAACACTTAGCACAAAGTGACCTGGATGGGGTGGGGCGTGGTGGCTCACGCCTGTAATCCCAGCACTTTGGGAGGCCAAGGCGGGTGGATCACAAGGTCAGGAGATCAAGACCATTCTGGCCAACATGGTGAAACCCTGTCTCTACCAAAAATACAAAAATTAGCTGGGCATGGTGGTGTGTGCCTGTAATCCCAGCTACTCTGGAGGCTGAGACAGGAGAATTGCTTGAACCAGGGAGTCGGAGGTTGCAGTGAGCCAAGATCGTGCCACTGCACTCCAGCCTGGCGACAGAGTGAGACTCCATCCCCCAAAAAAAGAGAATATAGATTTTTTGTTTTAGCAGGCAGTCAGAATCTGAACTCAAAACTATAAGCTCTGTCTCCCCAGATGGTAAGCAACTGAAATCTGTTCAGATTTTTCCCCTATTAGGCTACCTGGAGTCCACCCTGTGTTTCAGTAGTTCAGGGACAAACCAGAGATTTGGGAAGAATTTATATAGACTTAGGGGATCTCCCTTTGTGCCTGCCGCCTCCTTTCTCTAACCCTCACCACTATCACCACCAGTTTCCATCTACTATGGTTGTCTACAACTCTCGCCTCCAGTTCTAAAGCCAATAAGACCATAAATTTTCTGCTAGAACCTTAGCTGCCTGGCTTGAAGCTGTCTTCAGCATGTACTTAGGTCAAAAAAAAAGGTGTAAAACAGAAAACATACCCTTTCTTATAAGTGTCGACTCACCTTCAAATTTTCAATTTTGGCCTGCTTTTGGCTGCTTCTCATTGTCTTTAGGTAGTTATTTTTCATACTTGTTCAGGGTTTATGGCATTTACGTTGAAAGGCTTGTCTAGGAGGACATAATTCTCTAGTATCAAAATGAATCCTCTCTACAGGCTCTTTTGCACTTTGCTTTTTCTCATCCTATCCTGGAGATCTTCCATATCAAAATATTCAGATCTCATTCTGCATAAAATTGCATTGCACGCATTTGTACTGATTTATTTAACCAGTCCCCATTTTGGTCATTTCCTGGTTTTAGTTAATGCCATACAAACAAATGCTATGGAAATATCTTTACATGTATCTACTGTACGTAAGCAAGTATGCCATTCCATATTTTTTCTGATTGCAACTAAAAACATATTTGATTCCTCCTTTTGTGTATATTTTATACAATAGAAAAAGAAGGCTGAGCACAGTGGCTCACACCTGTAATCCCAGTACTTTGTGAGGCCAAGGCAGGAGAATCGCTTGAGCCCAGTTCAAGACTAGCCTGGGCAACACAGCAAGACCCCATCTCTACAAAGAAAGTTAGCTGGGCAGGGTGGCACATGCCTGTAGTTCCAGCTACTTGGGAGGACTGCTTGAGGAACACTTGAACACAGGAGTTCAAGGCTGCAGCGACCTATGATCATACCACTACACTGCAGCCTGGGTGACAGAGCAAGACCCCAATTCTTAAAAAAAAAAAAAAAAAGTACAAGATTAGACACTACTTTAGGTACTACTAGGACAGTGATGTGAAGACTTACCTAAGTTTAACAAATAGTCTCAAAGTAGTTTAATAATTTTGGGCGGGGCTATAGCTAAGTCATAGCAAAACATTTAAAACAATCCATGTGCTAAGTAGCAGTCACTACCTAAGGCATAAGACATCCTCAAAATCTATGTATCATCTAAGGCTATAATAAAAAAAATTAAAATGTCAGTATGTATAAAATTAATCACTTGCAGAAGTGAGAAAGTATCAGTAAACCAGACGGCTGAGGAGATTCAGAAGGGTAAGTTGAATCAAGGTGACTGATATGAAGCCTTTCGGACATGATGGTAACTAATGACCTAAAACTAACACCTAACAAATTATAGTAAGATGGCTGAAACTAAAACCTACGTAATGGTATTGTACACCATGTTTAAAAAAAGAGTATTCACAAAGGTGATGATTTACATGGGGCCCAGAAAAGGCATCCAATAAGTAAAAAATGAATGCTCATCCAAAACTGTCTGAAAGATACCACGAGATCTGGTAGATGCAAACATTCTAATTACCAGCAAGATATACAATGTTGGATTTCAGGTGTGTATATACACGCATAGTATATTGCTTTTTCAAAGCTTATATAAAAGATCCCTAAAATCCATTTGCCCCATTTTCATGCTTACCCAGTGATCTCATTACTATTTTAGCTTTAAATCAAGAAAAAGGCATCCAACATATTCAGGCCTACCAATGTAAATGAACTAGTACTCTGACTTACCTGTCTCTAAGTTTGGTTACCATGAGTCAATTATCAAGATCCTGATAAACACTAGAAATAAAATTCAAGTTATCTGATCCATAAAATCCTAGGATGTACTAATTAAACTACTATTAAGAGATCTTGCTTAGATAGCTAATTGGCATCCTTTTCTAACAACTTTGTATGTAAAAGGTTTAAGTATAAAAGGAGCTTTTTTTTTTAAGCTGCAGCTTGCAATTTACAAAAAATGTATTTTTAAATAAACCATTTTAAATCTGAAATTTATATTACAGATATTTTTCTCACTTACCTTTTTCTTTGTCCACCCTAATGACAACCACACACTCATTCCTGCCAATTCGGATGAGTTTGTTGATAGAACGGATACGCCTTCTGGATAATTCACTAAGAAGAATCATGCCTTCAATGTTGTTGTATTCCAGCAAGCTGACATAAGCCCCCATTTCAGCAATGGATCTGACATTCACCATCACTACATCTTCCACCTCAGGAAATTTGTGTTGATAAAATCTACAACTTAGACCCGGCATTCTGCAATTTAAACAAAAGAATTAAGTAAGTATTCAGTTAAGGTGAAAATAAAAAAAAAATCAATTTCCACATCCTGCCACTGAAAGAAAAGATGAAGAAAAAAATAGTTATTAGTCTTAGTCTTCTCATCCTTTGAAACTTCTTAAGTGGTACCAGAAAACAGATAATGTTCAGGAACCAAGCTTTAATTTTTATTTTGCTCAACATTTTTGTAATGCTTGGGTGATTCTCTGCCTTTAGTTTCAGAGGAATCATAAAAAATAATGACCATCTATAAAGTACTCCAAGACCTAAGGATTAAAGGAATACCTCAAGAGTAAAATACTACTTTAAGGCATATCAAATGATGGGAAGCATCACTATTATAACTAATCAGAAAACTAAAGCTACTCTTTGCCGAAGTGAGCAAACATTGTATACGCTACCACTCACTATATAAAGGAAAAAATTTTCTACCTAAACCCTAACCAATATACCAAATGATACATTCTGTCATTTATTATAGCCAAAATTACAGTGTCACATGTCAAAACAACAAAAACTAAAAAAATTTTAATCACAAAATAAACTAAAATGCATCCTCCTCTCATAATTCTTTTTCCTTGAATTCACAATGTCTAGCTTCTCTTATCCCCAATACTCCCAAATATTCCTTTCTTTTATTGAATAGGTATACCTAATCTTGAGAATAGCTTTAATCTCCATTACTACAAAGTTCAAGTTTCTCTTAACCTCCAAGCATTAAAGATATTTACAATTATTCCCTTTGATCCACCCAACCTACTTTCAGCACTACTCCTTTTATGATCCACAAGCCTGAAATCATAGCCTGGGTAGAAGCATATTTAAAAAAGGAAGCTCTCAAACTAATCATGGCTGATGATTTTCATGTTTTTCTGTTAACCTTCACTGTTGTCACTGCTCAAAACGTAGGTAGTAACAGAACTTAAAGGCCTAAGAAAACCTTGTGAAAATTCATATAATAACTTATTAATTGGCACCTGCCTATATCTTCTCAGTGGCTTCCCACTGACTTATGTATCTTTCCACTACCTACAGAATCCTATATGATCTGGCCATTGCCTATCTCCTTGTGGTACAACTTTCTCCCTAGTTCTCCCCATTTTATAGATTAAAAAACTGAAGCACAGGTTAAGTTACTTGTTCTTTCACATACTGCTAACAGGTGATGAGTCAGGATTTGAATCCATGAAGTCTGGATCCAGAGTCTGTCCTCTTATCAGTAAGACTATATTCTCTCAAAACTATTCATAAATATATTATAATTAGAAACATTTTACTTAAAAAGCAACATTAATATATATTCAGTGCCAGAGTACATAACACCAATAAGTGCAAACTATTAGTACTCATCTGTTTGACAACAAAGAGCAGCATATTAATGACAGTAGCAGAGATGTATTTCTTTGTAGGGAATACAAAATCCCTACAAAATAGGGATTTAGCAAATAAAGAGAAGTAGACATTCAATGGCCTTACCCACCAAGAAACAGCTGACTGTTTGTTTCGTTTTTAAACAGGGCTTTTCGAGGGTGGGGGTGGGGAAACTGTTGTTGAATATGTGTATGTAAAGCTCTCAAATTTGAGAGCTAAAAAGTTTCAAATTGGGCATAAAAATAAACTATGTTACAGAAATGTATGGAACAGTTGCAAGACATTTGACCAGTGAAAACCACATTTACTTACCAAGCTTCTCCAAACAGTAAAGGTGATGCTTTTAGGGGAAGCAAGGCTTAATTTGATGGTTAAAAAACATGGGCAATCATGTAAGAGAATCCTGAAGGGATATGACTATGAATACTATTTCTTCAGGAGGCACAAGTCTCTTTGCAACATAAAGGGTAAGTAAAGGAATACTGTTGATGGTATGTTATTCATAGTAAAGATAGATAGTAGTTAAGTACAAAAAGAATCCATACCACAAAAACCTGCATATTGGTTGACAATTTTTGAACATATTGCCTAATGAAATGCTAATAACTTAAATTTTTTTTTTAACTTAAAAAAATCATTCCGCAATATCGAAGTCACACTAGGTGACTTCACCTCTTTATCTTTTTCACAGCATTCTTATTTTATTTGGTCCTCAAGAAGTGTCAAATCAGGCAATTAACATAGTAAACTCGGGGAACAACTCTAGCCTTGTGTTCCAGTCCTTGCTCTGCTACTTACTAGAAGTGGCTGCTTGGGAAAGATAACATCCTTTGAACTGTAGTTTCTCATCTGTGCCATGTACATCACAGGTTTACTGAGGGTATCACATGTATACGTAAAAACATTTTGAAAACCATTATGTGCTAGTCAAACATAAAATATTGAAAGAAAAAGAAGGTATTTCCATTTTGTAATATAATAATTTGTTAATTTTTTTTTCAGTAGCTACTATGTACTAAGCACTAATGATACAACAAGAAAGACTCTTACCAGGCCAGGCGCAGTGGCTCACACCTGTAATCCCAGCACTTTGGGAGGCCGAGGCGGGTGGATCACTTGAAACCAGGAGTTCGAGGCCAGCCTGGTCAACATGGTGAAACCCCATTTCTACTAAAAATACCAAAATTAGCTGGGTGTGGTGGCAGGCACCTGTAATCCCACTACTATAGTGGCTGAGGCAGGAGAATCCCTTGAACCCAGGGGCAGAGGCTACAGTGAGCTGAGATCGTGCCACTACACTCCAGCCTGGGCAACAGAGACTCTGTCTCAAAAAAAAAAAGAAAAAAGAAAAAAGAAAAAAAAAAAAGACTCTTACCTAAGTAATTAAGTATAGAGTGGGAAACAAACTAGCAAGCAAATAATTACAATACAAAGTACTATGAAAGGGCACAGTGAAGCAATGAACAGGAAAGGTGGAACAGAAATACTAAATTATAATACTTCCTTAAGAACAAATGCTTAATAAGTACTAGCGTAGGAGCTAAACTCAAGTAATCCGACATCAAATCCAGAATGTCTTTAACCCACAGAACCTCAATATCACAACATGCTATAATACTCTTATGTGTTCTGATGTAAAAAGTATCAGCCACCTTTCAAAATATATCAACCAAACTCCAGGCTAATTTCAAATACCCTGCATAGTCAGTTATTTTGCATGACAAATGGTAGGTAGGACTTCTTTCTCAAAACAGTGCATGGTCAAACTGCTATAATGGATATAGAAGTTCACATTCCTTTCCAAAATATATTATGTGATGGGGACAACTCTCGTGATAATTCTAATTTGGATCTAACACGTATTAGGAATGCTCTCTGAATGCTAGTTCTTGGTATAGGAGTGCTACATAAGTAAAGCTTTTATTTCATCATTATAGTTGAAAAAGAAAGTTATCACCGAATCTCTACAAACATTACTGTGCATGAGACAACTACATCTTTTGGCACCAGATGAACTAAGAATAGGTAGCAAAGTTCTGTACAAGTCACCCCCAAACTATTGACAGAGATTGTTCCTTGAATAACAACTCAATTGAGGGGAAATAAAGACTTCTCTGCTATACTTTTTCTCGAAGAAACCATGTTTTTTGCTTAATAAAAATTTAAAAAGCCTAAGTTTTGAGGATAAAGAGACCTCAGCATGACTGTGTATTTAACCCGAAAATATATCCTTATCTTAGGTTTTAGTTATGCTTAACTAACATAGTTAACCTAACATATGCTTAACACAGTTCTATTCTCATTGTCGCCAAAATACGACAAACTGATAGTAACAGTAATAAACTCAAGTCTCATTTAGTTTTGGTTCAAGGGGTGACTCATTCAATTATCAGATGAAAAACTACTCGGACCCCGCTCTTTCCAACACGGTGCCCGTCCCACAGGTTTCTCAGGTAAGAGGCCAGTTTGGTTTCCACTGAGACGCAGGGGAAATTTTTGGTAGAGCTGTTGGGGCGGAAGAAAAGATGGAATTCTCAAGCCTGGAAAAAGCAAAGTGCTCAGCGTCCTGAGCCGGGGTTAAGAGTTACGGTGTCACAGCGTTCTCCTGAGACCGCCCCATCGTCATGGCATTCTCACTTTCGGCATATTGTAGAGGCTGTACAATCCACTCGGCCCACTTTCCTTCACGAGATTCCTCTGCTCGAACAACGATGCCTCTGGAACACAGGATGACCTACACGGAGCCGGCGAGGAGGCCCACGACAGCGCGGGTGGTGGCGGTGCTGTCCAGCCACTTCCCGCGCAGGGACGGGAAAGGGAGGTATTAGCCCGGGGCCTACCCGCTCTCGAACACCCATGTCACTGGACACAAACCAAAGTGAGTTCCTGGAGAAACCGAGCTTGGGATTAGTCACCTGAGGTATGTGTGTGATTCCCGCACTGGAGCCCAGAGCCGACTTCTTCAATCACAGAGACCAGACTTGCTTCCCCCTCACCGGCCGCCGATCCTCCTCAGCGTGCGCTTCGCTCACTCCACCGCGCATGCGGAACCTCCTCGCATGCGCAAGCGCTGAACGAATAGAGGCCCCTCTTCATCATTAACCATAGAGTCTGGGTCCTCCGAGAACAAGGACGAATGTAGATCATGGAAGGACCTGAAAAGTACTGTTTCTCGCTATCTTAGCTTTAGCTAAGTAACCTTCAAGGCGCGAGAAAGACATAGGACTCCGATTCCTTGCCTCTGAAGAATGAATCCTCTTTCAAAGTTTCAGCTAACCATGAGATGGCGCTGTGACCAAAGACGAAAGGTGGAGAAAGACAAGGCGTGCACGCTTCGCTCCTAGTCTTTGGCCTGGCGCGTGCCGCGTATTGCGCAGCCGCAGGGAAGCTGGATGGGGAGGGGTTGGGAGGCGAACCGGAATTGAGGGGTGGTTCCGCGGTGCGCGCGCCTCGACATCCGGGCAACGCCTCTGTTCTGTCCTCCCCCTTCGTCGCCTGTGACAACCGGAAGCGGAAGTGAAAATGGGTGTCCCTGCTGCCTCTTAGCAACAAGAGGGGTCAAGTGACACAACCAGCTGACTCCCGTAGAGGAAGACACTGTGGAGGCCAGTTCTGGAGCTATTGCAGCCTCGGTTGCCCGGCCGGGGACCCGAGCCGAAAAGTTATCGTCAGAATGTCGGGCAAAGACCGAATTGAAATCTTTCCCTCGCGAATGTAAGTAAAGGAATGGGATAAGCCGCTTTCACAGGTTTAGGAACCCGGAGCGCGGTCCCTTCAGACCCTGGGCCACAGTGAGGGTCCTTGTTTCCTGGGAGGATCCTGAGCTTTTCCCAGGTTCTTTTCTTGAGTCTAGGGCGAGGCTTCCTGACGGCCTCTTCGCGCATTCCTCCTGAGTGAATCAGGCTGGACGAAGCGATCCCAGCCGGTAGGAAAAGGCGCCCGGCCGGCGGGCTTTTGTGGAGGTCTGCTGTCTTTATTCATTAATGGATTCATCCATTCCACATACCCTTATTGAGCCGGGCACTGGATTTATATAACTGAACCGTCGCCACCTCTGCCCTACAGAGCTCACAGTTTACGTAGCCAGACATTCGTCTGGAAAGGCCAAGGAGGTTTTAATAAATGCTCTGAGAAGGGAAGTTTACTGAGGATATAGAAGAGGTCCCTAAGCCAAAGTGGGGATGGAATCGAATCGCCCTAGCATAGCCCTCGGATTCGATCTTGGATCCCCTTACTCATTTTCCAAGATCCCGCCAAATGTCACCTGCTGTGAGAGGATATCCCTGTGTTTCTGAGGCACTGCTTTTGCTCTCTCACCGCTGCACCTTGTTCAGACCTGTGTTAATACCGGTCATCACGCTGTAAAGTAGATATTTGTTTATGTGTCTTTCTCTCCCACTAGACTGTGGGCTCTCTCCAGGATGAAAGAGTGTCTTAATCCATAGAAGGTCCACAAAAAAATATTTCTTGAAAGAACTCATGCTTGGGAATACGCTCAGTTGTGGGCTGCCTTTCTTTTGGGGCCTGAATTCTTTGTCAGGAAAATGGCATATCACTGTAGGTGTTTGGCTAGTTTGTAAGGAAAATTTTGACGTTTTCTCAAATGTGCCTAACAACTTGCTCCCTTTCTCCTCCTCATCCTGTTTATTTTTATTTAGTTTGTTGTTTGTTTGTTTTAATAAGAGACAGGGTCTCCCAGGCTGGGGTGCAGTGGTATGATCAGAGCTCACAGCAGCCTCAAACCCCTGGGCTCAAGTGATCCTCCGGCCTCAGCCTCCCTGGCGGCTGAGATTATAGATGGGAGCCACCGCGCCTGGCTTTCCCTTTTTCTTTTCAGTGAGGAAGCAGAAAATCAGTTTTGACCCTGACATTTAGACCCTTTTATTGTGGTCCTATCTCTGTGGGGGTGTTTTGTTGTTTTTCCTCATTCTGTCCTTTGAGAGAATCTGAGGATGCTTAAAATAAAAGTTATATTCAAACCTGAAGCCCAGATTTCTTTCTGCCCGGTGACTAAATAGCTCTTAATGAAATGAAGTTTTTAAATTTTTTACCTTCACCTGTTGACTTTCTAATAGCTGTTTGCACTAAGTAGGCAGCAAGCTAGTTGTGGGGAAATAAAGATGAGGACTATCCCGAGGTAGTGACAACTGCAGAACTCCTAGGACGTGATGACTCAGTCAAAACTTCTGCACTGAAAGACATCGACACTAGTTTATCTTCTAGCAATGTAAGGCCTGCCCCTAGGGTGACCCCAGGCCGCCCCCCGCCGCCCCCGCCATTAAAATGCCTGCCTGAAAAAGCTCAAAGCTAGGGGGAGAATTTACTGTTTGTTCTAGTCAACACCTAATTGATAGACCCCTCTCGTTCCCTTTTTAGAGCATTTACGAAACAGGCTTACAATTGTTAATATGTATCTCTTCCAACTCTGAAGTGTCCCTTCAAGTATCTTTGAGAGCCATTTCTTTGAAACGTAATCATCAGGAGGGATAGGGGCTTTGTCTCCCAGTCTGTGTGAGAGGATAGAATAGTAACTTACTAATTGCCAGGTAGTATGGCGTTTACACTGACCAACACTTTAAGGTTTCTCTTCTCTGACTCTTCTTGCGGCTGGCTCCCTGCCACTCCCTTACTCTCTTTTTTAAAATGGCCAGTCACCTCTGCACAAATGAGAATTGAGCTCAGCCCTTTCCCCTACTATCAGTGGTTTACTGAATAAAATCTGTTTTCACTACTTTAACGAATGTCTGGCTGGGTTTATCTTTGACAGCAGTCAGAATAACTTTTTTGTTTTTACTTTGAAACTTTTACTTTGAGACTAAGAGGCAAAAATAGACATCTTTGGGCTTAGGTAAGAAAATGATAGGCTCATGAAGGTGAAACTACTATTTGAAAGCTCTCAGCTTGCTGATTGAGAGGAAAATCAGGTGCAGGAAATAATCTCTTCTCTAAATATTTTCCCCATGGCTGGCAGCAGGCTTTTTGTCATGTAGTCAGATGTCTTTGATTCAGCTGGAAGAAAAGTCATCATCCTAGCTAAAGGTCAAACTTTTTGAGTAGGACTGAGCAGCTCTGAAACATGTAAAGGAGCAAGTTTTAAAAGCCATAGGCTAGAAAATATACTGGCAGCTTGTTTCACAGACATTTCCATTCAACAGTATTATTCTGTGATGTTACTTTCACCCACTTTCGTACCAGAGAAAGCAAAAACAATTGTAGAGTGGAAGTAAAAGACGCATGAAAAATTTGGAGTCAACAGAAGTCCACTAAATCCAGGTTCTGCTACATATTAGCTGTAAGTGTGCACGCTGCTCTTAGAGTTTCAGGAATTAAAATTGCCCATTTCACAAAGATGCCATTCCCTAGGAGGAAAATAAAATTAACATGGTAAATTCAATTTTATCAACCAGTTTACCTTTTACTATAAACTGGCTGGAATATGCAGTACTACAATTTGACTTAAATTTGATCCAGCTCTTTGAGCCCAAGTTCTAGTATTTACTATCAACAATACATTATGTTAAATGCACACATTGAGATGGATAGCTCCTTCTCAGGCTGGAAACTAAACGACCTTCACTTGATAAGACCTCTTGTGAGACCAGTCAGTGCAGAGTCAGCCAGTGATAATTGTTCTCTTTAAGGGGAGGCACATGTTTGGGGTACAGTGAACGTAGGTTGGAGCCTTAGTTTGAGCATTGGGAAAGTCAGTGGAATCAAAAGTCTGGTTCAAGTCCCTGCCCTGCCTTTTCTTCACTGAGTAACTTTGAGAAAGTTGTTTTACTTTTCTAAGCCTCATTTTTCTAATCTTTAAGTTAATGTCTAAAGTCCCTTTCAGCTATAGAATTGTCTTAGTGATCTTAGCCCTATGGTAAAAGATTCCAGTATAATTTAAGAATTTGGCCAAATGGTGTTTGTTTGTTTTTGTTTTTTTTTTTTTGTTTTTGTTTTTTTGAGGCAGGTTTTCCCTCTGTTGCCCAGGCTGGAGTGCAGTGACCCGATCTTGGCTCACTGCAACCTCTGCCTGCCAGGTTCAAGTGATTTTTGTGCCTCAGACTCCTGAGTAGCTGGGACCACAGGGATGCAGCACCATACCCAGCTAATTTTTGTATTTTTTGGTAGAGATGGGGTTTCACTATGTTGGCCAGGGTGGTCTCGAACTCCTGACCTCAAGTTATCCACCTGCCTCGGCCTCCCAAAGTGTTGGTATTACAGGTGTGAGCCACTGCACCTGGCCAAAAAAGTTTATTAGTACATGCGATTTTAAAACACCAGTCATATGAAATTATATCCCCTTAAATCACTGTGTCTAGGTTATACTGTGTCTAGGTTATACAACCTTATTGTTGAATTTTATTACCCAAACACTTGTTTTTTTGAGACCGAGTCTTGCTCTGTTGTCCAGGCTGCAGTGCAGTGGCATGATCACAGCTCACTGCCTCAACCTCCTGGGCTCAATCAGTCCTCTCACCTTAGCCTTCTTTGTATATGGGATTACCGGTGTGCCCTACCATGCCCAGGTAATTTTGATATTTTTTTTTTTTTGTAGAGACAGGGTTTCACCTTGTTTCCCAGGCTGGTCTTGAACTCAAGCAATCTACCCACCTTAGCCTCCCAAAGTGCTGATTATAGACATAAGCCACTGTACCACTTACCTTATTTAGAGCATTCTTCCTAAGGTCCTCCAGGTACTTTTCATTAGCTCTTTTTCCTGCCTGAAATACTCTTTCCCCGGAACTTATAACTGGCTCCTTTGGCTGTTCTAGTCTCTTAAGAGAGGCTGTTCCTGATCACCCAATCTAAAGTGAACACCATGTTTGCTTCTGTCATAATTCCTTATTTTAATTTTATTGTAGCATGTACTACTGCATGGTATGACATTTTATTTCTAGTCTTTTTTTTTTTTTTTTTTTTTTTTTTTTTTTGAGACAGGGTCTTACTTCTACATCCTCGAACTGGGCTCCACTTTTTTCATTATTAAATTGTATCTGGCATATGGCAGCAAGAACAGAAATGTCAGTTTCTGCTTGACTTTGGTATTGGGGCTTCTGATGGGGAAAAAAATTGAAACAAGGAAGTGAGGAGACTTCAGTGTAAATTTAGCTTGTCATTTCTCAGGAATCTTACGTATGTCATTTGTTACCTAGTCTTTTACAAATTAATAAAATGATTGCTGTTAGGATCTTGATTGATGATATCAAAACATGTTAATACCACACTTTTAATAGAAAATGTGGTAAATTATTGTGGTATAAAAAATGCAGGCCAGGTGCGGTGGCTCATGCCTGTAATCCTAGCACTTTGTGAGGCCGAGGTGGGCGGATCACCTGAGGTCAGGAGTTCGAGACCAGCCTGACCAACATGGAGAAACCTGTCTCTACTAAAAATAAAAAATTAGCCAGGCATGGTGACGCATGCCTGTAATCCCAGCTACTCGGGATGCTGAGGCAGGAGAATCGCTTGAACCTGGGAGGCAGAGGTTGCAGTGAGCCGAGATCGCGCCATTGCACTCTAGCCTGGGCAACAAGAGTGAAACTTCACCTCAAAAAATAAAATAAAATGCAAAAGGTACAAAAGAATATAGTAGTAAAAAGTAAATCCATATTTTTCATCCAGTCCCATTTATCAAAGGTAACTCTTGCCAGTTTTTGTGAATCCTTTCTAGAACTATTCTCTGCATCTATATAAGCACATTTTTTCCTTACTTTGCATAAATAAGACTGTTATATAGACAGCACATGCCTATATACCTTCGTCTTTTTTAATGACTGTATATCATTCCATCATAGGTGAACTCTGATGTATTTAGCATTTAGCTTGTTTCTCCCTTTTGC
This sequence comes from Homo sapiens, assembly GCF_000001405.40. NCBI lineage: Eukaryota > Metazoa > Chordata > Mammalia > Primates > Hominidae > Homo > Homo sapiens. The sequence goes on along the minus strand of NC_000014.9, from coordinate 67,354,540 downwards.
TATTACCATAAGGCTGGAGTACCCATCTTTTAAACCTTGCACGTGTTTTTGTACACATGTGGGAATAAATTTGTAGGATAAATTCCGCAAAGTGGAATTGTTGGTCTTGAAAATAATTGCATTTAAAATTTTGATATATATTAGTGGATAGATTTTTAAATCCTTAATATACCTCCAGTGGAAACTAAAACAAAGATATTATTTTAACTTACAAATCAAATAAGTATTTAAACTATGTTGGCATCATAAAATAAGGCTCCTGATAACATTTATGATGATTTAATAAATATTCCAGATATTGATTATAAAATTGTTTCTGTTGTAAATTAATAAACTTTTCATTTATGGAACACTGATGGTAGAAATCTACATTATTGGAAAACCAGTTGTCTTAGTCCATTTTCTGCTGCTATAACAATACTTGAGACTGGGTAATTTATAAAGAAAAAAATTTATTTGGTTCATGGTTCTGGAGGCTGAGAAGGGTGAGGGCCTTCTTGCTGTGTTATCCCATGGCAGAAGGCGAGGGTGAGAGAGAAAGCAAGAAAGGGTCGAACATGCCTTTTTTTTTTTTTCTAAAGGGACAGGGTCAGGTGCAGTGGTTCATGCCCATAATCCCAGCACTTTGGGAAGCTGAGGCTGGAGGATTTCATGAGACCAGGAGTTAGAGGCTGCAGCAAGCTATGATCATACCACTGCAATCCAGCCTGGGTGACAGAGCAAGACCCCATCTCAAAAAATAAGGAGTCGGGCCGGGCATGGTGGCTCATCCCTGTAATCCCAGTACTTTGGGAGGCTGAAGCAGGCAGATCACTTAAAGTCAAGAGTTCGAGATGAGCCTGGTCAGTATGGTGAAACCCTGTCTCTACTAAAAATACAAAAAAATATAGCTGGGCTTGGTGGCATACGCCTGTAGTTCTAGCTACTTGGGAGGCTGGGGTGGGAGAATTGCTTGAACCTGGGAGGTGGAGGTTGCAATGAGTCGAGATCGCGCCATTGCACTCCAGCCTGGGCCTCACAGTGAGACTCCATCTCAAAAACAACAACAACAACAACAACAAAAGGAGTCTTGCTACTATCTTACCCATGCTGGACTTGAACTCCCAGGCTCAAGGGATCCTCCCACTTACACCTGTAGCTGGGATTACAGGTGTACCCAGATGAACTCACATTTAAAACCAACCCACTCCTGCAATAAGGAACCCAGTCTTACCATAATGACGTTAATCCATTCATGGAGGGCAGATCCCAGATGACCCAGTCATCTCTTGATGGTCCCACCTCCCAACATTGTTGCATTGGAGATTGTTTCCAACACATGAAGATTAGGGACATATTCAAACCATAGCATCAGTTAAACCTGTCAGCTACAAATTCTCTATATAGTCTCACTTTCATCACATCAAAGGATAAAGGATAATTTTAACACTGGTGGGGAGGGTTTTTTTTGTCTTTTAAACAATGAGAATAGATGTCTTAACTTTGTTTATGTTTATATAGGGCACAGACCATCATGAAGGCTCGTTTAAAGGGAGCACAGACAGGTCGAAACCTCCTGAAGAAAAAATCTGATGCCTTAACTCTTCGATTTCGACAGATCCTAAAGAAGATAATAGAGGTAGAATGAACTTTTCTTAGAATAGTATTTATTTTAGAAAAATCCAGCATGGCCCTTGGCATTTTTTTTTTTGTTGTTGTTATTTTAATTAATTTTTTTCTTTCAAAAGTAAAAATACCATTATAAGTTTAACAAGTGTCAAATATCAAATAGTTCATTTAATAAAATCCAAACTCTTTAATCTTGCCTGCAAAGCTCCACTTGATCTGATTGGCCCCCCGCCTGCCTCTCTTACCTTATTTAGAGCATTCTTCCTAAGGTCCTCCAGGTACTTTTCATTAGCTCTTTCTCCTGCCTGAAATACTCTTTCCCCAGAACTTATAACTGGCTCCTTTAGCTGTTCTAGTCTCTTAAGAGAGGCTGTTCCTGATCACCCAATCTAAAGTGAACACCATGTTTGCTTCTCTCACAATTCCTTATTTTAATTTTATTGTAGCATGTACTACCGCATGGTATGACATTTTATTTCTAGTCTTTTTCTTTTTTTTTTTTTTTTGAGGCAAGGTCTTACTCTGCAGCCTCAAACTGGGCTCCAGTGATCCTCCCACCTCAGCCTCTCGAGTAGCTGTGACTACAGGTGCATGCTACCATTCTCAGCTCATTTTTTTTATTTTTAGTAGAGACGAGGTCTCACTATGTTGCCCAGGCTAGTCTTTTTGACTCCCGGGCTCAAACAGTCTTTCTATCTTGGCCTCCGAAAGTGCTGAGTTTACAGTTTTTGTGTTTTATTTTTAAACCTGTACGTACTTAACAAAAGCATTTTCTATGAGTGCTGTTTTTATTTTTATTTTTTTATTTTTTGTGGAGATGGGGTCTTGCTTTATTACCCAGGGTGGTCTCAACCACCTGGGCTCAAGTGATCATTCCACCTCATCCTTCCAAAGCACTGGGATTACAGGTGTTAGCCACTGTGCCTGGCCCTGTACTACTTTTGATTATTTGTGAAGTTAAGGAGCTTTTCATGCTTATTGACAATTTGATTTTCTTGGTAAATGTCTTCTTTTTTTTTTTGGTAGAGGTTCTATGTGTATTCTGCCTAATGTGTAAAATGTTAAAAATATTTTTTCCACGCCTTTTCTTTTAACTTAAAAAAAAAAGTTAATACTAGGTGTGGTGACTCATGCCTGTAATCCCAACACTTTGGGAGGCCGAGGTGGGAGGATGGTTTGAGCCCAGGAATTTGAGACCAGCCTGGGCAACACAGTGAGACCTTGTCTCTACAAAAAAGAAGAAGAAGAAGAAGAAAATTAGCAGAGTGTGGTGGCATGCACCTGTAGTCCCAGCTACTTGGGAGCCTGAGGCAGGAGGATTGCCTGAGCCTATGAGTTTGAAGCTGCAGTGAGCTATGATTACACCACTGTACTCTAGCCCAGGCAACAAAGTAAGACCTTGTCTCAAAAAATAAAAATAATAAAAAGTTAAAAATGTTTTTCCTTTGGTCAAATCTGTTGGTCTTTTTCTTTATATAGCTTCTGAGTTACATATAAGGCTTAGAAAAGACCTAAAATGATTAAGAAAATATTATGCCACATTTTCTTTTGTTGCTTTACAGTTTTTTTTCTTTAAACCTTTATCTTAATTATGTCTGAATTTTGGGGGCAGTATGATGTGAGGTAGGTAGCTTTATCATTTTGTACTGTATAGACAGTAGAGTGGTCTCTTTACTAAATTTCCATATAGACCTGGGGTTGTTTCTGAATCCTCTAGTCTATTTCATTGACTTAACTGTCCCAAACCAGATATATTAATATTTCCTTATTGTAGCTGTACCTTTTTAATACTTGGGAAGGCAACTCCCTACCCAGCTGACCCAGTTTTTCTTCTCTTTCTGAAACATTATTGAATATTCTCAAACATTAAATATTCCAGATGTACTTTAAAATTAATACACCATTAGGGTTTTGACTGCAACTGCAGTGAATTTAAGAGATTAGTTTGAGTAAATCAGCATGTACCCATTCAGGAATAATATAGGTCCTTCAGTAAAGATTCAGTTTTCTGTTTCTCAATGCATTTATTCTGTTTTAATTATAAAACTCATAGTTTGTAATATTGTTAGTGATCATAACCAAAACTGTTAAAAATTGGAAATTTCTGTTTGTCGTTATCAAACCAATATTTACATGCACAGCCAGCATAAAATACTGATGGTTATTAAAGGAACATAATTATGATGGAATATTTCCTTGTAAAAGGCTTGGTTGAATCTGCTGTTGGTTTATGCTTTTCCAGACTAAAATGTTGATGGGCGAAGTGATGAGAGAAGCTGCCTTTTCACTAGCTGAAGCCAAGTTCACAGCAGGTGACTTCAGGTAAGGGGACTAAACGGGGTGTTTTGAAGCAAAACAAAGTGATTTCAGTCTCATAATTTCATTTAAAAAGCATTTTTTAATTTAGAAATAAGCGTTAAGGACAAATGATATAGTAATAATAAGAAAGAATTCTTTTAACCCCATCACCTTAACTCCACTGTCATCTTCCACATGTAATTCTTACATAGTTGCAGGCGCAGGATACTTAGTATTTTAGAGTCCATTTTCATTTAACGTTGTATCATAAACATTTTTCCTTATTTTCAACATGGCTGTATGATCTTTCTCAAGATGTATTTTTTTTTTCTCCTAATGCTGGGTATTTGGGTTAATTCTCAGTTTTTTGGAATATTAGGGAAAGTGCAGTGAACATTTTTACACATATGTATTTTTGTTTCTACTGAATTATTCCCGTAGGATAAATTTTTGAGAATTGGATTATTTAAAAGGCATGAACTTCATGGCTTTGGTGACATCAGTAAATCCTTTACAAAGCATACAAAATAGCTTGCAAATGTGTTATGCCAATTTACATATGTTATGTAATTCTCCAAATAACACTATGAGATAGGTAAGGCAAGCATTGTTATTCTCAGTTTTAATTAAATGCCTTCCTGAGGTCACTTGGCTAATTAGGGGCAGAGGCAGAAGTTGTTTTCAAGGTTTCTGATTTTATTATTTTCCTAATGACATGATGCCTATTATCTAGGAGCTTTCACTGCTCTTGGGCCTTAATAAGGCCCTTTGAAGTGGTAGGCTTTCATTTTTGCCAGTGCTGGTAAGATCACAGCTTGCATTGAATTTTCTAGCAGAGGGTGGAGATCAATCAATAGTGTATAAGTGGTATGTGAGTGTTTTAGGGTGGTTATGGGGAAGATACTTTCTATAATATTTATTTTTGTTTTGTTTTGAGATTGGGTTATGAGACTGGCTAATTTTTGTATTTTTGAGTTTCACCACATTGCCCAGGCTGGTTTTGAACTCCTGGCCTCAAACAATCCTCCTGCCTCGGCCTCCCAAAGTGCCAGGATTACAGGCGTGAGCTATCGCACCCTGCCAGGAAGGCACTTTCTGGTAACATTTGAGAAGTCACACAAAGCCAGATGGAACATAGTTTCCAGGGTAAAGGAATTGAACGCCAGCTTAACCAATTCAATAGCAAACCTAGAAAGGAGTTTTCTCTATCTCACACTAGCAGAAGAATCCTTAAAGTTATATCCATGTAGCACACCTCTGACTGAAAACATAAGCAATCCACGAACTTTAAAATCATTCTTTGTTCTTTTCTTACTGCTAATGTTTTGAATATTGTTCATTCTCTGCTTTCAGAGGCCCTCCTCTAGCAGTAATGACTTTTCTCCCTTTTTGGAAAAAGGACAGTTATCAAAACATACTTAATTGTGACATCTCACTCTTGGTCTCATTTAATGTTAAAACTATCCAGTGGGTCCCTGTAGGTTTATTTCTGAAGAGTCTGCTAAATAAAGTCTTTCTCTTTTTCTGCAGCACTACAGTTATCCAAAATGTCAATAAAGCGCAAGTGAAGATTCGAGCGAAGAAAGATAATGTAGCAGGTAACGTTTCAACCTTTTAGAAACCCTTTGGGGAGAAAAGAGGTGACATTTTAAAATTAACCTGTTTATACAGCAAGATCTTAATGTCCTAGTTTCTTCCTTCTACTTAGAACAAGTTGATTGGCTTTACATGTTAAAATCATTAACAACCAGGTTTCTAATTACTCAGGATAACTTGACTTTTGTATAGAAGTGAACACTTAAGAAGGCAGGTTCCGGCTGGGCACGGTGGCTCATGCCTGTAATCCCAGCACTTTGGGAGGCCGAGGTGGGCGAATCACAAGGTCAGGAGTTCGAGACCAGCCTGGCCAACATGGTGAAACCCCATCTCTACTAATAATACAAAAATTAGCCAGGTTTGGTGGCACGCGCCTGTAGCCCCAGCTACTTGGGAGGCTGAGGCAGGAGAATCGCTTGAACCCGGGAAGCGGAGGTTCCAGTGAGCCGAGATTGCACCACTGCACTCCAGCCTGGGTGACAGAGCAAGACTCTGTCTAAAAATAAAAAATAAAAAAATAAAGAAGTCAGGTTCCACTGGATGTGGTGGCTCACACCTGTAATCCCAGCACTTTGGGAGGCTGAGGTGGGCGGATCACAAGGTCAGGAGTTCGAGACCAGCCTGGCCAACATGGTGAAACCCCATCTTTACCAAAGAATACAAAAATTAGGCCGGGTGTGATGGCTCACACCTGTAATCCCAGTGCTTTGGGAAGCCAAGGTGGGCGGATCGCCTGAGGTCGGGAGTTCGAGACCAGCCTAATATGGAGAAATCCTGTCTCTACTAAAAATACAAAATAAGCCAGACGTGGTAGCGCATGCCTGTAATCCCAGCTACTTGAGAGGCTGAGGCAGGAGACTCACTTGGACCCAGGAGGCAGAGGTTGTGGTGAGCCGAGATTGCGCCATTGTACTCCAGCCCAGGCAACAAGAGCGAAACTCATCTTTAAAAAAAAAAAAAAATTAGCTGGGCATGGCATGTGCCTGTTGTCCCAGCTACTCAGGAGGCTGAGGTGGGAGAATCACTTGACCCCAGGAGGCGGTGGTTGCAGTGAGCTGAAGACCACACCACTGCACTGCAGCCTGGGCGACAGAGTGAGACTCTGTCTCAAAAAAAAAAAAAGAAGGCAAGTTCCTAAATTCATTAATTGAAACCAATTACAATTCCATACTTAAGCTCTTGATTTTTGAGTTTGATGAAAAAGAAACACAGAAAACAGTGATTAAGAAACAGAATTTAGGCCAGGCGCGGTGGCTCATACCTGTAATCCCAGCACTTTGGGAGGTTTAGGCGGGTGGATCACCTGAGGTCGGAAGTTCAAGACCAACCTTACCAACATGGAGAAACCCCGTGTCTACTAAAAATACAAAATTAGCCGGGTGTGGTGGTGCATGCCTGTAATCCCACCTATTCAGGAGGCTGACCAGGAGAATTGCTTGAACCTGGGAGGCAGAGGTTGCGGTGAGGCGAGATCACGCCATTGCATTCCAGCCTCGGCGACAAGAGCAAAACTCCGTCTCAGAAAAAAAAAAAAAAGAGAGAACTTAAAGGTTTATGAATCCATGTATGCTTCTGTGTTTAACAGGTGTTACTTTGCCAGTATTTGAACATTACCATGAAGGAACTGACAGTAAGTGTGAAACTTTTTGTATTACTTTGTGTCTCTGGGATTTCCTGTTTCCTCTTTAAATGAACTAAGTTCTGGAAAATGGTGCTAGATGTTGAGAGGTTCCTGAGTTAGAAATCCTCTTATTTGATATAGTCAGGACAATAGTTGATCAGTTAATCAAAAGGTCTTAAGGCCGGGCACAATGGCTCATGCCTGTAATACTGGCACTTTGGGAGGCTGAGGCAGGCAAATCTCCATCTCTACAAAAAATATAAAAAATCAGCCAGGTGTGGTGGCACGTGCCTGTAGTTTCAGCTACTTCCAGGGCTGAGGAGGGAGGATTGCTTGAGCTGGGGAGGTAGTTGCAGCGAGTTCTGATCACGCCACTGCACTCCAGCCTGGGCTACAGAGCAAAACCTTGTCTCAAAAAAGAAAAAGGTCTTATGCTAGGAAGTCATAAAACATTATACATATCTTAAAATATTTCAATATTTTATCAGAAATATATCAATGTAGAATCACTTGCTATTTAAAAAATATAAGGCCTTTTGAATATGAATTCACTGATTAGACTTCTGTGTTGTTTTTCTGCATATCCTACACCCACAATGCACTGCTTATAATTCCCAGTTTGGGTCTCTTTAAAGTCAAATAAGATCTTAGACACTGATGCAACCTGAATGCTGATTCTTTCTAGATTTTTATAGCCCACTTCCACTTTTTAAATAACTGTCTTATTCATTCCATTCCTAGTTTGACAGCATATTTTCTTTCCAAAGTAAAGTATTAACTTTTTTCATAGAAACAATATTCTTGGCCAGGCACAGTGGCTCACACCTGCAATCCCAGCACTTTGGGAGGCTGAGGCAGGTGGATCACCTTAGCCCAGGAGTTTGAGACCAGCCTGGGCAACATGGTGAAACCCCGTCTCCACCCAAAAAGTTACAAAAATTAGCTGGGCCTGGTGGCATGCGCCTGTGGTCCCAGCTACTCGGGAGGCCGAGGTGGGAGGATTGCTTGAGCCTGAGAAGTGGAGCTTACAGTGAGCTGAGATCGCACCACTGCACTCCAGCCTGGGTGGCAGAGTGAGACCCCATCTCAATAAATAAATAAACAAATAATATTCTTTCTTTTGGCACTTGTATTTCCTTGCTTCATGTGATATTTAATTAAATCATATAGAATATTAAGTACATTTCATACGAAGAAGTAGAGCATTCTAGAGAGAGTCACCTGTTCACAGAGTGTCATCGTACTCTGGGCATCAGGCAGTATGATTTTCAAAGGGAATAAGGGGCATCAAGCTAGTGAAGTGAAGGTTGGTTAAAAGCTTCCTTTGTAGTTATATTTAGAATAGTATTCTTGTGGGAAACTGTATTTAGTAGCATGCTCCTATAGTGTTTGGGGAGTGAGATAGGCACTTCATGTTTACATTCAATGAAGATTAGTGAATTCATCTTTCCATATTTGTTATTATTCTGAATTATCTCCTTTTGGGGAATTTTATAGGGAAGATATTTTACTCTAATTAAAAATGTTGTCTGACTGGTCCTTTCAGGTTATGAACTGACTGGTTTAGCCAGAGGTGGGGAACAGTTGGCTAAATTAAAGAGGAATTATGCCAAAGCAGTGGAACTACTGGTGGAACTAGCTTCTCTGCAGGTAAGTAGCAAAAGACCTGGAGAACTCCTGTAGTTTGATTTGTAACAGTCAAGTGGAGGAGAGTCAGGTCTTGAGTCAGCATATACTGTGCTTTGTACTTTTAACTGTTCCCATGATCCTATGTAAAGCAAACATAATATTTTGATTTCTGAAGTGATGGCTTTTGTACCATTGTCCCTACTTTTTAAAATTTATGTATTTTTTATTTTTTTGAGATGGAGTTTTACTCTTGTTGCCCAGGCTGGAGTGCAATGGCGCGACCTCGGCTCACTGCAACCTCTGCCTCCTGGGTTCAAGTGATTCTTCTGCCTCAGCCTCCCAAGTAGCTGATTACAGACATGTGCCACCATGCCTGGCTAACTTTTGTATTTTTTGTAGAGACAGGGTTTTGCCATGTTTGTCAGGCTGGTCTCGAACTCCTGACTTCAGGTGATCCACCCGCCTCGGCCTCCCAAAGTGCTAGGATTACAGGCATGAGCCACTGCACCTGGCCCCTACTTTTAATTTAAAAATTTATTTATTTTTCGAAATGGGGTCTCACTGTGTCACCCAGGCTGGAGTGCAGTGGCATAATCCCAGCTCACTGCAACCTTAACCTCCTGGGCTTAAGTGATCCGCCCACCTCAGCCTCCTGAGTAGCTGGGACTATAGGCATGCCCCATCACACCTAGCTAATTTTTGTATTTTTTGTAGAGGTGGGGTTTCACCATGTCGTCCAGGCTGGTCTCGAACTCCTGGGCTCAAGTAATCAGCCCGCCTCATCCTTCCAAAGTGCTGGGATTATAGGTATGAGCCACCACACCCGGCCCCTGCTTCTTCTTGTTAACAAAATGTATGTGCTATGGTACACTCTTGTTTTTTTTGTTTGTTTGTTTGTTTTTTTCTTTGAGACAGAATCTTGCTCTGTTGCCCAGGCTGGAGTGCAGTGTTGCGATCTTGGCTAACTGCAGCCTGGATCTCCTGGGCTCAAGCAGTCTCCCGCCTCAGCCTCCCAAGTAGCTTGGACTACAAGTTTGTGCCACCTCGCCTGGATAATATTTTTGAATTTTTTAGTTGAGATGAGGTCTTGCTACGTTGCCCAGGCTGGTCTCAAACTCCTGGCCTCAAGAAATCCTGCCATCTCAGCCTCCCAAAGTGCTGGAATTATAAGTGTGAGCCACCTCACCCAGCCCAGTTTCACTCTTTGCTAAGTAAGAATAGCAAGTTGATACTAGATTTAAATGTAAATGTAAATAAACATCGTTTGTGCATGGAAGACCATTTTTTCCCCTATGTGGCCAGTTAGTATATATCTAGGTTATTAATGCTTGATTCTTTCTTGTCATTTTTATGTTGTTATTTAGGTGAGACTATAGTAAACAAATTATAATAGTGTCAACTCAAGTAAAGCCTGTTGAAGCAGAAATGATTTGATAAAGGTTTATTGAAAGCCAAATGTGAGGATTGACCCGGGAAGACACCAACAAAGTTGGGTGTGTTCTAGAGTCTGCTACAAGTTGGAAGGCTTTTATGGGAAAGTTTAGGAGAAGGGAGGACTCCTCATACCCAAGTTGTCCTTTTCATTGGCGAGTACAATACAGAGGTCACAATCATTGGCTACAGATTACAAATACAAGCTAAAATGTTCTACATGCAAGTAAATCATGAAGTAAAACTTCATGAATCAGAAACAAATCAGTGTCATTTTCAGCGTCAGTAGGTTGCATATTAATCAGTATGTCAGCAGTCTGAGAAACTTAAGATTTCCTTACTCAGGGACAGGATGTAAACCATGAATCATAAGATCCCTCAATCTGCCCAGGCAGGTTAATTTGGAAACCTACCAAATGTGACATGTAGGTTATCAATAGCATGGAAATAGTGTTAGCCCTATGGAAATCTCACAAGAATTTTGTTTTTGTTTTGTTATGAAGAGACAGGGTCTTACTCTGTCACCCAAGCTGGAGTACAGTGGCACAGTAATAGCTCACTGCAGCCTCAAACGATCCTCCCATCACAGATTACCAAGCAGCTGGGACTACAGGTGCATGCTACTACACCCAGCTAATTTTTAAAATTTATTTCTTGTAGAGGCAAGGTCTCATTGTGTTGCCCAGGCTGGTCTTGAACTCCCAACTTCAAGTGATTCTCCCACCTCAGCCTCCCAAAGTATTGGGGTTATAGGCGTGAGCCATGCGCCCAGCCTAAGAATTTTGTTTTTTAAGCATGCCAAAAAGAAGTTGTCTTGGTTCTCAAATGTTTTCTACAAGTGCAGTCTTAGTGGAGTCAAGTGATCAGGGAATGATTAGGAAGACTTTGTGCTTACATTATTAATTTGTTCTTATTTTAGACTTCTTTTGTTACTTTGGATGAAGCTATTAAGATAACCAACAGGCGTGTAAATGCCATTGAACATGGTGAGTATTAGGTACTGTGAGGTGCTTTGTCACTTGTCCATACCCTCCACTTGTCGTGAAACTGCTAGAATTCAGGGACTGTACTGAAGACTGAAAGATGAATAAGATGCTTCCCTTGCCCACAGTGCAAAGAGAGAAGTGTGTCCATAGTAAAAAAAAAAAGTGTTATGAAGTGTTCTGATAGAAGTACTTGTATGATCTGGGGGAGTTACACACATAGGAAAGTGGTGACTTAAAAATTATGGAATGTTTTCTTCATTTCCAGTTATTCATGCAGTTATTTAAGGGTAGGAATATTTCTCAAGATCCTTAGTGTTTTCTGTAGTTCTTTCTAATGGTTGAGTGATGCAACTTTTTGAGTACATTAAATATTTAACTTTAAATCAGTATAAGCCATTCTCCTTGATTTCTAAAAAATTTCCCATTTGATGCACTTATTTTCCATCTCTTTTATTTCACTATTTAAAAAATATGACTGCTTAGTGTTGATGGTACTTTTTGCTCAATAAACTTAGTTTTTATTAAAGAAACACTCAATTTTAGGTAAGAAAGCAAAATTTGAAGTAAAGAAATTCCTTTGCTTGGGAATTTCTATATTAATGCTAGTGAGAAATATATTAACTATTATATTAACTATGTATAATATGATATATTAACTATATTGTTAGAAATATATTAACTGTTATATTAACTATATATTAACTATATTAATGTTAGTGAGAAAGTTACCTCATTTTTTAAAAAACCTTTTTGACTGCTTGCTAGTGCCAGGCCTTGTACATGAAAGTGGAAGCAAAGAAAAAAAAAAAAAAAAGGATAATTCGTAGTTCTTACCCTCAGAGTTCACATTCTAGAAGCTGAACAGGTAAACTATGTAAAGTCGAGCCTAATGACGTAAACTCAATCGAGCATTCTCTCTGCTCGATTTTTTAACAGTTGATTGCTACTATATTTAAAATAACATCTGTGCTTCAATGTTATATATTCATAGAATTCAGCACATTCAGTGTTGTATTTGTTATGGTCCAATAGGTTATCTATGCATAGAAAAGACACTAGAAGGGTATACACCACCATGTTTACAGTAGTTACTCTTTTGGATGGTTGGATTATACTCTATTTTACTTTTTTTCTTTGTGTTTTTTTTTATTTTATTTTATTTATTTATTTATTTATTTATTTATTTATTTTATTGATCATTCTTGGGTGTTTCTCACAGAGGGGGATTTGGCAGGTCATAGGACAATAGTGGAGGGAAGGTCAGCAGATAAACAAGTGAACAAAGGTCTCTGGTTTTCCTAGGCAGAGGACCCTGCAGACTTCCGCAGTGTTTGTGTCCGTGGGTACTTGAGATTAGGGAGTGGTGATGACTCTTAACGAGCATGCTGCCTTCAAGCATCTGTTTAACAAAGCACATCTTGCACCGCCCTTAATCCATTTAACCCTGAGTGGACACAGCACATGTTTCAGAGAGCACAGGGTTGGGGGTAAGGTCATAGATCAACAGGATCCCAAAGCAGAAGAATTTTTCTTAGTACAGAACAAAATGAAAAGTCTCCCATGTCTACTTCTTTCTACACAGACACAGCAACCATCCGATTTCTCTATCTTTTCCCCACCTTTCCCCCTTTTCTATTCCACAAAACCGCCATTGTCATCATGGCCTGTTCTCAGTGAGCTGTTGGGTACACCTCCCAGACGGGGTGGTGGCCGGGCAGAGGGGCTCCTCACTTCCCAGTAGGGGTGGCCGGGCAGAGGCGCCCCTCACCTCCCGGACAGGGTGGCTGGCCTGGCGGGGGCTGACCCCCCCACCTCCCTCCCGGACGGGGCGGCTGGCCAGGCGGGGGGCTGACCCCCCCCACCTCCCTCCCGGACGGGGCGGCTGGCCGGGCCGGGGGCTGACCCCCCAACCTCCCTCCTGGACGGGGTGGCTGCTGGGCGGAGACGCTCCTCACTTCCCAGACGGGGCGGCTGCCGGGCGGAGGGGCTCCTCACTTCTCAGATGGGGCGGCTGCCGGGTGGAGGGTCTCCTCACTTCTCAGACGGGGTGGCCGGGCAGAGACGCTCCTCACCTCCCAGAAGGGGCGGTGGGGCAGAGGCGCTCCCCACATCTCAGACGATGGGCGGCCGGGCAGAGACGCTCCTCACTTCCTAGATGGGATGGCGGCCAGTCACAGACGCTCCTCACTTTCCAGACTGGGCAGCCAGGCAGAGGGGCTCCTCACATCCCAGACGATGGGCGGCCAGGCAGAGAGGCTCCTCACTTCCCAGACCGGGTGGCGGCTGGGCAGAGGCTGCAATCTCGGCACTTTGGGAGGCCAAGGCAGGCGGCTGGGAGGTGGAGGTTGTAGCGAGCCGAGATCACGCCACTGCACTCCAGCCTGGGCACCATTGAGCACTGAGTGAACGAGACTCCATCTGCAATCCCGGCACCTCGGGAGGCCGAGGCTGGCGGATCACTCGCAGTTAGGAGCTGGAGACCAGCCTGGCCAACACAGCGAAACCCCGTCTCCACCAAAAAAATACGAAAACCAGTCAGGCGTGGCGGCACGCGCCTGCAATCGCAGGCACTCGGCAGGCTGAGGCAGGAGAATCAGGCAGGGAGGTTGCAGTGAGCTGAGATGGCAGCAGTACAGTCCAGCTTCGGCTCGGCATCAGAGGGAGACCGTGGGGAGAGGGAGAGGGGGAGGGGGAGAGGAAGAGCTTCTTTGTGTTTTTATTTTCCAAGTTCTCTGCATTAAATGCACATTAATTTTACAATTAGGAAAAAATAACTGTTATACAAATGAGCACTGATAATTTGAAAAAAGGGGTTTGAAGTTCTCACACATATTATTTTTTTTTTTATTCTAGTCATCATTCCCCGGATTGAACGTACTCTTGCTTATATCATCACAGAGCTGGATGAGAGAGAGCGAGAAGAGTTCTATAGGTTTGTTGAAATTGGCAGTTATTGATCATCTTTTGTTTTCCATATTCCAAAGGCTGTATTTGCTGAATGACTTGTTGGTTTATGTTCTTTAGAATTAGCACAGCTTATGTTTTATTCTGATAAATAAGCAGCAAGAAATATTATTACCAGAAGTTGTGGAAACAAATCTGTCAAATTTTACATGTACCTATAACATGGCATTTCCAAAAACTTAGGCCTTTCAGAGAAACTGTTTAGGTTTGATTTTTTTTTTAAATATATGTTTTAAGATAGTCAAATGCAGTAGTGAAAAGTGGGGAAAGAGTAGAACAAGGAGTTTGATCTGTAACTGATTGTGCGTAATAGAGAGAACTCATTACCTTTGGACAAGCCAAGACTGAATTATTCTTTTTTTTTTTTTTTTTTTTGTGAGACAGAGTCTTGCTCTGTCACCCAGGCTGGAGTGCAATGGTTCGATCTTGGCTCATGTGTCACCATGCCTGGATAATTTTTTTGTACTTTTAGTAGAGATGGTGTTTCACCATGTTGGCCAGGCTGGTCTCAAAACTCCTGACCTCAAGCAATCCACCTGCCTTGGCCTGCCAAAGTGCTGGGATTACACGCATGAGCCACCGTGCCTGGCCCTTGATTATTCTTTAAAATGAAATGATGATTTAGATTGGGTGCCTCCTACATAAAAACTGAGAGAAGAAACTAGAATTCAGCTGTTATTCAACAAATATGTATTTCATGTTCAGGAGAAGGTATAAAGCACCTGGAGGCATTACCAAATAGTATATAAATCACGCCATTAGAGAATTAGCACAGCACTTGGAGAGAAATTATGCATGTCCATGAATTGGTTATGAACATTTAGAGTCAACAGGTATAAATACTAAACTGGTAGTGTACAGGGATCTGTATACTCGGTTCAGAGAAATGGGAGGTAGGTGAGGGCAGGAGTATTTAGGAAAGGCATGGGGGGTCTTAGACCTGGAGTTAGCATCTAACTATGGTCTATAATCTTAATTATCAAAGGTTAGTTTCTGTCCTTCCATGATACTCAGGGTTGTGTTGAGCCAAAATTTTAAAAAAATGCCTGAATGCTCAAAATCTGTTCCATTCGAGAATGGATTTCAAAATTTAACCTAATAAAGGCTTCTAGGCTGGGCTCGGTGGCTCATGCCTGTAATCCCAGCACTTTGGGAGGCCAAGGCGGGTGGATCACAAGGTCAGGAGTTCAAGACCAGCCTGGCCAAGATGGTGAAACCCTCCGTCTCTACTAAAAATACAAAAAATTAGCCAGGTGTGGCAGCATGCGCCTGTATTCCCAGCTACTCGGGAGGCTGAGGCAAGGAATTGCTTGAACGCAAAGGTGGAGGTTGTAGTGAGCCAAGATTGCGTGCGCCACTGCACTCCACCCTGGGCGACAGAGCAAGACTCCATCTCAAAAAAAAAAAAAAAAAAAGGCTTCTGTCTCAGGTTAAATCAGTTATTAGCTTAAAATTATGTATTTTTAGCTTAAAATTATGTTTTTTAAAAAGGATTATAAATAAATTACTGAAAATGAAATTAATAAAAGTACCAGGTTTTTTTCTAGGTATGTGTTTATTATCCTTGTTACAAAACTCAAAGAAATCAAATCTACTTAATATTGAAACAGTGTTTAAAAAATCCACCCCCACCTGTATTTTACAGGTTAAAGAAAATACAAGAGAAGAAAAAGATTCTAAAGGAAAAATCTGAGAAGGACTTGGAGCAAAGGAGAGCAGCTGGAGAGGTGTTGGAGCCTGCTAATCTTCTGGCTGAAGAGAAGGACGAGGATCTTCTATTTGAATAATCTTTCCTGTTCTGGTTCTTTGAGAAACCCTAACACTGGCTTCATTTTAATTCACAGTGTGTAGGTTTGATTTGTGTGGCTATTTATTTTTTGGCCTAAGAATTTCACTGGTTGTAAAATTTACCTAGATGTCTATTTATGGGATTACTTTTGCAGAATCATAATTTAGCAACCATTTATCATGGATGAAAGAGATCTGTAAAACCTGCCCAGGAACTTACAGAATTTACTTTGCAGAAGCGTTATCATACTCCATTTACATCTGTGTTACACGTGATCTGCTTACCAAGCATATTAGGAAATACCTCTTAGGAAGCATTAGCGGTCTCAGGCCAATTACTGTGGAGCAGCTTTCATTCCTACCCACTTGCAAACCTTGGCGCTGTTGTCTGAGATTGCTGCAGCCATTCTTGTTACCATGGTACTTCTCAAACTTTGTGAAAACCTGCACTTTTCCTTGCATGACAGGTTCCTGTCTTGTCTGTCATGGGAGCCATTCTGCCAATTTAAATGCGACTGTGGTATAAACAGTAAAATGATTTAAAAGTAAGTCATTCCGTTTTTATTAATTTACTGTTAAGTCATGTTCTCATGCTCAGATCAGTAGTGTCAGCCAGAGCTTTCTCTGCAGACATGTAGGAAGTGGGTAGCTATTTTTCCCACTCCATGTATTAGAGTTTTACAAAAAGGCTTACTTTTGAGACAACTGTTGCATTTTGGGGTACTAATAAATGATTGCCGATGAGTTATGAGGGCATTATAATACTTCCTTATTTGCTAATTAAGAAAATAACTAGTTCCTATTTTAGAGTAAGAAATAAGGTAACTTTTTACTATTTATAAGTGATAAAAACTTGCTTTCATATATGAAGATGAAGCATTTGAGTGGCCACATCAGGTGTCTGAGGTTTTTAGTACTGTTTGATTTGGCATGAGCCATCCATGGGGACTCAGTCTTTCTCGCATCCATTTCCAGGCATTTTTGACATGATTAGCCATGGAATAATGTTTAGTTCTGAAATTGTGACACTGTCTTTATTAATACTGTATTTTAATCAAGTGACATCACAGTCCAGGTAGTTTTTCTTTCTTTTTTTTTTTTTTGAAACAGAGTCTCACTCATTCTGTAGCCCAGGCTAGAGTGCAGTGGCAGCAACATCAGTTCACTGCAACGTCCGCCTCCTCAATTCAAGAGATTCTCCTGCTTCAGTCTCCCGAGTAGCTGGGATTACAGGTTTGCGCCACCATGCCCGGCTAATGTTTATATTTTTAGTGGAGATGGGGTTTCACCATGTTGGCCAGGCTGGTCTTGAACTCCTGACCTCAAGTAATCTGCCTGCCTCGGCCTCCCAAAGTGCTGGGATTACAGGCATAAGCCACCATGCCCAGCCAGTCTAGGCAGTTTTAAAGTACTAAATGATTTTGCAAGCATTTAACATCTCCTATAAGATAGCAGGTCTTAGTTATGTGCCAGGCACTGGTATTAAGTATTTTGTTTATATTACTTCATTACAACAACCATAAGAGGCACATATTATTTTAACCCCCTATTTTACAGAGGAAAAATTGGAGACACAGGAAACTTGAGTAGTCTTAAGTTAAAAAGCTAGAAAGTAGCAAATCCAGAATTTAAGTCTAAGCAGTCTACCTTCAGAATTTTTACACCCTAACTTTTCCTTTCTGTTTCATCTATATTTCAAACTTTGGGTATTTAAAGACATTGGGACTGTTCTGGAGAAGCTGATATTTAGGAAATCTGGTTGCTGCTCACAGAATAAAATCTTAGGTTCAGTGTAAATTCAGTAATGACTGGAAAACCAACAACTCAGTTCACAAGTACTTTAAAAATAGGTAACTGTTTAACATTTCGTCTTCCCAACAGCCTGCTGAACTGTAAATTCTACCATCTCCACTTTGCAGATGAGGAAATTGAGACTTTGACAAGTCAAAGAGCACAGCTGGAATGCAAGTCAAGTATGATTTGATTTAATTTGATCTTTATATTTTAAGAATTACGTACTGCCTTTCTAGGAGGCAAAAATTAGTTTGAAGTAGGGATCCAGATTAGTGGTTTTCCACATGTAGGTAAATTCAATGTAAAGCAACAAGCCAAAGGACCCTAGATTTCTCCTGTGGCTTCTTAAATACCTGGAATGTATTGGCCTTGTTAAAATACTTACAAAAGTGCAGATGACTTTATAGTTTAGCATTTGTTAAAAAGAAATCAAGAAAACAATGGACACATAATTTGTTGTGTGGAGTCAGTTATCTGAAACATAGGAGAAGAATATAGATCAGGAATAGGAATGGAAAGCTGAACTGTGGTGACAGGTGTATATATGTAAGAAACTTTTTGTTTGTTGGTGTATGATTTATGACCTTTGGGAGATGTACAGCAGAAAAAAAGGAGAAATGAAGACTGGAGAAACAAAATATGTTATATATTTGCCAATAATTCACATGCTGCCTCAGTGTCCTCAGATCCCAGGCTGCACATAAGGTCCATTTGCCTGAGTATTATTACATACCTCCTTCTCCAGAAAACTTTCAAGTTCACAGCCTTGCGTTGTCCATCTTTAATACACTTAGTTGTTGGTTTTAATAATTAAGGAAACAGGACCTACCTATACCTGTGCCAACAGGGGGCACTATCCCTCTGTAAAGAACAAATCAAAAAGTATTTTGTGTTGTAGCTGGAGGATCCAATGGTCTTGCTTTTGGCAAAAACTTGAAGAGGAGGGTGGTCTTTACATGTGTGGAAACCTTGAGTGGCCGAGCAAATAGCAAGAGAAATTGCTTAGTGGCTTTTAAAATTTGAAATATAATTTTACTTTTTATTTTTACAATACAGTGTACAGTATGACATCTCAAAATAACAGTGCAGATACAGGAAAAGAGTACAAAGGGGGATTAACAACAGATGTCAGAAGGTTACCTTTATTAAGGCTAAATCCCTGCTTTATATTTTCCACACATTCACAAAATTACATTCAAATCATTCCTTATTGATCCTTATTTCTTAGGCCATGAGAAAAGGAAGATAATCCAGACATTAGATTTTCATAGAAAGCAAATCTGGATTAGTCTAAATAATATTCTCCTTCCATTTGTTCTGACAACGAAAATTTGAGAAACAAAGTTATGCACCAACCTAAAACTTCCTTATTTGGATTTTCCAAGTACATAGCATTAGTTATTGATATCATTTCTATATTAAATGGTAAGACCTCCCCCACACTGGGGTCTCCAGTCAGAACCACAGAGGGACAGGAAATGGAATTGGCCAGAGTGGCTGTACAACTAGGTGTACAGCAAGGCTTTTTTCCATATTCTTTTGTGGAGGTCAGCAACAACTCAGTTTTCACTTTAAGGACTATGTTGAATATCAGCACATCCTCATCACTAGGATTTAGAAAAGTTTAGGACATTTCTATCTACCATTGCTGATGAGGAAGGGGAGAATGATTGATAGACTTCACTGACCTTGAAATATTTATCATCTCAGACTTCCTAAAAGTATGGCATGGCATCACCTCTGCCTTGATACAAGATCTGCTTGTTAAAGCCATGTTCCTGAATCTTGACAGCACATGGCCCTAGTGCAGGCCTAATGTCTACAGCAGGCACAAGAGCCACTCACTGACACTACCTACACCCTCACTCTAACTTAACATGAACTGCCAATAGTTTAGCTCTTGGAGTTGAAAACAGTTGTCAGTTACAATAAGCAGGATCACAAAACTCCATTGTCAACCATAGACTACACTTCATTCCTGAGACGTAAACTGGAAAACTGAAAAGATTAAGTAAGTGCTAAGTATATTCCTTAGTTTTTAATGCTAAAAATCGGTGTGACCTGTGAAATTTCCTGGCTCTAAACTGGAGTATTTCAGATCTGAAGAGACAGTAGTGTATGGCATTCCTTCCCTCAACCCAAGAATGTTATTTTCTTCCTAAGGAACATTATCTTGAAAATATTTCCACATAAAACACTCTCCAGCCAACTTAATAGGCCATGCAAATTTGAACAGAAAAAGGCGACATATAAACTGTCTACATTTGTTCAAATAAAATTATGTAGAAGAAAAAAAATCAATCAAATATGTACATGACACAAATTACTCCTTAAACATAATTGCTTATGTTAAATTAAATGATGTCAGTATTATTCCAGTGTTTAGCTCTGGGTATAGGAAATGCTGTAGCTAAAGTCACCATAAAAATAAAATCAAGGCATTCACATTTGAGGTTGTTTGTTACACATCACACTATCCTAAAGGCTTGAAAAGACTGCAAATTAAGTTTCCATGCCAATTATATACGTTGAATTTTAAAGCTACAGCTATAGAGACAGTACGAAAATCCTATTAGCTTAAATGTTTCTTTTATGATTTACCAAGCTGTTGCATTCTCGTCATAAGAGGCAGACCTTGTTAGGTTAAAAACCTATTTCTATATATTTAATACCTTTTTCTCTCCAATATTCTTTTCCTAAAATGTTCAAATGACTTTCAGGTCTTCCCTTCCTTTTGATCTTAAAGTCAACTGTCATAATATTTCCCAAGGACATATATAATTTTATTCTAATGCTAAACAAGTGTTTTCAATGACCATTTGTTGATCTATTAAATATTAATATACAGTACAGCAGCTATATTCATCAACAGAATTCCAGTTTATTACCTATATATACGTAGCACAGTCATAGGATACTGTGCTCATACATAAAAATGCAAAAACTGTCAAATGTGCTATCCTCCCATGTATACAAAAAACTATTAGCATCATGAGGAAGAAACTTTTTAAGTCAATACAGATTATAATGAACACCTGCCATTCATAAAAATGTAACATACATTCTATTATACTATGCTGATGAGGGAAGGGAAGCTAAGTGAGTAAATCAGTTGAGACGACTTAAGAAAAAAATTCAGGAAATCATAATTTAAAAAAGATCAGCATATTTTGTATACCTTTAAGTAGATTAGAGTGTGTTGAGTGTAGAGTCTGATCCACAAAGTCTGAGCAAAAAAACTGGTGCTTCTAATGGAATGTTTTTTGTTTTTTTAAGAATCAAAAGACATATAAATGAATTCAAGCCTAACAAAGTAGCTTCAACCCAAAGTGGCACCATTTTGTTTTTTATTTTTCCTTTTTAGGAAAGTATCTCTGATGACTAAATTAGTTTCCTAAGCAAATACTGCCTTGCCCAGTGCATAGAAGCACAGTCCCTCTGCTCAATATTCCCAATGAAGTCATTTAAGTGTTAATGATTTAACACTTAAGAATAATCACATCAATATTTGTGTGAGACATGGACGCTTGTGTATACAAGTTTTTCACAGAGATACAACTAAGCAGAAAGGGTTTAGGTGAAAACAAAAGGTTTTAACAGGACAAAATGGAATGCTCTGTTGAAAGCTTCCATTTAGAATCCCAAAATGAGGCAAGAACCGCTAAAGCCATGTATAGAGAATAAAGGATGCCATGCACAAACTGCCTAAGGGAACTGTCGTCTCACTAATTCAAGAGATCTAAGAACAGATCTACAGCTTATACTGCTGCCTTCCATCTTATCCTCAATCTTGCTGCAGTGTCGGGCAGTCCTCCTATTGGCAGTTTTTGCCAGATCAAGTCCAACATGCCACAGAATGGATGTTTCTTTCACCTCAGCCAAGTGGATGGTACCCACTGAGGTTCAGTATCAAGTTTGTTAATTAACCTAAGCAATTCCTGATAGGCTTTATCAAGATCGGAATTCACAATTGCCGTATCAAAGTAGTGGCCATTGTTCTGCTCCATCTCTCTTGTCTTCTCAATGATTTCTCTCAACTCTTCAGGCTGCAAACAGAAGATAAAAACTGTGAGATAATTCCTTTCCTAACCAAATAATATAGGATGAGTCAGAGATGGCCAAAGAACAAGGAGCGACCTTCATAGCTTTCCTTCTGTCTCTCCCAACCTCAGGAGCTCCTTTCCAACCCTGTCACGGCCACAATGGTTACCTTTGCTTTGGCATCTTCACGACTCATATTATGAACCATCTGGGACTCAATATATCCTGTTTTATACCACTATTTAGGTTTTCACATATTTTGTCTTATCTCACCAACAAAACTACAAGCTTCAAGAACACACACTGTTTCCCTACAAACATTTGTTTTCAAACATTCTAGACACTATAACCTCTTCCTAATAGTAACATCTGTAATATGGAGTGAACCTTTCTGGTTGGAGCAAGGACCTAAAATGCCATTTACTTTTGGCTCTAGTAAAGAGCCCTTGCCCTATACTATCTGCTGCAGAGAGTTAAAAGTATCCTACCAGAGTTTGGGAAACTATATAGAGTAGCCTACTTTAAAATACTGACTGAAGGAAAGGGCCATTTTACAAAGATAAGCAGGCAGCAAGGCTATGTGCAAAACTTATCCTGAACCCTCTAATTATCAGGCACATGGGTTCAAGAAAGTGAAACTCACCTCAAATCACCCCTGCCAATGAAGACAACTAACTTAAACTCAAGACAAAATGTCTCAGATATAAAAGTCACACATCAATACTATATTGGACCCATAGTACAAAACAATTTATATCATTCAACTGTTTGAACTTCTGTAACAGTAAGAAAACATATTAAAAATATGACAACTCTGGCTTGTCCTGAGGCAGTTTCTTGCATGACTCTCATTCTGGAATGTTGTACATCTGAATATGGCACACAGAATCCTTTGTTCCCAGCAGGGAATCTACTTCACCACTGTAACTGAACACACTGACATTTTTGCTAAAACTTATGTCTACCGTAAGCTCAAGATTATTGGAAGAACATTCTAGGACTCCACAGAGAACTGAAACTTTGTGGTATTGGAGTTGAAATGAAAATGATAAAGCCCGAATCCACCTAGTTTTTATCAAATTTAAGGCATTGTTATTCCATTTTGTGCCAAAATGGCTTATATCACTTATTTAGTACTTCATGTCTGAAGTTCTCTTTCAAATTACAATCCACGACTAAGATGAAACAAAATGTTTTAGCTCAAAATTTTTAGCTGAACTAGGCAAAACTGACAATAAGTTCATACTGCTAGATAGCCACTCTCAAGCCTTCATACTAGCAGAACAGATTCAGAGATTCAGAATGCAACTAGATAACCGGTTGGTTACATTTTGTAACGCCATCATTTTCTTAGCACAATTTTATAGAGTTAAAATTGAAAATCTGTTTTACTTCAGCACTTCTATCATTGAGTAATAAAGCACTATTAGAAATACCAATACCAGCGCAGGGGCTCCCCCGCCTGTAATCTCAGCACTTTGGGAGGCCAAGGTAGGTGGATCACATGGGGCCGGGAGCTTGAGACCAGCCTGGCCAACAGGGCAAAACCCCGTCTCTATTAAAAATACAAAAAATAGCCAGGCGTGATGGTGCACATCTGTAATCCCAGCTACTTGGGAGGCTGAGGCATGAGAATCACTTAAACCCAGGAAGCAGAGGTTGCAGTGAACCAAGATTGTGCCACTGCACTCCAGCCTGGGCGACAGAGTGAGACTCTGTCTCAAAAAAAAGAAAGAAATATCACAGGAGAAAAAAACTTAAGTAGAATAAATACAATCAGATACACCATCCTCTACACCAAAAACTGTGGAATACACATCCTAACAGGTGTGCACAGAACATTCACCAAGAAAGAACAGATGTTGGGCCATAAAATAAGGCTCAACAAATTTGAAAAGACTGACATCTTTCAGGGTCTGACCACCTGGAATTATAAATCAGTTAAAATCTTTTTCACATCTCCAAATAGGTGGAAACTATATAACATACTTCTAAATAACTCATGTGTTAAAGAGAAAAACAAGGAAGCGGGGTGCCGGGGGCTCAGGCCCATAATCCCAGCACTTTGGAAGGCTGAGGCAGGTGGATCACCTGAGGTCGGGAGTTTGGGACCAGCCTGACCAACATGGAGAAACCCCATCTCTACTAAAAATACAAAATTAGCTGGGCGTGGTGGTGCATGCCTATAATCCCAGCTACTCGGGAGGCTGAGGCAAGAGAATTGCTTGAACCCGGGAGGCAGAGGTTGCAGTGAGCAGAGATAGTGCCACTGCACTCCAGCCTGGGCAACAAGAGCGAAACCCCATCTCAAAAAAAAAAAAAAAAAAAATGAAGGGAAATTAGAAAATACTTCTAACAAAATGGTAACAAAAATACAATGCCAAAACTTACGGGATGCAACTAAAGAACTGTTTCGAGGGAAATTTATAATTTCAAATGCCTACATTTGAAAAGAAGAGTTTAAAAATTAAGCATTCATCTTGAGAAACTAAAGCAAGTGCAAATTATAGTCAAAGAAAGCATAAAAAGAAATGAATTAAATAGAAAAGAGACAATAAAGACAAATGCCCTCCAACTTATTTCTTTTGCTAAAGTGTCTGATTATTCCTTTTGATAATAATAATAATAATTATTATTATTATTATTTATTTCCTGGTTCCAGATTGTGTCTTTATTCCTCTTTCTGACAGACAGCAGAGCATTTGTCTGGCATATATTCTCTCTTACCACAATATAGATGATTTTCTGTGACTTTAACAATACATACAAGAAAAAAATCACATCTTTATGCCAATACCATTCTTTCACAATACTAGAAGAACAGATTCAGAGTACAATTACATAACTGGTTGGTTACATTTTGCATCCAGTGAGTAACACCATCATCTTCTTAGTTTCTATATCTATTTATTTATTTATTTATTTATTTATTTATTTATTTATTTATTTTTGAGACCAAGTCTTGCTGTGTTGCCCAGGCTGGAGTGCAGTAGCACGAACTCGGCCTCTTCAGTAGCCAGTACCACAGGCGTGCACCACCATGCCTGGCTAATGTTTTTTGTATTTTTAGTAGAGACAGGATTTCACTATGTTGCCCAGGCTGGTCTCGAACTCCTGGCCTCAAGTGATGCGTCCGCCGTATCTCAAAATAATAAGAGCTATTTATGACAAACCCACAGCCAATATCATACTGAATGGACAAAAACTGGAAGCATTCCCTTTGAAAACTGGCGCAAGACAGGGATGCCCTCTCTCACCACTCCTATTCAACACAGTGTTGGAAGTTCTGGCCAGGGCAATCAGGCAGGAGAAAGAAATAAAGGGTATTCAATTAGGAAAAGAGGAAGTCGAATTATCCCTGTTTGCAGATGACATGATTGTACATGTAGAAAACTCCATCGTCTCAGCCCAAAATCTCCTTAAGCTGATAAGCAACTTCAGCAAAGTCTCAGGATACAAAATCAATGTGCAGAAATCACAAGCATTCCTATACATCAATAACAGACAAAGAGAGAGCCAAATCATGAGTGAACTCCCATTCACAATTGCTACAAAGAGAATAAAATACCTAGGAATCCAACTTACAAGGGATGTGAAGGACCTCTTCAAGGAGAACTACAAACCACTGCTCAACCAAGTAAAAGAGGACCAAACAAATGGAAGAACATTCCATGCTCATGGATGGGAAGAATCAATATTGTGAAAATGGCCATACTGCCCAAGGTAATTTATAGATTCAATGCCATCCCCATCAAGCTACCAATGACTTTCTTCACAGAATTGGAAAAAACTACTTTAAAGTTCATATGGAACCAAAAAAGAGCCTGCATTGCCAAGACAACCCTAAGCCAAAAGAATAAAGCTGAAGGCATCACCCTATCCAACTTCAAACTATACTACAAGGCTACAGTAACCAAAACAGCATGCTACTGGTACCAAAACAGAGATACAGACCAATGGAACAGAACAGAGCCCTCAGAAATAATACCACACATCTACAACCATCTGATCTTTGACAAACCTGACAAAAAGAAGAAATGGGGAAAGGATGCCCTATTTAATAAATGGTGCTGGGAAAACTGGCTAGCCATATGTAGAAAGCTGAAACTGGATCCCTTCCTTACACCTTATACAAAAGTTAATTCAAGATGGATTAAAGACTTAAATGTTAGACCTAAAACCAGAAAAACCCTAGAAGAAAACCTAGGCAATACCATTCAGGACATAGGCATGGGCAAGGACTTCATGACTAAAACACCAAAAGCAATGGCAACAAAACTCAAAATTGACAAATGGGATCTAATTAAAGAGCTTCTGCACAGCAAAAGAAACTACCATCAGAGTGAATAGGCAACCTACAGAATGGGAGAAAATTTTTACCATCTACCCATCTGACAAAGGGCTAATATCCAGAATCTACAAAGAACTTAAACAAATTTCCAAGAAAAAATCAAACAATCCCATCAAAAAGTGGGCAAAGGATATGAACAGACACTTCTCAAAAGAAGACATTCATGCAGCCAACAGACACATGAAAAAATGCTCATCATCACTGGCCATCAGAGAAATGCAAATCAAAACCACAATGAGATACCATCTCACACCAGTTAGAATGGCGATCATTAAAAAGTCGGAAACAACAGGTGCTGGAGAGGATGTGGAGAAATAGGAACACTTTTACACTGTTGGTGGGACCGTAAACTAGTTCAACCATTGTGGAAGACAGTGTGGTGATTCCTCAAGGATCTAGAACTAGAAATACCATTTGACCCAGCCATCCCATTACTGGGTATATACCCAAAGGATTATAAATCATGCTGCTATAAAGACACATGCACACGTACATTGACTGCAGCACTATTTACGATAGCAAAGACTTGGAACCAACCCAAATCAATGATAGACTGGATTAAGAAAATGTGGCACATATACACCATGGAATACTATGCAGCCAAAAAAAGGATGAGTTCATGTCTTTTGTAGGGACATGGATGAAGCTGGAAACCATCATTCTGAGAAAACTATCACAAGGACAGAAAACCAAACACTGCATGTTCTCACTCATAAGTGGGAACTGAACAATGAGAACACCAGGACACAGGGTGGGGAACATCACACACTGGGGCCTGTTGTGGGGTGGGGGGAGAGGGGAGGGATAGCATTAGGAGATATACCTAATGTAAATGACGAGTTAACGGGTGCAGCACACCAACATGGCACATGTATACATACGTAACAAACCTGCATGTTGTGCACATGTACCCTAGAACTTAAAGTATAATAAAAAAATAAAAAAATAAAATAAAAATACATTTAAAACCTTCCCCCCACACCCCGGAAAAAAAAAAAGTGATCCGTCCTCCTTGGCCTCTGAAAATGCTGGGATTACAGGTGTGAGCCACTGTACCCCGCCTTTTATATCAATTTAGTAAACTAAAAACAGTTTAGCAGTTTTTTATACAATTAAAACATACATTTACCTCACTTGATCCGGCAATTCTACTCCTAGGTGTTTATCCAAGAGAAATGAAAACATAGGTCTACAAAAAGACTTTATGAATGTTTAGAGCAGCTTCAGTCATACTAGCTCAAAAAAAATTTTTTCTTTTTTTTTGAGAGTCTTACTCTGTTGCCCAGGCAGGAGTGCAGTGGCGCAATCCCGGTTCACTGCAACCTCCACCTCCCGGGTTCAAGTGATTCTCCGGCCTCAGCCTCCCAAGTAGCTGGGATTACAGGTGCATGCCACCACACCCGGCTAACTTTTGTATTTTTAGTAGAGACGGGGTTTCACTATGTTAGCCAGGCTGGTCTCAAACTCCTCACCTCAAGTGATCTGCCCGCCTCGGCCTCCCAAAGTGCTGGGATTACAGGCGTGAGCCACTGTGCCCGGCCCTCAAAATTTTATCCAAATATTTTTTAACTGAAGAATGGATAAATTGTGGTATATTAATATCATAGTATATTACTCAGCATTAAGAGGGAATGAACTGCTGTTAGATGCAACACAGATCAATCTCAAAAACATGTTGATCAAAAGCCAGACACAAACTTTAACAAACGGCATGCTTCTATTTATATGAACTTCTAGAACAGATCAAACAAATCTATAGTGACAGAAAGCAGATTAGTGGTTGCCAGAAAGAAAGAATGGAGGGGTATTAACTTCAAAGGGGCATAAGAAAACTATCTAGAGTGATAGAAATGTTCTAAATCTTGATTGGCATGGTGGTTACACAGGTACACATTTCCAAAACTTGCTGAATTATACAACTAAAATGCATGTATTGTAGGTAAAATATACTTCAGCAAAGTAAAAGAATCAGAAAGTTCTAATTAGAAAATCAAATATATTGCATATTGTTAAAACATTTTGGTACTGATCAACTTCCTGCTTTAAAAATATGTATAAGCTAGGACCTGTGGCACATGCCTATACTGAGACGGGAGGGTCACTTGACTCCAGGAGTTCAAGGCTATGATCATGCCACAGCACTCTAGTCTGGGTGACATATAGAATCTCCTCTCAAAAAAAAAAAAAAAAAAAAAAAAAAAAAAAAAAAAAATCAGACCTAAATTGAAATTTTAGGATGGCCAATTCAAAGTGAAGTAGATAAAAATTCCATTAGAACACGGCCAGAGACCAACCAAAAGAAAGATGCTGGCCGGGCACGGTGGCTCACGCCTGTAATCCCAGTACTTTGGGAGGCCGAGGAGGCTGGATCACGAGGTCACGAGATCGAGACCATCCTGGCTAACACGGTGAAACCCAGTCTCTACTAAAAATACAAAAAAAAAAAAAAAAAAAGAAAAGAGCCGGGTGTGGTGGCAGGTGCCTGTAATCCCAGCTACTCGGGAGGCTGAGGCAGAAGAATAGCTCGAACCCAGGAGGCGGAGGTTGCAGTGAGCCAAGATTACGCCACTGCATTCCAGCCTGGGCGACAGAGTAAGACTCTGTCTCAAAAAAAAAAAAAGATGCTTAACATGTTTAACATGTTTTGGAATGGTCTATGGCCCTTCATATGATAGCAAATCCTTGTTGGAAAAAAAGATAGCCTAAAAAGAAATAAGTGTGCATGTTAGGAAGTGGAAAATTAGGCTGAACAGGAAGCATGGAGTACACTCTGGTCCTTAGTGCGCATCCTTTTCCTTGAACAACCATGGAGTTTCTGTTCTACCAAAGTAGTTATTGGACACTAAATTTTACACAGTATTAATCTCGTTTCTCTTGTTATATTGTGATCCTCCTCAAGAACAGCCAGTGACCATGCTGCCTATTTCCTTTGTATCATCCCAAGTGCTATGGACAACAAATACTCTGACCCCAGTTACTTAAGAATTTGTAGGTATATGGCGGAAATGAAAAAGGGGTGCAGCACTACTTTAACCAGCTAGCCTACTTAGCCTAGACAAAGCAACCAGAATTATGCTCATCATGTAGGATGATATATATATATCATTTCTTAACCTCACATATAGATTAAGAAATGTTAAGTAGACATAGAGTGAAAAAAGATATTTTGGAGGGTGAAGAGGAAGAGGAAGGGTTAATGTGTTGTGGTGGACAGTCAAGAATGAAAGGAGGCTGGGCCTGGTGGCTCACGCCTGTAATCCCAGCACTTTGGGAGGCCAAGGCGGGTGGATCACAAGGTCAGGAGATCAAGACCATCCTGGCTAACATGGTGAAATCCTGTCTCTACTAAAAATACAAAAAAATTAGCCAGGCATGATGGTGGGCACCTGTAGTCCCAGCTGCTAGGGAGGCTGAGGCAGGAGAATGGCGTGAACCTGGGAGGCGGAGCTTGCAGTCAGCCGAGATTGCGCTACTGCACTCCAGCCTGGGTGACAGAGCAAGACTCAGTCTCAAAAAAAAAAAAAAAAAAAAAAAAATGAAAGGAAGGCTGGGCGTGGTAGCTTACACCTGCAATCCAAGAACTTTGGGAGGCTGAGGCAGGAAGGAGGGTTTCTTGAGGCCAGGAGTTCAATACCAACCTGGCAACATAGCGAGACCCTGTCTCTATAAAATACATAAAAAATTAGCCAGGCATGGTGGTGCATGGCTATAGTCCCAGCCACTTGGACAGGCTGGGGTGAGAGGATCACGTGGGCCCAGAGTCTGCGCCTGCAGTGAGCCATGAACATGCCACTACACTCCAGCCTGGGCAATAGAGTAAGACCCTATTTCAAAACAGCAACGACCAAAACAACAACAACAACAAAAAAAACAATCAAAAGAAAGGAGTGTAAATATGCTTTTAATGACTATCTTTAAGGAGATTTAAAGGCATAGTCAATGAAATGAGGCAATCTGAGTGAGCCCTCTCAAAAGTAGATCTATTTAATAAATATGGAGCAAAAAAAACAAGGAAGAACATGTTACTCTGATACAGTAAGTCACCTGACAGAGTTACCATCTTACATATTTAAATAAAAAGTCAATGCTGTCTTATTAATAACATGTTATCAGTCAATTATTAATGTTTAATATGACATGGACTACCTCAACCATATCTAGCATAGATCTAAAATAATTTAAAAAAATTTTTCTGTTCCAAACCATGTGAGAAGACCAAAGGGAGAAAAAAAGCAGAACATAAAGTTTCAGTGGGATAAAAAGAAGAGAAAAGCAAGAGCACTCAAATTTGGCTCCCTGAAAATGTGGAGTATCTACAGAGAAAAGTCAGTAATCCTGAAGAGTTGGCTGATAACTTTGGTGGCAGTCACATCTCCCTAGAAATGTCACAGACCCATGTGAAGACGCTCAAAGGTTACCAAATGTAGATGCCCCAACTTTGGAAAGCTGCCATAGTCCAACCCAGTGGCAACCATGGCAATTTTTGGGCAAGTAATATTACAGAAAAAATAATCAGTTTGAAAGCTCAAGCTAATGTAGCTTTTAAGCACCAGGACAAATTAGACCAGGACTGTTTCATGTTTACCTTCAATGGAATAGTACAATAGTGTGAAAACTTTACCTTTGGATTCTTGCCTTCTTTGGCCAATAATGCCCGAAGTCTTTCTTGTGAAGGGGGTGCAATGAAGATAATATATGGTTTCAAATCTGAATTCCGGAGAGTCTTCAATGACTGTAAAGAGACATTTTGATTTTTAAAATAATTTGCATCATTTAATTACTTCCTAATAATACTGATATATATATATATATATATATTAGATTAAGGGACTTGCTCTGTTGCCTAGGCTAGAGTGCAGTGGTGTGATCACAGCTCTCTGCAACCTCAATCTGCTGCACTCAAGTGGCCCCTCATCTCAGCATCCCCAGTAGCTAGGACTATAGGCATGCACCACCATGTTCAGCTAACTTTTTACTTTTTTGTAGAGACAGGATCTCGCTTTGTTGTCCAGGCTGGTCTTGAACTCCTGGCCTCAAGCAATGCTCCTGCCTTGGTCTCTCCCAAAGTGCTGGGATTACAGGCATGAGCCACTGCACCTGGCCCAATTCACAATATTTTTAAGATCCTACCATTCACTGTAAGAATATACTGTGAAGCCATATATATATATACACACACACACACACACACACACACACACGTGTATATATGTGTATATATGTATATATATACACATATAATACATATTATATACATATAATTTTAGCTTGCTCTTTTATGTAATGAAATGTAAGTGAATGATACTGAAGGATGACAACTATGTGATATTAAAACACCTAGTTTTAATAATAAGATCACATACAGATTACAATAACCATATTAAAAATCAATTTTGGAGCAATTAGAATCATACAAGTTGCCTTACTATGTGCCAGACACTAAATATAAGCAAAATCATAGAACATAACTTCACATGTGCAAGACAATTCAAGAAAAGCACATCCAAGAAAAAGTAGACTATGTTTGAATCTGGAGATTGCAGTTTTCACTTGATTACCAATGCATGACTGTGTGTGCTCAAACTGACACGCTCTATCAAAATGGAGATTATAGGAATATGCCATTGCTATCTAAAAACATTAAGATGATTAAAACAATATGCTGAGTTCTTTGTTAAAATCTGTTAGCCCTTTTTTCTGGAGAAATAAGAATTTTAAAAACCTGTTTGCCCAAATAATATAAAGAACTCTAAAGAAATTTAGTAAAAACATGTATACTTCTCTTAAATCAAAAATTTATAATTGAAATAGTAGAGCCTAAGTGCATTTGTCCACTAAAACACAAACAAAAATCCCTAATTACTATTTTAGAATAGCCATTTTAGAGTCAATTCTCCTTTATGTACATCTCTTTAATGACCACTGACTATGTTGCCTAATTTGACATGAGCAGCAGATTCTACCACATTAAGGAAAGTCGTATGCTAAAGCTGTATGGTCTACAAAAATTAAACAATTTTCCGTAACATTTGGAGTTTCTTAAAAACTCCAAGTTTCTAAAATTAGGTTTTTTTGTTTTTGTTTTTCAGACAGAGTCTCACTCTGCTCACTCTGTCACCCAGGTTGGAGTGCAGTGCAGCTCACTGCAATCTCCGCCTCCCTGGCTCAGGCGATTTTCCCACCCCAGCCTCCCAAGCAGCTGGGACCACAGGTGCATGCCACCACACCTGGCTAATTTTTTTTAATTTTTGGTAGAGATGGGGCTTTGCCGTGTTGCCCAGGCTGGTCTGGAACTCCTGAACTCAAGTGATCCACCCACATTGGCGTCCTAAAATTATCATTTTAAATAGAAAGCTAAGAGGCACTAGTTAGTAATTTTACACTTTTGCTTAGTCTGCCAAATAAGTGAAACTGAGGTCTCATTATTTTCATACAACCAAGCATTCACTGTGATACTTGTTAATATTTGAACAATGGCATTTAAACCATAAAAATAATCTTGAAATTTTCTAATTTTTCTCATATCGGAATCAGAAAAGGGAAATTATTTCATAGACTCAAATTAAAGTACTACCAATACTATATTTACTGTATTTTAAGTTTCAGAACATACATACAAGCATATATACAAGCAGAACATCTCTAATCCAAAAATCTGAAATGCAAAATCTGAAACTTTCTGAGCAGTGACATGACAGCACAAGTGGAAAACGTTACCCTGGCCTCATGTGACGGGTCATAGTCAAAATACAGGAGCAGACAGTTTATTCAATATCCCCAGGAAAAATAAAATTACCTTCAGGCTAAGTAAATAAGGTGTATATAAAAGATAAATGAATTTAATTTCAGACTTGGGTCTATCCTCAAGATAGCTCATTATATATATGCAAATATTCTAAAATCTGAGAAATTCTGAAATTCAAAACACTCTGGTCTCAAGCATTTTGAATAAGAGATAGTCAACCTGTATATGTAAGTATGTATATGTTTTCCCTCTGAGGAAACTGAAAGAGATTTAGCAACCTGTGTGATTTCAGATAGCAAATCAGTGGGAAAAACCGTATGAGAACTTAATTAGGTCGCGCTGTTCTTGGACCAAAATATAGCTTCCACTAGATTACTCTATATGACATTCCTTCTAAGTTCAAACCCTAAAACAAAGTTCTAGCTTTACCTGTGTACGAAGACTTAAAAGACATATTTTGCCAGAGTTGATCACTTGCCGTACAGAATCTATGCTAGTTCCATACAAATTCTTCTCAAATTCACCATGCTCAATGAACTTTCCAGCTGCTATGTCTGCCTCGAATGCTTGCCGCGAAACAAAGTGGTAATCTCTACCGGCTACTTCTTGGTCTCGCCTACTCCGGGTTGTATCTAGGCAAACAAAATCAGATAGAAATAACAGGCATGGCTTAGAGTGAGGACAGGGGATAATTCTGCTAGTCAGAAAGAATTTCTATTTTGTAACACAGATTATAAAATAATAAACTGAGAAAATGCTAAGTGCCTACATGTTTAACATTGTTTTTATTTTTTGTAGATTGAAAAATGAACAAAAATGAGTTTGTAGTATCTTAGTAATAGTTATATTTATCTCAATACATTTTATGCTTACACTTCAAGTTACTTCATCCTGCATTTAAAACACTACTACTCATCTTCTCCTAAAGTTTATCTCCATAAGATTAGGTACCATATAATCTTATAACTTCTGTTTCAGATTATGCCTAAGTTTCTATCTTCTGTATCACTTTAAAGCAGCAGGAACTGATTCTCTATGGAACAGGAAATTATAAGGGGCCCAAACTGAAATTTGTTTAGAAAATAATCAGTACATACTTGAAGGACAAATTTAAATTTCTTAATAATGACTATTTTTAATTTAAAAATTGTCAAAATCTTTGGTTAAAGTTCCTCTTTCACTGACAACAGTGTTTTAATGAAATGAATAAAAAATTTCCCTACATGATATAGTTAGGTTCTGAGCTGGTAAATTGAAAAGCACAGGAAAATGGGAATGCATTCAAACTTACGAGGAACTGCAGATGCAAAGCGGTCCTTTTCTTTGTTCATGAGCCTCTGACGCAATTCATTCTGGCCACAGTTCTGTGGACCAATCAAGATGATAGGTCTCTTCCTATTTGCTGGCTGATGATAAAGTGACATTTCCTCATAGGTTAAGATCTCCTCGTTGTCATAATCTTTGGGAAAAAAAAGTTAAGCTCTTCAAACAAAATTATGGCCATGTATTAAAGATATAAATACTCATAGATCTTCACCCAAAATTAGACAAAAGCACAATTTATTGTCATTACATCCTTGCTAGGGTATCATGAAAATGAATCAGACAACAATATAATACTCCTTCTATTAATTTTTATCTCATTTCATATTTGAAATAAAAAATTCATGCTTGAATGTCTAATACAATATAATTATACTGATTCTTACATTAAACAGCTAATTTGCAGTCAATACTTTGAATAAGGATGCGGTACCAGGGAATGAACTAGTAAGAGTAATATCCGTCATTTTTG
Organism: Homo sapiens; assembly: GCF_000001405.40. Taxonomy (NCBI): domain Eukaryota; kingdom Metazoa; phylum Chordata; class Mammalia; order Primates; family Hominidae; genus Homo; species Homo sapiens. The sequence continues at coordinate 67,319,893 of NC_000014.9, read as the reverse complement.
AAGAATGCAGATATTAATATTCTACTTAAGAAGGTTGTTTTAAGAATCAGACATAATGTATACGCTGAATACAATGGCTAGCATAGACCGACATTTACATATAGTGGCTACAACCAGTGTTATCAGAGAAAGCTGGAATACTTTCCTATAGTTCAAGCTCGTCCAACCCGTGGCCCATGAGCTGCATGCAGCCCAGGACGGCTTTGAATGGGGCCCAATGCGAATTTGTAAACTTTCTTAAAACACTGTGAGATTGTTTTGCAATTTTTTTTTTTTTTTTTTTAGCTCATCAGCTATCTCTAGTGTTAAGTGTATTTTACGTGTGGCCCCAGACTATTCTTCTTCTAATGTGGCCCAGGGAAACCACAAGATTGGATACCCCTGCTGTAGTTGTATAACTTGAAAACAGGCCATATGCATGCTATCTCCACTTTCTGCATTTATGTTTACTCTACTCTGGAATGCTAACCCAGAGTCATGAATCAAAATGAGGTATAAATTATGACAGGTGGGGTAACATTCCTAAAGCCCATAATCCAGATGAAACCAGAGCTGTCAAGTGGTAAGAACAAAAGCAGATAACTAGTAGCCTGCCAAGTCCTCACTCATATTACTTCTCCTGACTGTGAAGGAGCATCAGATGTGAAGTCAGACTCCCTCAGCTCTATTTCCATGAGGTTAGGGGACCATCTTAGGCTTGTCAATGCTCAGCACAGAGCCTGGCACAGAGCAGGAGCTCAAACTACACTTGTTTAAATTCCAGCTCAACCAATCATGTATTAGTTGTTAAGAATTTCAGCAAATCACTTTAATATCTAAACTTTTTTTTTTTTTTTGAGACGGAGTCTCGCTCTGTCGCCCAGGCTGGAGTGCAGTGGCGCGATCTCGGCTCACTGCAAGCTCCGCCTCCCGGGTTCACGCCATTCTCCTGCCTCAGCCTCCCGAATAGCTGGGACTACAGGCACCCGCCATCACGCCTGGCTAATTTTTTGTATTTTTTAGTAGAGATGGAGTTTCACCATGTTAGCCAGGATGGTCTCCATCTCCTGACCTCGTGATCCGCCTGCCTCGGCCTCCCAAAGTGCTGGGATTACAGGCATGACCCACCGCGCCCGGCCTAATATCTAAACTTGAATCTATTACTCTGTAACCTCAAGGAGTTTGTGAGAACAACATCATATAGTTACTGCCCTGGAATACAGCAGTTATTATGAATTGTAGTTATTTATTTAAAAATATTCATGATGATGACATCATCATAAACAGCAAATGTAATTCCTTCTCCTCTCAAAATGATTTTCTCTGAAAAATCTGAGTTTATTCTAACACGTATAATCAAGACTGGTAGCATTTTAATTTATAGACTCAGTGTGTATATCCATAAGGTTCAGATTTGCCACGTTTTCTACAGTACAGTAGCTCTTAGAGCTGGACTAGTTAACTTCAGTCTGTTTCAAAAAATAAAAGAGATATTAATCACAAATATAGAGGATAAAATTTAAAACTCATTAAATCTTTTTAGTTACATAATCTGTCAATTAGCATTAAAGGATATTTATTTTAGAAAAAAATTTATTAAAGTTGATCAAACCTCATTTAGCTTTTATGGAATATTATAATGATCTATAATGTTTTATCTTTATTAGTTTAATGTGTGCTGCTCCCAAATATTTCAAATTCTTGACAGAAAAGCCTTATAAATTACATAAGAAGGAAAGCCTTTGCTTTATTATTTGGGTTGCTTCTAATGTGAACCAAACAGAAGTAGCAAACTCAAATGCCCATAAAAACAAACTAAGGAGGTAATAAAATCAGTAAATCAGGTTGGGTTAATAAAACACTGGGAGTGGTAGAGACTGTTAAACTAGACACCAGGTGCTTGATATAAGAGCAACAGTCATCACTCAGGTCCAGCAGACTGTTGTCACCTAGGAATACTAGCCCAACATTATCAGAGCTTTTGATTTTAAGAGAAGCTACAACTTTCGAGCTTTTTAATCTTAGCAATCAATCAAAATAAAACTAAAATTCTCTTGTGTGTCTGACTTAGCCAGCAGGTAGTGGGTTCTCAGGAATGAGTTGCTTCTGTGACATGAGCTATTGTAGAGGACATAGTTTTTACTTCAAGTATGTTCTGTAAGAATTTGTTAGAAGTATAATTTTTGCAAAGAGTTTAAGTAGAAAAAAACTACAGGAAACTGTCAATTTAATACTACATATGCTAAATAGTACTTGAATTTTTGTATCAGTTTTCCCCAGAATTCAAAACACTGCCTTACTCACAGGATTCCAAAAGAAAATACTTTCTACTAAATGATTTTCTCAAGCACATATTTAACATTAAGGTGCAAAACAGGACTAGGTTTAGACTCCTTTCAGATATAATTCCACCTATCCCTGAGAGTAGAACTTACCATCATTTTTATTGGCATTATATAAAACCTTTTTCCTCTTCTTTTTATTCTTCTTTGCACACCACAGTTTTCCTGTTGAGCAATCATAAACATAACTATAAATGTGTTCCCGTGAACAAAACCACATAACTCAAATTGAAGAACTCTATTTATTCATTCATTTATTCTTTAAATTTTTTTGCAGAAACGAGATCTCCATATGTTGGCCACGCTTGTCTTGAACTCCTGGCCTCAAGTGATCCTCCCGCCTCAGTCTCCCAAAGTGCTGGGATTACAGGTGCAAACCACCACACCCAGCTTGTTTTTAATTTACTTTTATAAATACTTATTACACTGTTTGTATAAAGACTATTTTTCAGGAAAGCATTTACAATTTTCAATTAACTACACAGTATAGACAGATAATCTTTAATACTTAAATCTTATCCTTTCTTTACAGTTCTGAGATAATCAGTTTTGCCTCTTGTATCACTCTTTCCCTGAGTACTTCTTCACGGTTCTAATATGCAGATTCACACATGGCTCCAGATGAAGACCCAAGAAACCATTTACTTATGTCAAATACAAGTGTCTAACCTGATTTTTCTGGCTCCTTATCTTCTTCTATGGTTTGTTTCATGGCTTCCCTTTGCTGCTGAAAGCTTTTCCCTTAATAGCAGAAAGAAAAAGAAGGGTAAAATATTTAAGATAAAAGGATAAGAATTTTTTTTTTAATCAAGAAGGGAAAACACTAGACATATCTCTTCACTTATATTCCCTTCCAAATCCTTTTGCCAACACAGGAGTAATGTCAGCTATGATGTGTAAGCCTCCAAATTTTTAAAATATTAACTCTGCTCAATCAATCCCATATGTATTATTAGAATACATATCATCTACTAAAATATTTAAAAATTTAATAGTTCAACTTTTTAAAAGGTTTCATTGAGCATTTACTTTGTGGAAAAGTACTATCCTGGATCTTACAATGGTTCTAGGTCCTTTAGAATTATCTCAAATTAAGGATATCAATTCTAGGAATTAACTTTTCCAAAACAACATGTGCGCATTCATCACATATTCAATTCCATATTCAATTCCAAGAAACCATTCAGTATATTCCCTTGCATGCATTATTCTCAATTCCTCTTCTTTTGTGTATGTATATGTGTTAGCCATTTTTTATTTCCACCCTTAAGTTACCAATTATATAAATGGAAAACGTGCTTTTCCTTACAAAATTAATATTTTAATATAGGAGGCTTTCAAGGTTCCTGACCTTGAAAGAGGTTTTCTTTTCCGACTTCTACTTTAAATCAAATATGTCTTTTCCTATAGGATACAAGTGGCTTCACTTAGAAGATTCTGAATTACGTTGAGGTTCCACTTTTTTATTTTATTTTTAAATCTACTTTTTTTCAGTGTAAAGCCAGAGATTCTTAAAAATCAATAAGCAAATTCTACATAGGTGGGGATAATCTGTAGAACTTAGTGCATTTCGTAAGTGTACTAACAAAAAGATTAATACTGACTTCCATACACATAAGAAGCATTAAAGGAAGCCTGGTTATCTTTTGAGACGAAGTCTCGCTCTGTCACCCAGGCTGGAGTGCAGTGGCGCAATCTTGGCTCACCGCAACCTCCGCCTTCCAGGTTCAAGGGATTCGCATGCCTCAGCCTCCCGAGCAGCTGGGATTACAGGGGCCCGCCACCATGCCCAGCTAATGGTTGTATTTTTAGTAGAGGCTCGGTTTCACCATGTTGGCCAGGCTGGTCTTAAACTCCTAATCTCAGGTGATCCTCCTGCTTGGCCTCCCAAAGTGCCAGGATTAGGGGCATGAGCCACTGTGCACGGCCAAGACTGTATTCTTAGTACAAGTAACTATTACTAGAAGGAAAATTTTAAGAGTATTAAAATTTAAAGGGGTCGGGTGCAGTGGCTTATGCCTGTAATCCCAACACTTTGAGAGGCCAAGGTGGGCAGATCACGAGGTCAGGAGATCAAGACCATCCTGGCTAACACGGTGAAACCCCATCTCTACTAAAAATACAAAACATCAGCTGGGCGTGGTGGTGGGCACCTGTAGTCCCAGCTGCTCAGCAGACTGAGAGAGAAGAAGGGCATGAGCCCGGGAGGCGGAGCTTGCAGTGAGCTGAGATCATGCCACTGCACTCCAGCCTGGGAGACAGAGCGAGATTTTGTCTCAAAAAAAAAAAAAAAAAAAAAAAAAATTAAAAATAAGTAACCGATTTTTAAAAATCAAGAACAAAGTAATTTTAATCATTTACATATTAAAAATGTAAAACATTACAATGATGTACTTCTGTGGCACTTTTTGTAGTATGAACTATAGGCTATTCTGAAATAGAGGCAGAAATTAATGAGAGATGGAAATGATTTTCTTTCTTTTTCTGAGACTGCTCTGTTACACTGGTGTGATCAAAGCTCACTGCAGCCTCAACCTTCCAGCCTCATGCAATCCTTCCACCTCAGCCTCCTGAATAGCTGGGACTACAGGTACGCACCACCATGCCCAGCTAATTTTTAAATTTTTTGTAGAGACAAAGTCTCATTATGTCAGCTATGCCACTATGTGGCCCAGGCTAGTCTCAAACTCCTGGGCTCAAGCAATCCTCCCACCTCAGCCTCCCAAAGTGCTGGGATTACAGGTGTGAGCCACCAGGGCCAGCCTCATAATGACCTCTTAAAAAAATCTGTCTAATTCTGATGGAAAGCCATCGTCAAACTCTAAGGCAGATCTTTAGTCTTATAAAAAGACTTAGAAATGTCATCATTGGAATCTATATACTTTCAGAAAATCAATCTATCAACAAACACTAGTTCTAAACATTTATGGGCTAAAGTTCGGCATGGTAGGAAGACACCATACTGATATTTGGCACAAGCCTGAGGCAGAACCACAATGGCTACCCAACACTCCAAGATTCTAGAGAAATGTCCTGTAACTGTTACTCTGAAGAATCACGGGTTTTAGCATCATACTCTAAAATAAATGTAAGAAGTCCATTCCTCCTTCCTTAAAATATGACTGATATAGACAAAATCTGTTTCTAGCCTCTGAGTTTTAAAGTGAGAAATTTGAAGCTTTCTGTGACCTTATACTCAAAAAGAATAAATGTAAATATTATGTTGAAATCTCTTGTACCCAGAAAAGTCTCTTTGGCTTAGTTACAGAGATAAAAGAGATTCCTTATAACTTATTCTAAAATCTTTGGACAACTTCCTCTGTTCCTACTATGTATCTCATAGTCAATATTTCTCAGTCTTTTTTTTCATGCCCTCCTTTTCTTCTTTTCCCCTAAACTATTGCTTGTTGTCAAATCCAGTGTAAGGCTAAGTCTATAGCCAAATCTGTTATGCTTAAAATCTTCTGGTGTGAGTAGGAGGGATGATCGCTAAAAAAGGTTGTAGATAAAAGATAAGGCCAGAAAAACATTACAGCAAAGCATTGAAAGGTCTAATTCAGAAACAGCAGTTCTGGCAGAACTATTTTTTTTTTTTTTAATTTTTGTTTGTTTTCTGAGAACTTTTAAAATCATCTTTTATTCATTAATTTAACATATATTATCTGGATTTAAAACAAATAAGACTTGGCCTCTGACATCAAGAAGTTTATAAACTGAGCATATACAGTAGAAAGAATTATAACAGAGACAATATCATGAAAATATTATAAAGTAGGGGACACAGAAGAAAAAAATATACATAAGTGTTAATGGATATGCTTTCAAGTAAAGTATGTAAGCGAAGTTTATCTCAGCACCAGGCAAAGTGCTTTACATGGTGCAGACATAACAGCATTTATTAACAAATAAATGGATGAATTATTATCCCTTTACTCTATATCCCTATTTTTATCATCCTGTATGTATTCCTTTGCCTTCTCCGATAGCTTATTAAACTTCCCTTAGTTCTGCTCTCCTTTCTTTATTCTACTGCCATCCTGGGAACTGTAAGAGCCATTTGTAGAAAATAATTATATCTACATACAGTCATGCACTGCATAACAACATTTCAGTCAACAACCAACCATATATATGATGGTGGTTGGAGGAATAGGCTATACCACATAGCCTAGCTGTACAGCAGGCTATATCATCTAGGTTTGTGTAAATACACTCAGTGATGTTTGCACAACAATGAAATCACCTAATGGCACATTTCTCAGAACTTATCCCTGTCGTTAAGTGATGCATGACTGTACTTTGTTCTATTTTGTATCATCTTAACTCTCAGAAACATGTCCCCTTAATAATCTTAATCTATAATGTAAGCTAAAGTTTTAGTTTAGTCTAAGTTAGGGATAGTTTCATCAATAAAAAATTTGGAGCATCCTGTTTCTGCCCTAAGATCACGTTTGGTACAATAAATTCTATGATGTTACTTTTCCTGACTCCTTATAAAGTTATGCATCTTTCCTTCTCAAAAATCATGTTGATGCTCCAATTAATGTCATAGTATATAGTATATAGTATAATACAAGTTGTATTGCCTCGATAATACGGTCATCTTAATATGTATACAGGAAATGTACTACAATATGGGATTGGCTGAAGTTATACATAATTCCATTCTAAAGGCCAAAGAATTGGCCACATTCTATTTAATATACTTACGCTGCAGGTACAACATAAAAACCCAACTACACGAAAAAGTAACTGGAATACTTTATTAAATAGAGGCATGAAAGAGTGAGTTTTTCTTTGTGAAGGCTTGCATTTTCAATGTTCTTTTAATATTATGTACTTTCTACCATATTGTGTCTTACCTGGAACAAGCCCGGCTAGAGGTTGATTATCTTCGTCCCCTTCCCTGTAGGCCTGCCACCAGTTTGGATCTTCTTGACTGATCACATGAAGTATATCACCTTTTTGAAAAGACAGACCTAACTCTCGACATGGAACATAAGGGTCATCTGAGGGGTCATAGTCAAAATGAGCTTTTACATGGATCTAAAAGATAAAAAGGGCAAAAACAACAATAAATGGCAATATAAAATGTTTCATATGAATACAATTTAAATGCTACAAATTTTTTATTATTTTTTAATTTTAAAAAAATTTAATAGAGACAGCATCTCAGTATGTTGTCCAGGATAATCTCAAATTTCTAGCCTCAAGCGATCCTTCTCCCTCAGCCTCCCAAAGTGGTGGGATTATAGGTGTGAGCCACTGCACTTGGCCACAATTTTTCATCAGTGCAAAGAAATTGTAGTTGGAAGAAGGGTGTTAAGTAACAGTGTTTTTGGGCAATATTTTTTCAGGCTGATCTGTTATCTTCTCTGTTGACTTGCAGATATGTACAAGGATATCCACAACACTGTTCGCAGCTACAAGCTGAGGTACAAGGTGCCTCAAAAGCTTGAGAGAAGCAGAAATAGAATAGAATCCTGACCTGTGAAAACAATGACTCTGCAATAAGGTATGCAATTTCCAAACCACAGCTACTAGAAAAGGTACACTTTACCTTACCACATCTCTTCATCTAAGCAGGTAAATATGAGCTTCCCTGGGGCTGTCATTGTCTCTTGACCCCACTGTCAGTCCAACTATGCCTTAAACTCTCTTGGCGTTTCTTTTAAAGGATATGTTCATGAAACAAGCACACTATCAACGACTAAAATTAACTAAATCAAGTTTATAATCAATTCTTATTTGTATGCTATGTAGGCTTTGACATATTATTAACGGTACAAGTTATAATTTTTGCTAATAATGTGTTTTTGGAAATCAGAATAAATCAAAGAATTGTGCTATTCTACTTAGCATTAAGGGCAGGTAGTAACTCTCATGAACTTTATAAGCTATTCTGTATGCCATTTCTTCCAATATGCCTCTGTAAGATATGACAGACTATTCTTACTTCTAAGAAGTTATAAAGGAATTAAAATTCTCTTTAATTTCCCCATGTCTAATTTTTACCTAACCTGGGCAAGTTGCATGTGACACTTCCAAAATCTATAAGAAATCTACTTCATCTAATGAGATCTCACACAAATTTGTAATGAGCATTTCTGCCCACATATTTGCAGTGAGCATTTCTGTCACACATAGGTTAAATTCCAAGTTCAGGCTCAACGAACCAAGCAAAAGACAAACAGTCTAAGAATTCAAGGTCCATTTCTATCCAAATATTATTTGGCTTTGGCTTTTTTTTTTTTTTTTTTTTGAGACGGAGTCTCGCTCTGTTGCCCAGGCTGGAGTTCAGTGGCACAATCTTGGCTCACTGCAAACTCCATCTCCCGGGTTCAAGTGATTCTCCTGTCTGAGCCTCCCGAGTAGCTGGGATTACAGGCACTCACCACAACGCCCAGCTAATTTTTGTATGTTTAGTAGAAACAGGATTTCGCCAGTTGGCCACACTGGTCTTGAACTCCTGACCTCAGGTGATCCACCTGCCTTGGCCTCCCAAAGTGCTGGGATTACAGACACGAGCCACCACGCCTGGCCTTAGCTTTAAGTGTTTTACTCTCACCATAATTGAGGTTATATGTAATAAAAGTAATACCAGTCTACCCCAAAAGGGGCACTTTTTAAGCGCTCTTTAAGCACTTGAGACACTGACTAAAATGAGTACTGTCGATGACAGACTATATGAAATTGGAAAAAATGCTAAGTGACAAAGATAGACATAGATAGATAGATAGACAGATAAATGGCTTTTTAAAAAATTTTTGGCTTGTCATTAAAGAATATTTTTTAATTTCAAAGAATATTTTATTAACTTCTATAAATAGGAAATAAAGCTGAGTCCTAATATACAAACTGAAACTAAGGTTAAAAAATGATCTGGTTAAAAATACAAAGATATAAAAGTTAAACAGCTACCAGCAAAACTTAAATGTTATTATGCCTTTTGGGAGTAACTTTTGATACACAAAAAATACACATTATCATAAGTGTATAGCATAGTGAATTTTCACTAACTAAACAGACCTGTATAACTAGCATCCAAATCAACAACCATCATATCACCAACACCTCAGAGGCCCCACCTGGTCTCTTTCCATCACTACCCATCCCATCCCCTCCAAGGATAAACATCATCCTGATTTCTAGAAACACTGATTATTTTCCCCTGTATATTAATTCATATACATGGAATAGCATAGTATATAATCTTGTACCAAATATAGTTAAGATAACACACCAAATTTGAAAGTGTTGTGGCTCATCCTAAATGCAAAGTGCCCTAAAGAACCTCATTCTAGATGTGAAAAAACAGTTTTTATTAAAATCTTGAAATCTTTCTCAGTCAGCACTAAAAATGAATTTTAGAAAGTTGTGTGGGATAGCAGTGAATCAAAACACAGTTAAGAGATTGAGCAAAAAGATTATACAAATTTATAATCTTGGCATGAGGAAAAATCTCCTATGTAGTTTTATCTAGAAATATGTTTTCTTTAAAAAAAAAAAAGTGCTTGAGCACCATCCTATCAATAATACTTCTAGAATCTGTTTGTTACTTTTTTGCCAAAAAAAAAAAACCTTGAGAATCTAAAAATGGAATTTTTGGCATCACTTGTAGTGGAGAGATCAATTTTACCAGATTTTTCAAAGATCAAATCAAAGTACTTGTCAATCTTGATTGACAATTTTATCAAATCACTTTCTGAAAGCCTACCCAGTATGTTGTTTTTCAAAGTGTTTTTGCTCAGATCACCTGCCTAGGATGTTTATTAAAATGATGAATTCTCATGCCGCACCTCAGACTCTCAGACTCTGAATTTTAATCAGGTTCCTTGGGTAATTATTAGGTACAGCAATCTTAGGGAACTACTACCCTGAGAGAAATTAAGACCCGTGAGGAGGGAATATCTACATTTATGACCATTGCCATAGGCCAACAAAATCACCCAGAGATGCTTTTCCATGTACTCTTGCCTATGCAGTTCTCATCCCTTAACTATTCTAATTTAACTGGCTTGGAACAGGGCCCCTCTTTGTGTAGGCTGGGAAGAGAACATGCTTTACTTATGTGACAAGTTTCTCTAGTCCCATCTAAAATATACCCTAAAATTAAGAGAAAAAGCTCTTACTTTCCTAAAATTAAGAGGAAAAGGCTCTTATTAATTTTTCCTAAGGAAAATTTATTTCACATCTGAAAAATTAATGATTTGAATGAGTTAAAGTCTGGGTATTGCCTTAACAGATACTATATGACTTTTATCCATATATTCCACTGATTAATTCTTACCAGTTCTAGAAGTTATCTCCACCAATCTTTCCTGCTAGTGTCAAAATTATTTTGTTTCTCATACAACAAAAAAAGCCCCTTTAAAATGAAGGAGATAAGCTGACCCTCATAGGAAAGGTCCAGGGCCTCATAATGCTATAATAATATCAGAACAGTATATCTGATCAAAACAGTATTTGGCTTCTGAACAAAACAAAATCTTCTGTTTACATTTCAAATTGTAGAACTGTTTGGACGCAATTATCTTCCAGCCCAACATTTTCTTTTTCCTTTTTTTAATATCTATAAGCTGTTCACATTTGAAGTCGTAATGATGAAATGGGGATAGGGTACAGGGATAATGATTCATCAGTTTATTTACATGTTTTTTAGGGATCCAATGTTCCAAAATATTGTTTTTCAACCAATCAAGAAGGCTATTAGAATTACTTATTAATAAAACTTGTCCTATATTGTAATTTGGGATAGTAAGTAGAGTAGTACATATATATACAATATGGGAGGGGACATGTTCAATGTTTTTTAATTGATAAAGGTATAAAACAAAATTAGCTGGTGGCACAGTAGATGGTACTTGTACACGGTACAGGGTAGCTGTAATCCCAGCTACTTGGGAGGCTGAGGCGGGAGAATCACTTGAACCCAGGAGGCGGAGGTTGCAGTGAGCCAAGATGGCACCATTGCACTCCAGCCTGGACAACAGAGTGAAACTCTGTCTCCAAAAAAAAAAAAAAAAGAAAAAGAAAAAAATATTTGGAGAGTGCTGATCTAAAACTCAGGATCTATATTCCACTTGCTCAATGGACACTCCTTTGGAAAAGTATAAATTTGCCACAACCACCTGGACAGTGTACTTGGGAGACAACTTTGGGATTAGCTTAATGGAAAGGTTAGTACTCATGAAGGTAAGGCTATCACATTGGTGACGCCCTCAAAATCAAAGAGAAAAAAAAGAAAAAAAAAAAAAAGGAAGTTTGGTTTTTCCCTTTTCTATTGTCTAAGTATTAGGTTGGCTTTTATACTTTTTACACTGACTTTTTTTTTTTTTAAACTGTTAAGTTCAGGGATCCAACTGCAGGTTTGTTACATAGGTAAACTTGTGTGTTGGGGGTTTGTTGTACAGATTATTTCATCACCCAGGTATTAAGCCTAGTACCCATTAGTTACTTTTCCTGATCCTCTCCCTCCCCCTGCCCTCTACCCTCTGAAAGACCCTAGTGTGTGTTGTTCCCCTTTATGTGTCCACGTGTTCTCATCATTTAGCTCCCACATGTAAGAGAACATGTGGTTTTTGGTTTTCTGTTCCTGTGTTAGTTTGCTAAGGACAATGGCCTCCAACTCCATCCATGTCCCTGCAAAGGATATGATCTCATTTTTTTATGGCTGCATTCGTATTCCATGGTGTATATATACCACATTTTCTTTATCGAATCTATCATCGATGGGCATTTAGGTTGATTCCACATCTCTGCTACCAAAATATTTTTCTTTGTAATTTTTATTTCTGTATCTCTTACTATCGCAGATTTATCTTTAACTCTTAAAGTTCATTGTAGAAGAGAAAATAGTGAAAGTGAGTCAAGGAAAGCCTTTATAGCACCAAGCAAGTTTTTAAGTATCTCCACACAACACTAGAATTTCTCCTTTCCCCACATCCACCAAGAAATAAATGTCTTTATTAATACATTTTTATACCTATAATGGGAAAGCAATGTATTTGATAGCAGTGGTTCTCAACTTTTCTTTACAACACAGTTATCTCTGTAGTGCCTGGCACAGAGTACATAATCATAATAATAGCTTATATGTATTAAACAATCAATAATCTGTTAATTTTCTGGTACATATTCTGTAACTAATAAGCGATGTGATCCTTCTTCATTTAAATACACTCCTTGTTAGATTATGGCATTAGACTAAATGAAAAAGTCCCATTCAGATAAAAGTCTATTATGCCCTCCCTACATATTATTATAGTATAGAATAATCTAAAGTTTTACAAACTAGTCTGGGAAATCCAATCCTTCCTTTTTTTAAAAAGGCCGAGAGAAGGAAACTGTACGTTTGAATAATGTATGCATTTCCTAGATCAAATGTGCCAGTTACTCAGGAAGTGAAATACAGAGGTGCCAAGACTCTTGCCCTCTGCTACTGAAAGAGCAGCCACTGATTGCTATGTGTGATACAAAAGAAATTTAAGAACTCAAGAGAGCACTTCTGACACAGCTTATTATTGCCATACATGACATCATAATTCAACAAGTCATTATATAGGGGTTTCAGATAACACTTATTTTGTATATCTGTCTTAAACACATTTCTAACATCACAAAACATAAATCAGGAAGATATCTGCTGCTGCTGCTATCAACAGATGCTGACCTGTACCATAATGATACTCAATAAATTGGTTCTAATTTCTTTAGATTATTAATTCCATAGATAATTATTCTGCATATGTCAACCAAGATTATGATTTCCTATTACTGTTTCCTTTCTGGACAGCCTCAATGAGCTTTAATAATAGCAGTTCATTTTAAGCCAGTTAGGTCTGACAAAACTTGGCAAGATATATTGCAATTGAGAGTTATTCATAATAAAAAGAGAAAAGAAGGGGCTGGGCATGGTGGCTCATGCCTGTAATCCCAGCACTTGGGAGGCCAAGGTGGGCGGATCATCAGAGGTCAGGAGTTCAAGACCAGCCTGGCCAACATGGTGAAACTCTGTCTCTACTAAAAATACACAAACACACACACACACACACACACAAATTCAGCCAGGCATGGTGGCGGGCGCCTGTAATCCCAGCTACTTGGGAGGCTGAGTCAGGAGAATGCTTGAACACAGGAGGCAGAGGTTACAGTGAGCCAAGATCGCACCACTGTACTCCAGCCTGGGCGACAGAGCAAGACTCTGTCTCAAAAAAAACAAAAAACAAAAGAGAAAAGAAGGAAAAGAAAAATACTGCACATCACTCTATTCTGAAAAGATCCCTACTTTAAATATGAAAATAGGCCGGGTTCGGTGGCTCATGCCTGTAATCCCAGCACTTTGGGAGGCCAAGGCGGGCAGATCACCTGAGGTCAGGAGTTCGAGACCAGCATGGCCAACATAGTGAAACCCCATCTCTGCTAAAAATACAAAAATTAGCTGGATGTGGTGGCATGCACTTGTAGTCTCAGCTACTAGGGAGGCTGAAGCAGGAGAACTGCTTGACTCTGGGAGGCGGAGGTTGCAGTGAGCCCAGATGGTGCCACTGCTTGCCTCGGTGACAAGAGTGAGACTCCAAGTAAAAAGAACAGAAAAAGCTCCATTTTAAAAGGGATAGATGTGGCATTTTGCTCTTTCTCCCACTTTCTTCCTTTTTAAGCTACTTCATTTTCCAGTTAAGTAGTTCCAGAGATTGTTCACCATGAACCTATATTCCTTTGGTCTTCAGATTAAACCAGCCTTTTATTCTTAATCAATAATGAAAGTTGGGGGTTAAATAACCACTAAAGGATAAGTAAGTTATTTCATTCTTAGGTTGAAACAATCTGTGTAAGTTAATTGCTTTGATATTCTGTTTTGCATACAACGAGAATCAACAAGTTTCAATGTAACACTTCGATTAATTCTATCCATGAAAAAAATGGCTTTTCTTTTACAGAATTCCAGATTCTGCATGAATAGCAGGAAAAAAATGTTGAGAAAACATGTCTTGGCTGGGCATTGTGGCTCACGTCTGTAATCCCAACACTTCGGGAGGCCGAGGCGGGTGGACCACTTGAGCTCAGGAGTTCGAGACTAGCCTGGGCAACATAGTGAAAGCCATCTCTACCAAAAGTACAAAAAAATTAGCCGGATGTGGTAGTATGCATCTGTGTTTCCAGCTACTAGGGAGGCTGAGGTAGGAGGACTGCTTGAGCCCAGGCAGTCAAGGCTGCAGGAGTCGTGATCACATCACTGCACTCCAGCCTGGATAATAGAGCCAGATCCCACCTCAAAAAAAAAAAATGTCTTAACTTCTGACATTTATTCTCAAAAGACAAAAGTCATTTACTCAGGAGGGATGGATTATTGTAGATAAGTAAGTAGGAGTATATTCCAACCCTCCTCTGTTATGTTTCCTCAGTTTGCAGAGCTACTTTTGAAGTTCAGGGCTTATACACAGAAGAGATACAGGGAACAGCACAATGCACAGAGAATCAAGCTGTTTAAATTCAAAGACAAACTATATTTCCTCATTTCTCTTCCTGCAAAAAAACTGTAAACATAAAGTAGGTTGCAGATACAATATCAACTTCCGTATGTTCTGTAAAAAATTAAGGGAAAACATGGAATGATAGCCAAACTATAAAGCATACCTGTGATGAAATATTGAGAGAAAAATGAAACTGTGTTCTTTCTCAAACTGCTATGCTTTAAAGTTAAGAATAACAGATGCAATACATCAAGCTTCCATGTTAATTCAACACTTTAAAGTTTCATTTTTAAATAGCTTTATTGATATATAATTCATATACAATTCACTCATGTACACAATTGGATGGTTTTAGTTTATTCACAGATTTGTACAATTATCACCACAAACAATTTTAAAACATACTTATGCCCTCAAAAAGAAACTTGGTACTGATTAGTAATCACCATTCCCTCATAAATCCTCATCTCCACATCTAAGGAATTACTAATCTGCTTTCTCTCCTATGGATTTACCTATTCTGGACATTTTATATAAATGAACCAATATATGGCCTTTTGTGACTGGCTTCCTTCGCTCAGCATAATTTCTTCAAGGTTCATCCATGTTGTAGCATATATCAGTACTGTAGGCTTTTAAAATTATCAAATAATATCCCATCATACATACATATTTTGTCTTTGATTCATCACCTGACAGACATTTGGGTTGTTACTACTTTCTAGCTACTGTGAATGCTGCTGCTATGAACATTCATGTAGACATTCTTATGTGAATATATGTTTTCAGTCCTTTTGGATATATACTTTGGAATGCAATTGCTTGACTGTATGGTAATGGAGACTGACTTTTAACAGATCTAGCTGAGTAAATGTCTAACAGAACAATATACTCTAAAAGAAGGGTTACACATACTTTTTAAAAAGCACTTGCCCTACTCCATACTAAGTTAAGTAAACCCACCTATAACTATAAAAAAAATTCTGAAACTGAAATTATTTTCTACTTTTTATTTTAAAAAGGTGCAGAGTTGGCTGGATGTGAAGGCTCACACCTGTAATCCCAGCACTTTGGGAGGCCGAGGCAGGCAGATCACATGAAGCCAGGCGTTCAAGATCAGCCTGGCCAACATGGCAAAACCCTGTCTCTACCAAAAATACAAAAATCAGCTGGGTGTGGTGGCATGCGCCTGGAATCCCAGCTACTCAAGAGGCTGAGGTGGGAGAATCATTTGAACCTGGAAGGCATAGGTTGCAGTGAGCCAAGATCACACCACTGCACTCTACCCTGGGCAACAGATGGAGATTCCATCTTCCACCTTCCAAAAAAAAAGGTGCAGAGTTTACTAATTTAAAACATTGATATTTCATATTTATTTAAATAAAAATGATTGAATTTATTTGAGTACAGGAAACAGTGACATTTCTGTAACAGTAAACAGTAACAGAAGTAAACAGCATCCACAAACACATAAATAATGAACATTTAAAAATCACTTACTACTGTTTCCTTGGCAGGAGGCGGCTTGATCTGTTGACTGGGAATCAGGACAAAAGTCAAAGTACCATGCATATCAGACTGTAATAGAAAGATCAGGTTATTTTTTAAATTTGCATTTATGAAAATCATTCCATGATTTTATGATCTATATTCCCTAAACTGGACTATTTCAGAACCCCTCCACAGACTTAAATGACCAGCAGCACTTTGCTCTACCAAAGCAATGAATGGGGCTGGATGAAAATAAGTGTGTGAAGATGTCTCTAGATTTTACAACAGAATCAGTAGATAGTACAGATTCCACTGTAATAACAGATGCTGAATAACTAGGACCATAAATCTAGTCTGTGCGTGTGTACAAAGTGATCATAAATTGCACTCAAAAGATGTCTAGAAATGATTTTCTGATTATACTAGCACTATCCAATAGAACTTTCTCCAATGATGGAAATGTGCTATTTCTGTATCTTAATAATGGTAGCCATTAGCTACATACTGCTTCTCAGCACTTGAAATGCAGCTAGTGCGAATAAGGAACTGAATTTTAAATTTTACTTAATTTAAACAGAAATAGCTATATGCAGCTAGTGATTATTATGCCGGACACTGCAGATCTATAGCACTGTTATTATCTAATATTATTAGGAAAACAACAATCAATTACAGATAATAAAATAAAAGAACACAAAAAATCATCAGGACACAGACTTTGTTTTGTTACTGTTTCCCAAGTGGCTAGTGCATATTAGGCACTCAATAAATATGTACTGAGTGAATTAATGAGTTATATTACTGATTCCAGAAAAATAAAATATATGTGATAGTGATACATCAGAAAGTAAAAAAATATCAGTGGTACCACCCAAAAATAAAACTGCTAACAAATACTGTGGAACAGTTACATCATGGAAAAATCAGGCTAGAAATCATCTAGTGCTCTTAACAGTTATTTTAAAAATATTTTATTCTAAAGTCTAATAAGAGCTTTCTAAAAGCTATCAATTATTCTTCTAGCTGCGTCAACTTACCAACAAGTCAAAAACCTCATTGACATCTTTCCCCCGAATTTCAATGCCATTAATCTCTAGAACTTCATCTCCTTCATGCAACAGACCACTTTTCTCTGCAGCACCCCCTTTTACTATCCGGCTAATGATGACAGAGTCCATTTCATTACGAACTGTAGCACCCTAAAAATATATATATGTATAATTTAAAAATAAAAATAATACAATTTTTGTTAAGCATTTATTTTTAAATTCTATTTTTTCCATTCAACAATACTAACCTTCAGTTATCTTAAGAAAAAATTTATTTACACAACTAGAGTAATTGTAATTAGATTTAAAAGTTGACCATTTCCCCCACACTTTCTGCTTCAGAAATACTCTATTCATTAGAATTCTGAAATTAACCAGACTTTTGAAGCACACAACAGCAGAAAAATGCACTTGTTTAAAAACAGTATGTGGGACACTTACCAACGGAATATCACGAGCCTTTTCTATACGAACTATTTTTACAGTTTCTCCTCCATACTGGCCAATACTTTCATAAACTCTCTCATCTGTAATGGGCTCTAGCTGCATTTCCTGCTCAGCAACCTTATCGTGGGCCAGTAAAAGTGCCTGTTTCAAAGAAATCCATGGCATTTTAAGTAACAGCATGATTTATTTCTGCAGAGTGATTTTTAACCTATGTACATAGTATTCTGACCATTAAATCTTTAAAAGTGTTATAATTAATTAGAGCTAATAATAAAGATGTGTTAAGTATACTAAGGGCATACTCTGGAATGGGTTATGAAAGTCTAAAATGCTTACTAAACTTCGGAAGATAACATCAATGTAAAGGTCTACACACCCTAGATAATTAAACTTACAGAAAATACAACCAAAGGGGGGAAGAATTTTTGCCTAATTTTTAAAGAAAAAGTTGTTTCAAAAATAATTTGGTTCATTTTAAATCTGAAAATATATAATCCAACAATAACTACTATGTTATAGATGGGGTTGTAAACATCAAAATAGGCTAGAGAATGTTTGACATCTCTTCCAGTACTGGAGTCTTTGATTTAAAAAAATAGAAGAATGCTGGAAAAACCACATATATAGTATTCTGTCCATTTTCTACCTGAATATGTGGAGTATTCAGCAAAGCAGTTAGTTCTTGTCCTTCCTTATGATGAACTGGCTTCAAAACAGTTTGTACCTAAGAAACAAAAATAAAGATTATTCTTCCTAGATTATAGGAAGTATCAGTAGCACCTGTATGCAGGGTCATATTTTTTAAGTACAAATTAAAATAATAAAAATACTTGTAAGAAATAAAATCACTAAAAAGAATTATTAGAGTTTTCAATCTTGTTATTATGGATAAAACAACAGTATTTCTTATTAAAAAAACACTAAATAATATTTTGGTACTTACGCCTATAGACAAAATACTTCCATCTTGAACGTTTCACCCAACATACCATAAAATTCATTAATAATAATTACATAAGAAAAGAAAAACTGTCCTAACAGTTACCTTGCTATTTTATAGTTTTTAAATCATTTATGTGACTATTTAAAATCAGAGATGACAACTTAAAGAGTTATAGTCAGGCTGGGTGCAGTGGCTCACACCTGTAATCCCAGCACTTTGAGAGGCTGAGGCAAGCGGATTGCTTAAGCCCAGGAGTTTGAGACCAGCCTGGGCAACACAGTGAGACCCTGTCTCTATTTTATAAATTTTTTTATATAATTAAAAAAAAAGACTGACAGTCTAACAAGATGAATTTATATGAGTGTAATGGAACAATCACCATAATATAATGGATTACATTAAATTTCCCACAGTCGAGAAATCTTTGTCTTCCTAGGATAAACTCCCCTTGGTTATAAATTTTTTTAGCCTGTTTCCTTATCTTTAGAATGGCACCTACTATTTATGGTGCTTCAAAGACTGATTAAGAAAATCTTAAAACAGGCCAGATACAATGGCTCACACCAGTAATCCCAGCACTTTGGGAAGCCAAAGCAGGCAGATCACTTGAGGTCAGGAGTTCGAGACCAGCCTGGCCAACATGGCAAAATACTGTCTCTACTAAAAATACAAAAATTAGCCAGGCGTGGTGGCGTGTGCCTGTAATTCCAGCTACTCAAGAGGCTGAGGCATGAGAATGGCTTGAACCCAGGAGGTAGAGGTTGCAGTGAGCTGAGATGGCGCCACTGCATTCCAGCCTGGATGATGGAATGAGACTTTCTCAAAAAAAAAAAGGTAATTCATAATACAGGAACCCAGTAATTCTATACCTTTTATGGCTATTTTAAATCATTTTATCAGTAATTTTCCTATGAAACCCAAGAGATGATAATTTTGGGATTAATTAATTTTACCACAGCAAGTGGATCAAAGCAATGACAGTACCAAAACCAGTCTGTCCTCAGGTTTTGGTACTTAGAAAATTATATTTCTAATTGTAGAGTTCCATATGTATAAACAGGACGGCACAGCAAATATTATCTTCTTCAAGAACTCAACTAAAATCTTACAATGGACAAGGCTTTAAGGCTTTAAGACCCAGGATTTAAGACTGTGGGTAACTAAAAGTTGTTTTTAAAAGAGGGTATTTTCCCTTTTAAAGTTTATTAAGTCTACATTAATTTTAAATGAAATTTGTAGTCTTGATCATACACCTTTTGACAGCTGAAGAAACTCTGAGGATGGGAAGATAATTCTGGATTAAAAATGTACCAAGGGTATACAAAATACACTGAGTCAGCTCAATAATAATTTTCCGTATTAGAGATTTTCTCCCTATTCCCACTTTTAAGTCAGTTCCTAAACATCTCTGAGATCTTACCTTCTAAAGAAATTTAGAACTCCCGTGTTTACCCACTGCCCTACTAACCTATATGTTGCTTATTCTAGTGTCAACACATATCATCAGCTACTTCTACAACGGTGTTAAGGAATTAAAAGGCTATTCTTTTATTCTACTGCTCCTTTCCATTGGCCTATAAAAATACTCTAATCCCTTATCTTTAAAAATACCTTTTCCTGACCTTGTACTGTTCTTTAGCTATACCACTTTTCCTTGTTTTCCTTCAGAGGCAAGACCCTTTTGTATTTTAAAACTAATTATTTTTTTAATTATAAAAATGATGTATGTTAAATGTGAAAAATCAGAAAATTGATAACCAAAAGGAAGGAAGTAAAAGAATGGACTTTTATTATACTTAGGGATAATCACTTTGGTATATATCCTTCCTACATTTCGCTACTTGTTTTTACCAAAATATTCACCTTGATATATGTATCTGACAAAGAACTTGTAGCCAGAATATATTAAGAACTCTTACAACTCAAGACGATTAAAATGGAAATAAGATCTAACCGGATATTTCACAAAAGATAGAGAAATAGCCAATACACATATAGAATAATGCTCAATATCATTAGTCACTATGTACATGCAAATCAAAACAAGATACCATTACCTACCTGCTAGAATCATAAACAGGAAACAACCCAAATATCCATCAATAGGTAAGTGGTCAAATTGTGGGATATTCAAAGAATGAAATGATACTCAGCAATTTACAAACTACTGATACAAGAACAACATGGATGAATCTCAAAAACATTATACTAAGCAAAAGAAGTCTGACAGAAAAGACCACCTATTGTCTTATTACATTTATATGAAATGTCCACAAATGACAAATTTGTAAAACAGAAAGCAAATCAGTGGATATTCATAGGGCCTGAGGATTGAAAGAGGTGATTGTCATCGCAAAGGGCCGTGGGAGAGAAGCTCTGTGGAGTGATGGATGCTTCTACAACTTGATAGCAGTTGTATGTTTTACAGATGTACATATATGTCAAAATACACTGAACTATACAATAAAACACACTCATTTTAAGTGCATGTAAATTATATCTCAATAAAGTCAGTTACTCCAAAAATGTACTCATAGCATCTAAACTTTGAGAAAATTTCTATGTATATACCCCTTCTTTATTCTTGACATTTATTTTTACCAAAATGAGATCACGCTACTCATAGTTTTTATAATAGTATTTTTTTTTTTTTTGAGACGGAGTTTCACTCTTGTCGCCCAGGCTGGAGTGCAATGGCATGATCTTGGCTCACTGCAACCTTCGCCTCCCGGGTTCAAGCGATTCTCCTGCCTCAGACTCCTGAGTAGCTGGGATTACAGGTGCCCGCCACCACACCCAACTAGTTTTTTTTATTTTTAGTAGAGACAGGGTTTCACCATGTTGGCCAGACTAGTCTCGAACTCCTGACCTCAGGTGGTCCGGCCCCTAGTAACAGTATAACTATTTTGACTTGATACTAATAAATTACTAAAATATTTTATTTTTCTATGTCACTAAATATCCTTTTTAAAACAGAAATATGACCATTCTAGTTCTGAGTGGCTCTCTGTCACAAGATTAAGTCTAAGCTCCTTAGTATTAAATCTAAGGACCATCACCATCTGATTCTTTCGTCTTTTCCAGCCCTATCTCCTGGCATTCCTTATGCCTTAACCTTTTTGATTCAGCATTAAACTGCTTGTTCCCTGCACAAACCATGCTGTCTCCCCACAACAACTGTGATTATACTAGCTGTCTCAGCTACCTGAATTGCCTTATTCTATTTGCCTAGATAATATGTACTCATAAGACTGAACATTTGATCTAAAATTATCAATAGGGCTATTTCCCCACTAGACTGAGCTCAATGAAGATAGAATTGTATCTTATTCAGCTTCATATCTGACTATTGGCAGAATGTCTGACAAATAGCACTGAAATATTTAATGAATTCAATGAAAGGAAGAGAGGATAGGAAGTCATCCTTGATGTCTCCTTTACCTTTATTACCCACATAGACACTATGTCCTATTAATTTTCTACTTAAATATTTCTATAATCCATGTACAACTGCTATTCAAAATCTTACATCTGGACAATTACAATAGCCTCCACATTATTCTGTTTCCACTGACTTTCCACAATGTTATCAAAGTAATATTTTAAATTAGAAGCCTGTTTATATAAATCTGTTTAAAATTCTTCAGTAGATTCGCAATCATGTATAGAATAAATTTCTTGCTTTAAATGTTTTATGAAGTGACCTTTTCCTGTTAAATTTGAGAAACACAAAAAAAACTAGTAAAATTACCTATTTATCTAACACCCAGAGATAGCCTTTTTAATAGTTTATTAATTCTTCCATTACCTCTTACATGCAGTTTAAATGAGATATGTGTGTGCATCTGTATAAATTAATTCATATTTTCCCTGTTCCTATACAACTTCATAATTCATTACTTCTTCCTGTTTTATTGCACTGACTGGTACTGCCAAAAAATGTTGAATACTAATGGTGGGCATCTGGAGTTTCTTTATCTTATTCAAGACTTAAATGGCAATGTGTGGGTGTTTCACCATTAGGGAAGATGCTATTGGTTTCTGGTATTATTATTTTTCTTTTTTTCCCCCAAAGTGCTTTGTCACACATGTGGTATTATTTTTGACTATTATCAAGTTAAAATAATGTGACTGGCTTTCTAAGAATTTGTATCAACAAAGAAAAAGTACTGAATTTTTTTCAGATGCCTTCTCTGCATCAAAATCATCATAGGAGGCCAGGTGCTGTGGCTCACGCCTGTAATCCCAGTACTCTGGGAGGCTGAGATGGAAGGATTGTTTGAGCCCAAGAGTTTGAGTCCCAGCTATTCAGGAGGCTGAGGTGGGAGGACTGCTTGAGCCCAGGAGGTTGAGGTTGCAGTGAGCCATAATTATGCCACTGCACAGCAGCCTGGGTGACAGAGCAAGACTCTGTCTCAAAACAAAGATCATATGGTTTTCTCCTTTCACCTATTCATATAAGTTAATTCTTTTAAAATATTTAAAATATTTACCAAAGTAATCCATCATAGCATAAATTTAAATTTATTAATGGCCTTCAGGATCTAGACACCATCTTTTTTTTTTTTTTTTTTTTTTTTTTTTGAGACAGAGTTTCACTCTGTTGCCCAGGCTGGATGGAGTGCAGTGGCACGATCTTGGCTCACTGCAAGCTCTGCCTCCCCGGGTTCATGCCATTCTCCTGCCTCAGCCTCCTGAGTACCACCACACCCGCCTAATTTTTTTGTATTTTTAGTAGAGACAGCATTTCACCATGTTAGCCAGGATGGTCTCGATCTCCTGACCTCGTGATCTGCCCACCTTGGCCTCCCAAAATGCTGGGATTACAGGCGTGAGCCACTGCATCCGGCGTCTGGACACCATCTTTTAACATTAAGTCCTATGCTTACTTAGCATTCAAGAAATTTGCCAGGCTTTCTCTCTCACTACCACCTCTGTACCCTTTGAGCATGGAATGCCTTTTCCTCTTTCTTACGCTTCCTGGTATATTCTCAGTCACCCCTCAAGACTCAGCAAATTAAATTTCCTTCTATGTTTTTTCCTTCTTCTCACCATTCCCCTCATCCTTCCCATCCTCCCAAAACAGAATTAGGCACATCTCGGTGCTGTTGGCACTCTTCTCATATTGCCATCATAGCACTTCTCATTAGACTGTAATTGTTTACTCATTGTTCCTCCACAGCAAAAGCCTAATGCAACTTTCACAGGTTGACAAACATCTAGGTTTTTTTTGGTTTCTATTATCTGGTTGCTATGAACATCTGTTTTTAAGCTTTTCTGTGGACACATTTTCATTTCTCTTGGCTATATACCTACAAGTGAAATTGCTGGGTCACAGTATATAGGTACATTAGCTTTAGCAGATACTGCCAAACATTTTTCCAAAGTGGTAGTATCAATTTATACTCCACCAGTGATGTATGAGAGTTTCAGTTGTTCCATAAGTTCACAAACAATACTGACAGTCTTTTAAATTGTAATCATTGTCATTCTGGTGTCAGTGTAACTGTATCTCATTATGTTTTAATTTGCATTTCTCTGTTGGCTAATGATGCCTAGTTATCTTTTCATTGCTATTGGCCATTTGGATTTCCTCTTTTTTGTGAAGTGACTGTTGTCAATTTTTTTTTAACCGAGTAGTCTTTTTTTCTTATTAATTTCCAAGAGTTTTTTTTTTTTTGAGACAGGGTCTCACTCCGTCGCCCAGACTGGAATGCAGTGGTGCAATCTCAGCTCACTGCAACCTTTGCCTCCCGGGTTTAAGTGATTCTCCTGCCTCAGCCTCCCAAGCAGCTGGAATTGCAGGTGTACACCACTACAGCCAGCTAATTTTTGTATTTTTTTTTTAGTAGAGACCAGGTTTCACCATGTTGGCCAGGCTGGTCTTGAACTCCTGACCTCAAATGATCCACCCGCCTTGGCCTCCCAAAATGCTGGGATTACAGGCGTGAGCCTCCCAAAGTGCTGGTATTACAGACCGCACCCAGCCAACAAGAGTTCTTTATATATTTCATAGACAAGTTTTTGTCATGTATTTACACACACACACACACACACACACACACTTCAATATCTCAAAATCAAATACCATTTCTCAGCGCGTTGGCTTTCATTTTTACTCTCTTAAAGGTGTTTATAAGTTCATCTAATGAAGTCCAAGTTCTAAATTTTCTTTATAAAAGCACTATAATATCCTAGGGCCAGGCGCAGTGGCTCACGCCTGTAATCCCAGCACTTTGGGAGGCCGAGGTGGGTGGATCACGAGGTCAGGAGATCAAGACCATCCTGGCTAACACGGTGAAACCCCATCTCTACTAAAAGTACAAAAAATTAGCTGGGTATGGTGGCGGGCACCTGTAGCCCCAGCTACTCCGAAGGCTGAGGCAGGAGAATGGCGTGAACCCAGGAGGCAGAGCTTGCAGTGAGCTGAGATCGTGCCACTGCACTCCAGCCTGGGCAACAGTGCAAGACTCCATCTCAAAAAAAAAAAAGCACTATAATATCTAAGAAATTTGGTTTGTGTTTATTAGTAAATATGCTAGATCATCAAAGATTTAATCTAGACCTTAAAATTTGAGGTTTCCGTAGGCTTTATTATTATATGATACCTAATGTTTAACTGATATTTTAAGCCATGTAAACAAAGAATACTTCTGAATGTTTCACTAAATTTCTTGAGTTTTTTTTTTTAACTTAACCTCACTAGGCCTCAATATTCAGAATGTGAAACAGGGGAGTTGGATTGGTGATTGCTGATATTTTTTTCCAGCTGTAAAATAAAGGCAATGGGTCCATTTAACCTTTACGATTTTGTTATCAGATTTAACATTCCTCTCCTTGTTGAGTTCTGACTATGTGCTTTTTTCACAAGTATAATGTACTGAAAGGGCAACTTCACAGTCATGCACACTCCAGGGGAAACCATTCACGTTCTATCACTGAAGACACTATAGTTACTCTAAGGACGTGAAAGCAAACTTTCAGAAAATCTCCTTTATACAGTACTTTTAAAATAGTGAACTATCCTATATTCACATATGTGAATATGTGAACTATCCTAAAACTAATATTCAAAATTGATCTTTTTTAAAGTCCTTTTTAACAACTTATTTCTTCCCAAGGCATTTACTCTTTAAGCCACTTTAGTTCTTTGCTTTTCTCAACTCCTAAAACCCTTTAAGCTAAGTTGTTTCTTTTCTCCCTTCTTTCCACCTTTCTATTGTGTGTGTCAGCTTTTTTCAATTGGAGCAATTGTGATCTGTCTTGCTTCTCTCACTCTCTTCTTCACCCATTGTTGTATTTAGCAAAACAAGGACCCAGTAGCCAGCTGGACAAACCTTCCTCCTAAAAGGGACAGGAATGATTATAATGATTTATTTTGTATTCTTCCCAACCGGATTTGAAACCAGTTCACTTGCCTGTGTGTTCTCAAATATGTCATATTTTTACCAAATATATTGGTACTCGTCTTTTCCTTCTATCCTGGAAGTGAGTCCAGAATTGCCTACATGTGTGAATAGTATAAGATCAAGGTAATGTTATTTCAATCTCCGTAAGAAAAGTAATTTTAAGAAATTTCAGAAAACCATTTAAACCATAAGTAAATATGACAAGTGAGAAAAATATCTCCCTTGGGGACAATTATGTGCTAATCTACAAAGTACCTTCTAACCTATTTTATAGGTTCTGTAGCTCTAGATGTCCTCCCTCCCCAATAGCCCATTTTCTGCTCATGTTGGCATTCAATGAAATACATTCACTTGATGGGATTCCAGAATTATTCATTTTAATAATACCAAAATAACTTAAAACGCTAGAATAATGAGAGACTGTCTACTCCCCAAAACAGGAGAGTTTATTTATACCCTTTTTAAATCTTAAATTTAAAAGATGTTTGCATAACAGATCAAACACTGAACACCAGTTAGCATCAGAAACAAGAATTTAAGTCATCATGTTAACAATAAAAACTCCCATAGTATATTAAGATTTAATAATTTGAAATGTCTACAGTTTTTATAGGAGGAAAACTTCCAAATACCTAGACATAATAAATCTTAGGCGTTATATAATGCCTGATTATCAGTTATAATTATCTCATCAGTATTCACTATCTCAGTTTATAATGTATAATGCTTAAAATTCATAAAACTATACTAAAAACATTAACAAATTGCTCTCTAGTAATTCAAATATTTGTTACTATCCAAATTTATGATTATATATAAAAAATTAACTCTTCATGAAACAGTGTTCTGACTCTGAAGTAAACTTTTTTTGTTTTTAGGATAAAATGCATGTAGTAAACTGTCACAATACATTATTAACATGTAATTAACAGTAATTAATTCAAACAAATCTTATAGTCACATTAGTATTTTCCAATAATCCTGCCTTCCTGCCACTACTAATTACCTTGTAGACATCAACAAGATGTTTAGAATACATACCTCTTGAGCAAGATCTTGTGCGTTGGAGATAAGAGGAAATGGAGGACTGGCCTTGTTCATGTGTACTGTGATGGCATTGTGTATCTTAAATGCATTCTGGAAATCCTTATTTTGAACAAGTTGTAAAAGCAGTGAAATATCCTCCTGGCTCTGAGAATCTACCAAAGTATGTTGGATATGTTTAAGTGAAGAAAACAAGTCTTCTATTTCTAGTAGAAGAAGAAAAGGTATCCAAAAATTAACTGTTTCAGTATTAATTCAACATGCATTTTCAGAGAACATTTCTTTGAACCAGTAACAATTTAAGTTTTCAGAAAAATACCAAAATCTGCATATATTATTGTCAATCATGGTCATTTCATAGGTTTTAAGTAAAACTCTTTTAAAAATTACACAACAGAATAACTTGCATTTTTACAAAGGTGTTTTAATTATAAAACTAATACACATTCAATATAAAAACAAGTGAGGGGAGGAATGCAAAAATAAAGAAATTTAAAACCACCAATAATCCCATCACCTAGAAATATTTTTTCTTAACATCCTATTTCCTTTTTAACAGTACATTGTAAATGTTTTCCCATATCACTAGTCTTTTTAAATATTTAATGATTCCATTATATTCTATTACATGGCTAAACCATAATTTATAGTAACCATTAAACTAAAGTTGAACATTTAGATTGCTTCCAATTTTTTGCTACCATAAAAACAAGCATTTCATTACATAATAATCAGTGCTACATATAAATTTGTCTGAGATTCTGATGTCTTCATAAGGTAAGTCCCAGAAATAGAACTTTTAGATAAGATTCTGACATTTTTTAAAAAGTCAAACAGCTTTTCTAGGGAGGCTTTACTAATCTGCATTCCATTAGCAATATTTTCAGCAATATTTGATATTATTATTTTTAAAAATCTTCCATTTATTTGACTAGTAAGGAAGTTGAGGTTTATTCACAATTACCAGGCACTTCTTTTGTGGTCTATAAAACTCTAATGAATATGTGAGTCTCCTAAGTTGTACTGAAAGTTGTGGGCATATGTATGTGCATTGTGTCTGCCTGTTAGTGTGCATAAATAGCACAAGCATTTTTCTGGAAAACGTTATTCTAAAATGGTTAAGAAGCACTGGTAGGCTGGGCGCAGTGGCTCACGCCTGTAATCCCAGCACTCTGGGAGGCCCAGACAGGTAGATCATGAGGTCAGGAGTTCGAGACCAGCCTGGCCAAGATGGTAAAACCCCGTCTCTATTAAAAATACAAAAATTAGCCGGGAACAGTGGCGGGCACCTGTAATCCTAGCTACTTCGGAGGCGAGGCAGGAGAACCCTGCACAGTGGCAGGCGCCTGTAATCCCAGCTACTCGGGAGGCGAGACAGGAGAATCACTTGAACCCAGGAGGCGGAGGTTGCAGTGAGCCGAGATCACACCATTGCATTCTAGCCTGGGCAACAGAGCAAGACTCCATCTCAAAAAAAAAAAAGCACTGGTAGTCTCTTCCCTGCTCCCAAATAGGCTGTGTGAGTGTACATGCACACGCACATATACTCTGTCATATTTGTTGGGAATCGTTTTCCAATATTTCCATTTACCTCTTAATTATATTTATGGTTGCTCTTATTATAGAATTTGTCAACTCCGACCCCCCTGCTTTTCCTGTGTGATTTCTTTCACTGTTTCTATGCTTATAAACTTCTTCTTGTAGGTCATTAAAAAATATTTACCTAGATTTCTTCTAGCTTTTTATAATTTCTACTTTATTTAACTTCTATTTAATTTTAATTCATCTAGAATTTATTTCAGCATAGATCTGAAAAAATTTAACTTTATTTTTCCTCCAAATAACCAATGATTCTAGTACCACTTATTAAATAATCATTCCTGGCCAGGCGCAGTGGCTCAGGTCTGTAACCCCAGCACTTTGGGAAACTGAAGCAGGTGGACTGCTTGAGTCCAGGAGGTGGAGACCAGCCTGGGCAACATGGCGAAGCCCTGTCTCTACTAAAAAAATATAAAAAATGTCTAGGCACAGTGGCTCACGCCTGTGTTCCCAGCACTTTGGGATGCTGAGGTGAACAGATTGCTTGAGCTCAGCAGTTTGAGACCAGCCTGGGCAACATGGTGAGATCCTGTCTCTTTTTAAAATAACAATAATTTTTAAAAATACAAAATATTAGCCAGGCATTGTGGCATGTGCCTTAGTCCCAGCTACTCATTAGGCTGAGGTGGGAGAATCCACTGGGGCCATGATCACGCTACTGCACTCTAGCCTGGGCAACTGAGTGAGACCTCATCAAATAATAATTCCTTTTCCACTGATTTACAATGCCACCAAATTCTTACACATATCAGAGTCTGTCTTTATTTCACTGGTCTATCAGAACTATACTGTTTTGTTAGAGTAGCATTATAATGTTTGTTTATATTAATATGACAAGTACCTGATCTTTCTTTAAAAGTTTCTCGACTATTGTAAATTAGTTATGTCACTTTTTTCGTTACCTCCCATTCCCTCTTTCCTAGTCTTCCAAAAAGAAAAGTCCTATTGAGATTTTGACTAAAATTAAACCTGTAAATGAGTCTAGGAAAAACTTAGAGCACATACAAGGACTTATACAGTCAAAGACAGTATAAAAAAGACAGGGAGGCCAGGCACAGTGGCTCACGCCTGTAATCCCAGCACTTTGGGAGACCAAGGCGGGTGGATCATGAGGTCAGGAGATCGAGACCATCCTGGCGAACACGGTGAAACCCCGTCTCTACTAAAAATATTTAAAAAATTAGCCGGGCGTGGTGGTGGGTGCCTGTAGTCCCAGCTACTCGAGAGGCTGAGGCAGGAGAATGGCGTGAACCCAGGAGGCAGAGCTTGCAGTGAACCGAGATAGTGCCACTGCACTCCAGCTTGGGCGACAGAGAGACTCCGTCTCAAAAAAAAAAAAAAAAAAAAAGGACATGGAAAAAAATCTTCCCAATGTGCCTTTTTGTCAGCTCTCTTCTTATAAGGTCTGCAGAAACACCACTGACTCTTATTTATCTTGTATCCCACAATTTGAACAGCAGTTAAATTTTTAAATAGATTTTAACAGTTCTTTGGTTGATTCTTGAGGTTCGCTATCTTTCCCGCCCCAAATCAAAACAACTTTAGTCTTCCTTTCAAACATATATATATTTAGTCTTCCTTATTTTATATATATAGTTATCCCTCGGTATCAGTGGGAGATTGGTTCCAAGACCTCCCACAGACAGAAAAATTTGCAGATGCTCAAGTCCCTTATATAAAATGGTGGAGTATTTGCATATAAGGTATACACATCCTCCAGTTACCTAAAATCAGCTCTAGATTACTTATAATACTTAATACAATGTAAATAGCTGTTATATTGTATTGTTCAGAGAATAATGACAGGGAAAAGTCTTTTTTATAAAGACTTATAAGACTTAAAAGCCAGCCACGTGCGATGGTGGCTCATGCCTGTAATCCCAGCACTTTGGGAGGCTGAGGCAGGTGGATCACACGAAGTCAGGAGTTTGAGACCAGCCTGGCCAACATGGCAAAACTCCAGGTCTACAAAAAAATGCAAAAATTAACCAGTTATGGCGGTGTGCTCCTGTAGTCCCAGCTACTTGGGAGGCTGAGGCAGGAGAATCACTTGAACCTGGGTGGCGGAGGTTGCAGTGACCCAGTATCACGCCACTGCACTCTAGCCTAGATGACAGAGTGAGACCCTGTCTCAAAAAAAAAAAAAAAAAAAAGGAAATAAAGAAAATAAAACTTTTTCCTTGTCATTATTCTCTAAACATACATATATGTGCGTTCATCAGTAGTTTATAATGAAGAAAAATTTGGGAAAAAATTTAAAAGTCAAAACCGTCATTAGAATGACCTAAGAAGCTGTGGCCCAGAGCTAGATAAGAGCTGAGGGATAGCCAGAATCTAACCATAAGCTAATATTAAGAATAGATAGGAAGAATATAAAATGTCAGATTCCATCACATACAATGAGGTTACCAAAGAATTCCCTAAGAGATTAAATAATTCAACAGCCTTAAAGTGTCTTAAAAGCAAAATAGGATAACACTTAAATATCTTATAAGAAAAAGAAATTATAAAAGCAACAAAGCAGTTAAGCTTTGCATAAGCTACAATCTTATGGGGACTAGACTTCTCTGAGTAGACAATTAAATTACTGTTTAATTAAAACAATTTTCTTCGTAAAGATGGAGTCTATAACTCCTGGCGTCAAGAAATCTTCCTGCCTCGTCCACCCAAAGCGCTAGGATTACAGGTGTGAGCCATGCCTTGCAAGGTCTTTAGTAATTGTTAAAAGGGTCTCATGGCTGGGTGCGGTGGGTCATGCCTGTAATCCCAGCACTTTGGGAGGCTCAGGAGGGCAGATCACCTGAGGTCAGGAGTTCAAGACCAGTCTGGCCAACATGGTAAAATCCCGTCTCTACTGAAAATACAAAAAAATTAGCTGGGTGTGGTGGCACATGTCTAAAGTGCCAGCTACTTGGGAGGCTGAGGCAGGAGAATCGCTTGAACCTCGGAGGCGGAAGTTGCAGTGAGCGGAGATCGCACCACTGCACTCCAGCCTGGGCGACAGAGTGAGACTCTGTCTCGAAGGAAAAAAAAAGGGAGACCCCAGCCTGGCTGTTAGTGTGTTGTGAAAGACTGAGGGCCTCAGATTTCACCACTGACTGAAATCAACAAGCAGCCATAGACAGCCCAGAAGGTAATTGTATCCCTACTGGGTCTCTTCAACCTCAGGGGAATTTAAACTTTTTAAGGCCAAGGAGTTTCTGTATAATCTCTCCTATGTACCAAAGCCACTCAAAAGGACACTAAAATACTGACATTATTTTGAAAATTACCTGTACTTCTACCTTTCGGCTGTTAACTACTGGTATTATTTTGCTACGCCATGTAGCCTTTCAAACTTTTAAAATGCTGGTCTAACCGTATAGATGACACTGTAAATGTTGTTTTGCAACCTATTTTCCAATTCCTTAGAATAAATTTCTAGGATAAAATTATTAATCAGATAACAAAAGCATTTAACACTTTGACACATACTGCCAAAGCTGCCTTCTGGATTTGTACCAATTCATACCCCTACCAGCGTTGCACATGAATGTCTGTTCTCACAAACACAAATCAATTTAAGAATTATCAATCTTTTAATTTTTGGGATCTGGTATGATAGAACATATTTTTACAAGTTATAGCCATTTGAATTTCTTCTTTCATCCATTTTATCTTTTGCCCATTTTACTACTAGAGTGCTTTTTAATAAGTAGAATTTAACTGATATCCCTGTAGTCTTAACTAGAACATACTTAATATAATTTCATCCTTTTTTCTTATATCAGAACAATGGCTTTTAATCCAATATATTTATGGAAAAAAAAAACTAAGGAAATGTAAAAGACCTATTTTGCCACAGTTCTAATTTAATCATAACCAGAATCTCCAGTGTCTTTTTTTTTGTTTTTGTTTTTGAGATAGGGTTTCGCTCTGTCACCCTGGCTAGAGTTCGGTGGTGTGAACATGGCTCACTGCAGTCCTGAGCTCCCAGGCTCAAGTGATCCTTCCCACCTCAGCCTCCCCAGTAGCTGGGACTACAGGTGCATAACACCACACCCAACTAATTTTTTTGTATTTTTTGTAGAGACAAGATTTCACTGTCACCCAAGCTGGTCTTGAACTCCTGGACTCAAGTGATCCACCCACCTTGGCCTCCCAAAGTGCTGAGATTACAGGCGTGAGCCACCACGCGCAGCCATAAAGGGTACATTTTTAAAAGCACTTCACAAATACGTATTATTCAAGAACAGTTTTTTTCTTTTTTTTTTTTTTTTTTTGAGACCAGGTCTCACTCTGTCACCACGCTGGAGTGCAGTGGCGTAATCAGAGCTCACTGCAGCCTCAACTTCTCAGGTTCCAGCGATCCTCCCACCTAGCCTCCCAAGTAGCTAAGACCACAGTCGCATTCCACCACACCTGGCTATTTTTGTATTTTTTTTGGTAGAGATGGAGTTTCACCAGGTTGCCCAGGCTGATCTGCAACTCCTGAGCTCAAGCGATCCACCCACCTCGGCCTCCCAAAGTGCTAGGATTATAGGCATGAGCCACCACGCCCGGCTAAGAACAGTTAATTTTCCACACACTCAAAGAAATGTTCCATTCTTTGATGGATATATCTGTTACTTAAACAAAAATCCACCTAAGTTTTTCAACATTCTATACAATTCTGCAGGGAATTTAAAAAATCCATTCAGATGTAACTAAATCAGTCCTGTCAAATACACTCTTCCATAATAAAAGATGAAGACACAGAGACAACAAAGAGAAGACAGAGGACAGAGAGAAGAAATTCCCTTCCCCAATCCCATACAGACAGACAACAGACACAAGAAGGAACCACATGGACAGAGAAAGAGAGAAATGAAGAACCACAAGGCTAGTGAGAAAGACTGATATATGTGCTAGGTTGGGAGTGGACAAAAAAGTAAGTACTAAGGCGGGATGGAGGCACTCTGCCCAGGAGAAGGTAGAGGCAGGCATAGCAAATCTAGCTTTGGTAGTAAATTCAAGTCTGTAACAAATTTCCTACAAGGAATTTCTTTATATCTAGTTTAAATTATTTGCCCTGTAGGTGGAGCTATTTCCTCTTACCTGATTTTTCAGTAGAAATTAAGCTCCCATCTTCTCTAATATTTCACGCAACATTTAACTCTTGATTATTTAAAAGAGAGAATATATTATTCTAAAGTAAGAAAATTCACTTACATTTGGCTTTAGGATACAACTAATCAGATGAATACAAACATACACATGGGTCCACAAATCCACCCTCGTAAACTCTGTCCTCCCTCCTTGCCCTCTCCTGTCAGTCTAAAACGTAAAAGAATGGACTCTGAAACAGGCAACAGAAAGCAATCACCAAGAGTTACTTTATCAGAAAATCCTACTTTCCAATGCCTAGAACTCTGGGTAACCATGTGGAAGATTTTTTGGTTATAAGGGTAAACATTAAAATTACCTAAGGGGGTCAGGCGCAGTGGCTCACACCTGTAATCCCAGTACTTTGGGAGACCGAGGCGGCTGGATCAGGAGATCAGAGATCGAGACCATCCTGGCTAACACGGTGAAACCCCATCTCTACTAAAAACATACAAAAAAATTAGCCAGGGGTGGTGGTGGGCACCTGTAGTCTCAGCTACTCGGGAGGCTGAGGCAGGAGAATGGTGTGAACCTGGGAGGTGGAGCTTGCAGTGAGCCGAGATCGCGCCACTGCACTCCAGCCTGGGCGACAGAGCGAGACTCCGTCTCAAAAAAAAAAAAAAAAAATTTACCTAAGGAATCTCCATCTGGATTGGCATCATTTATTTTTATATATTACTCTCATTTACCCCATATGAAAACAGATAGCTTCTAGGGACCTATACCCAGCATTAAGCTTTTCCATTTCATTGTGTAAATAATTCCAACTCTTTTAACCTGTCCTCAGAAATTTCAAGTCCAACCAACTTCATGACTTTTTTCTGAAACTTTTAAGATTTCTTTTCCTCTAAACTGTAGGGTCAAATATGATACTCAGATGGGGAACTTAATATTACTAAGTAGGAGGAAATTACATCAGTTTCCAGTACATCTACCTGTGGAATTAAAATTGTGGTGGCTCATGCCTCTAATCCTAACACTTTGGAAGGCCACGGTGGGAGGATCACTTGAGGCCAGGAGGTCAAGACCAGCCTGGGCAACACAGTGAGATCCCGTCTCTACAAAAAAATAAAAATAAAAATAAAAATTTTTTAACCTAGACGAATGGAAAAACAAGATGTGGTATATTTGTACAGTGGAATATTAATTCATCCATAAAAAAGAAATGAAGTACTGATTCATGCTACAATATGGATGAACCCTGAAAACATAATGGTAAGTGAAAAGAGGCCAGTCACAAAAGAGCCTATGTTATGTAATTTCATTCATATAAAATGTCTAGAATAAGCAAATCCAAAAAGAAAGTATATTCGTGGTTGTCAAGGGCCAGGTGGTGGACAGAATAGGGAGTGACCATTAATGGGTACATATTTTGGAATTATATAGTAGTGATGATTGCACAACCTTTTTTTTTTTTTTTTTTTTTTTTTTTTTTTTTTTTTTTTTAGCACTGCAGCCTCGATCTCCTGGGCTCAAAGCTCAAAAAATCCTCCTGCCTCAGCCTCCCTAGTATGCTGGGACTACAGAAGCATACCACCATGCCCAGCTGTTTTTTTTTTTTTTTAAGAGATAGGGTCTATGTTGCCCAAGCTGGTCTCAAACTCCTGGGCTCAAGAGATCCTCCTGCCTTGGCCTCCAAAGGTGCTACTAATACGGGCGTGAACCACCACGCCTGCCTGCACAACCTTGTGAGTATACTAAAAACTAATGAATTCTACAGTTTAAAAGACAAAATTTTATGGTATGTGAATTATACCTTAATAAAGTTATTTTTAAAATGAAATAAGAAATTAGTGGTTAAGATCCACAAATTTTATGGACTACAGAGTTAGATGATCTCTCTGTAGCTTCTGGTTCTAACAAAAATTAAATTTCATTCAAACCTGTAGTGTGCCATTTACTCAAATGCTTTTTTCATTTGGTCCTCAAGAAAATCCTGAAACCGAGGCTCAGAAAAATTGAGTAACATGCCCAAAGTCAATAGCGCAATTTAGTGACATTAAAAAGTATTTAAACTCAGTTTTGACTCTATTATCCCTACTTTCCAATATGCAGCTACCGCATACATTTCTGAATGTGCCGTAAGACAACGAAGCAAATCTTCGCAGGCAGAAATAAGTTTTAAAACCTACTACTGCTTAATAAGTGGAATGAAGTTTCAACGTATTGTGTCAAAGACTGAATGATGTAGCAGTTACTTTTCTATAGAATTATGTGTATTTAATAAACAAAATTTACATTACTATACATATACTCTAATGAATTTTTACATCTTTAGGTCTAATTTTAGCAACCTGACTAAATCACAGAATTCTCAAATGATCCCAACACTTCAAACATTAAATCTAGTGACAACAGATTTAATTATTTCAATTCCAGGAAGATAAAAAAAAATTCCCTGAAGGAATGGCTAATAACATTTATTTGGAAATATCTGTAACAATAGCTAAACAAAAATTTGATAGTAAAAATAATCAACTTCTCAGAAGCAGGCTGAACTAAAACTCAAGATTTACTGGCATTGGGATTTTGTCTGTTGGCTTGAAATAAACTTTATCTTAAAGCCAACCTTTAAAAAAGTTTACAATCACACAAAATTCCAGTATGCCCCATGATCAATCAAAAGTCAGTTAAATGCCAGAATGAAATCTGAAAGAGCTATTTTACTTTAAAATGTCAATAATCTTTTGACTTAATAGTTTGAATATCCAGAGACATCTGACAAAAAATATGCAGACACTAATTAAGACTGAAACATGCTATTAATTCTATGAAAATATTTTGTTCTTTAGCTTTATTCATCCCGGTTTTCTTCCCCGTGGTGTGTTTTTCCTTCTTCACACTAATAGTATCTCATAGATTAGAAAGCCCCTAATCACAAATTCCAGGAGTCTTTTTATTAACCACTAAACAGCTCACCACAGATATATATGGGTGTGTATGTTCCCTTTCCTGACACTGCTTCAAAGACAACAATTTTATAGTCACATATATGATAGATGGCAGTCATCCCTAGTTTATTCAAGTATTCTATCTATATATTTCCTTGTCCACATCCCTGGCCCAAAATTACTTAACTGAGAACACAAAAACAGTGAAATCTATAATATAGAAATATATGAAAATTACCCTACTCTAGCTTAACCCACTCTAACCTGCATTATTTTCTTTTCCGAGGATTTCTCTCACAAGGTAGTTTGCTCTGATTATGAAAGAGAACAAAGACAATAATATTTGTAACAAAGCAAGCTTTAAAAACTAATGCCAATTTTAAGGAAAGCCTCCCTAATATCAAATTTTTTACCATTTATAATACTAATTATTCATTTGAAATCTAGTTCCCATATCACTATTTCTTATCTTTCAAAAAAATTCTAACTGCTTTTAAACAAGAAAATTCAGTTCATCCTTTCTGAGTATTTTCTATCAATTCCATCCCTGTACTTTTATTATCATACATTGTCAAATTTACAAATGCTTTTCATTAAAAACCACCCAATTACTTAATCTTGCCAATCATATTTTTGATTCTTAAAAGAATACTTTGTCTACTCACAGATAAATGATGATGTATTGTTTAGAAACTGAAGGCTTCCTCTCAGAGAAATAAATCAGTTGCCCATTCTTCCCTCATTTAAAATAAGGTTGCTGTTTCTAGATGTGAAAAAGGCTGAGAAGTTGTCTCCTGTCATATGGGTATTAATCAAATACTAGCCAGGAGACACACACAATGTTCAGGGAGTACTTCTCTTACAGTTTGATGTGTTAGCAGATTATGAACAAGAAAAAAAAGTTTGGCAAAAAGCTATTACACTTCACTTTAAACAAAAAGTTAAAAACCTGAGGCTATGACTGACAATAGCAAACTATACCTTATGCTAATTTCTCATGATTCTTACATAACAGATATCTGTGTTGACTATATCAACATAAAATATATCATTTATTTCTCAAAATACATCTTCTCCTATCCAAGAAATGAATTACAAATACCTGTTATGACATTTCAAATTACTTTAAAATAAAATACACAAAACTGCCTTAAATTCAAGGACCACACATAGGTACTTTTAAAAACCACAGCAGATTACACATTGGAATAGAGGTATCCTTTAATCTGAATTTGTAAAAAAGTCAGCAATAGAACATTCAAACAGAAACAGGAAAAAGCAAAAAAAAAAAATTAAGAGAAATGATGTCCAATTTTGTGTGCTTAGGCAAAACAAACAAAACCATAAACTCACAACTGTTCTCTTACTAAGTGAATCCGGCTGAAGCTATATTTGTTTCTTTACTGTGATTACATGAATATTACCTATCAGATGGATACTTACACCTGATTCTAAGTAAACCAAATGGACAAATACTTTAATCTTAAGGGAATGTAAACAGAAAAACAGAAGAATCAATCCAGGTTTGCACTGGATATAACAAACTTTCTCCAATAAAATATTTTCAGAATATTTTAATAAATAAATAAATAATAATAGAGTGGTGGGAAATGAAGGCTAGTAAGAAGCAATCAGGAATGAAGTATTTTTACTCTAATAAAACCCTCAGGAAAAAAGAGCATAAAATTCTTTCACATAAAGGTATTAAAAAAATGTAATCTTTTAGCTTTCACTGTAATTAAAATGTCTGAAGGCAGGAATTTAGCAGACTTCACTATGACTGAACACATATCTATGATTTCTTAAAACACAGAAAAGCATGTACATATGAAATGTGGATCCTGAATAAAAATTTATAACAAAGAAAAGAAGATGATGTGATGTAGTAGAAACTGCTCCAGACTTGAGACGGGCACAGTGGCTCACACCTGTAATCCCAGCACTTTGGAAGGTCAAGGAGGGCAGATCATGAGGTCAGGAGTTGAAGACCAGCCTGACCAACATGGTGAAACCCGGTCTCTACTAAAAATACAAAAATTAGCCAGGTGTGGTGGCACATGCCTGTAATCCCAGCCACTCGGGAGGCTAAGGCAGGAGAATCACTTGAACCTGGGAAGGCGGAGATTGCTGTGAGCCGAAGATTGCACCACTGCACTCCAGCCTGGGCAACAGAGCAAGACTCCACCTCAAAAAAAAAAAGAAAGAAAGAAAAGAAAGAAAAGGGAGGGAGGGAGGGAGGGAGGGAGGGAAGGAAGGAAGGAAGGAAGGAAGGAAGGAAGGAAGGAAG
Source organism: Homo sapiens (assembly GCF_000001405.40). Lineage (NCBI taxonomy): Eukaryota > Metazoa > Chordata > Mammalia > Primates > Hominidae > Homo > Homo sapiens. The sequence continues at coordinate 67,280,815 of NC_000014.9, read as the reverse complement.
GAAGGAAGGAAGGAAGGAAGGAAACTGCTCCAGAGTTGGAATAAAGAGACTTAATGAGGAACAAATCTGGCATATACATGGTACCTTTGGCCAAATTAGAAAAAGGTGCTCTATTCTGGGTAGCCACAGCTCTGGCCTGGTGAGTGAAACGCAGGCTGGATACCGGTTTCCATTCAAACCATTTTGTGTAGTACATCAACACCTGATCTGGCAAATTCAAACTTGGCTCTACCATTGGTGTCTTTAAAAAGTTGTTTAACTAAGGTTCAATTTCTTTATCTCCAAAATGGAGATTACAGAGTACTGTTAACAGGATTATTTTATTACATGAAACAATGTTTGCTAAAACACTTAGTACAGGCTAAACAGACCCTTAAATGAATGGCAAAATGATGACAATGACAATAAAAACTTTCTCCTTCTACAAAAAAGTAGAAATATATCTTTTTTCACACCTAAAAAATAGCAAACCACCAAAAAATAAAATGCTCTCCTAACACTAGTTCAGTGAGCACTTGGGTGTATGTGCACGTGCAAGAAGGGCAGGCAGTAAATTCAATGATTAAATATTCTAAGTTTGGAAACATGCATTTGATATCAATCTCTCTTGTAGATTCACAATGCCTAGTAACATTCTAACAGCTATGAGAAGTCCCGTGATAAGAAGCTATTTAACTTATTTAGCCCAGAGTTCTCAAAATCCATTTGGTCACAGAATTCTTTTGGTTCGGTTGTATCTACTTATATCTCATAGGACTTTTTTTCCCCCCACAGAACAGAATTTGGGGATATAGAAAATACCATTATTTTAAGTTTATGATACCATATGAACAATACCAGTTCTTTTTATTGACAATCATTAATTTAAAAAAATCAAAGAATTTAAACTGTAGTTACAAATTTATTACTATTTTACAAAACTTTAAGGAAATCAGAAATTCAAAATCTGAAAATTCTTTTTTAGTATTTTGCATAAAGTTTGTGGTTTGATATAAAAGGTAAATTTCAAGGCTTTAAATGTTAGGGCCCATGCAGAACTCTTTAATATCTAAAAAAACATGTTATAGTGACTTAACATTTAAGCCACATGCTTTTAGCTCTATGTTGGTAACAGTAAACAATAGTTATACGGCGTTTCCACGAAAACAAAGGATCTTGGTCTGGAATTCAAACTGTCATTACTTACATTCTCTTAAACCCTCTTCCTTCTCATATACATTATAAGGCACAGATAAATTAAAGCAAAATGTTTTCTGTTATACCTCTATTTTTACTTACCTAATATTTTCACAGCATAATGAGGACTTTCTAAGACAATTCCTTCCTCTGTATCAAACATAGGGTTATCTATTCCGGTCTTTGGAGGAATTTGGGCTAGTTTCTTAAGTCTCATGGAAGAATTAAGGTCAAGTTCTTGCTTTTTCCCTTCTTCCTCTCTCCTACGCCTCATGTCCTCCTGTTGTTGCCGAATACGCTCCAACTGTGCACTTCGACGTATTGGCATCATCCTGGTGCCCAAATCTCCAGGGCAGTCAACAGCCATCTCTCGGTGCTTCTGATGTTCCTCTGGTGATGCAAGATCAACATTTTTTACTTCGCTGTCTGATTCCTCTGTAACATGCCCATTCATATGGGATGTTGTCATGGTTATCTATGAAAACCTGTACCACTTTTTATAAATCAATTTTTCCTATAAGCCAATTCTCTTGATTCTGTAGTATAAAATCCATGTTACTTCAAAAAAAAAAACTTCTCACATCACATAATAATGCTATGAAAAAGTATCCATGAAGGAAATCTAAGGGGAAAGATGGGGGGGAAAAAAGTGTAAGAATTACAATATAAAAGCAGGTTTTTACAGAGCCCACTTCTAATCACCATACAACGTAGAAAATAATAAGTATGTAATATTATTTTGTTAAGTAGATTAAGTACTTTCACTTTACAGATAATGGTGAGGAAATCAAGATTCCCCCCTCCCCCAAAAAGTCCCTTTCCAAAAATGTGAAACATACTATTCAATTTTAAAGCTAAGAAAAATGATATACAATACTGGAAAGTTTAGCAAAGTAGGAAAGTAAAAAGTTTGGGGTACTAGTTTGGTAGAGAACACGTTGCTTGCTTCAAACATAAAAGGTGTTTTAATCATCTTTTAGTAGTTGTCTCAACACTGTACTTTATGCTCAACAATTAACATGGGATTGAAATAACTTACTGCTAAAGAATAACTGCTAAAGAAATTGATGAATGATCAACTGATTTGGCATATAGCAGCCTTGTTTGTACCTCACTTGAAATACAAGCAGTATTCTGGGGGATAATTCATCTTTAAGAGTTTTTGAGATGGAGAACATGCCCAACGAATAAGAAACTTCAATTAGCAGCTGAGGCAGCTACAGGACAAAACTACATTGAGACAAGGATTACATGGGTTATCAGTCTTTATAACTGGTCCCATTAAAAAAAAAAAAAAAGAATTGGGCCGGGTGCAGTGGCTCACGCCTGTAATCCCAGCACTTTGGGAGGCCAAGGAAGGCAGATCACCTGAGGTCGGGAGTTCGAGACCTGGCCAACATGGCAAAACCCCGTCTCTACTAAGAAAAATACAAAAACTAGCCAGGTGTGGTGGTGGGTGTCTGTAACCCCAGCTACTCAGAAGGCTGAGGCAGGAGAATCGCTTGAACCTGAGAGGCAGAGGCCGCAGTGAGCTGAGATCACACCACTGCACTCCAGCCTGGGTGACAGAGCGAGACTCCATCTCAAAAAAAAAAAAAAAAGAATTGGGGTTAACTCTACAAGAATTACAAGGATTCATTTAGAGAAAACGGTTGTATCTGTTACCACTCAAAAACTTTTGAGAGTCATACTGTACAGCAAAAAGATCACAGTAAACAGGGAGATAAGAAAACTGAACTTTTAATCCTCTAGTTTTATGACTTAAGACCAGTCATTTTCTCTCTTTGACCCTCAGATTCACTTGGAAGCTTTATTCATAGGATTGACAGTTCTGAGTTTCACATGAGTTAATGTATACTTACATTAATTACCAGTATTAACTTGATTCTATTTTAAAAATCTTTCAACATATTTTAGAAAATAAAAATATTTTACCAGATAACTCTGGCTTTTCATCAAGCTATTTCTCAGGCATACATAGGCAGGTTGTTTACATATGTGTAAACCCACACATTAAATCTAATTAGCCTTTTTTTTTTCACTCAAGAGCAATAATATTTACAGTAATAAACCTACTACCTCCTTGAGTTGGGCATCACTTTAGTAAACAAGTTGGTTAGAGCACAATGCCAACTAAGCAAAAGCCAGGTTTTCAGATAATATTCCTAATACCAGCCAATCTTTTCTCAAACATCTTGGGTCATAATGCAAACAGGGACAGAAGACAAAATGCTTAATACAAACCCAACTAGGCTATCAGGAAAACCACTAGTCCAACAATCAGGAAAATGGATGCCAGTTACAAGAGCTATTATTAAAACTACATTTGCTTAAAATTTTTGGTAGATTTTTCTGTCTTTCATCCAAATTTTGACTTCTTTCTAACTGTGATCTACACGTAAGCACCTTATTTACCATTAGACTGCCTTCGTTTTCATTAACATGACAGCTATTTGATTTTTGTTAGGCAATTCTTAAGTTATGTTAGGCATTGATTATATGCAAATGCAAATTCAGCTTTTTAAATGTTTTCATTACAAGTAAGCAGAAAAATTATGTAGGAGTTACTACAGTGCTATGCTTAGTTTTAAAAATCCAGGAGTGGATTTAGTATTTTCAGAAAATTAAAACTCTTAACCCTCTCTATAACAATTACTGGATATTAAAAATCAAATTTAATATTAAATGATGTGTTTTTAACTAATATAAATTATGATCTGAAATTTGAAACTCAGCTTAAAAGCTCTACATCTGTGTCCATATTCACTACACTATGAGGGAAAATTAGAAGTCATGCAAGAGAGACCGGGCCAGGTCATCCAGGTCAAAATTCTCATGCTTGTACTATTTACTATCATACTTGTATATCTGGATCCAACCTTTGCTCTCAGAAAAATTTCTATAACCTGGTAGTAATCTGCTTTAAATTTCATTTTGGTTATCTCCCCAGGAATGTTCAGTCTACTGGGAGAGAAAGCAAAGAAAATAAATGATTATTTTTCCTCAATCTCCTTAACAGGTTCTAAATTTGTTAGAGACAGGGGTCATGTCTTACTTTTATAGCTCCAGTGCTTAGCCTAATACATATCATAAGAAATGTCCAATAAATATCTGTTCAACTCAACTTGGAATGTCACAATGAACTATAAAACTTGGTCTGTGGTAAAAGGTGATAGGAAACACTCAAAACATAAGGATACATTTCTTTGAAATGGATTTCAAAGGGCAACTAAAAATTAGCCAGATAGTAGAAAGGTCTATTCCAGGCAGACAGGCTCACATGACCAATAGGAAGGAAGAGTATGACAGAATGGCACTTTCAGAAAACAGAATAGAATACAATAAAGCTGGATGGGACAATGGGAACATGCTGTACATGAATAATGATAAAACTGGAAAGACAAGCAGGAAGCCACACTGAGAAGAGTTTTAGATCTTTACCCTGAAAATAGTAAGAATAATTAAAACATTTTAAGCAGAGGATGACATGATCACATTCATTTTTATACAAATATCACTCCTATTGGATAGAGACACAAAAAACCCTTCAAAAAATCAATGAATCCAGGAGCTGATTTTTTGAAAAGATCAACAAAATTGATAGACTACTAGCAAGACTAATGAAGAAAAGAGAGAAGAATCAAATACATGCAATAAAAAATGATAAAGGGGGTATCACCACCAACCCCACAGAAATACAAACTACCATCAGAGAACACTGTAAACACCTCTACGCAAATAAAGTAGAAAATCTAGAAGAAATGGATAAATTCCTGGACACATATACCCTCCCAAGACTAAACCAGGAAGAAGTCGAATCCCTGAATACACCAATAATAGCTCTGAAATTGAGGCAATAATTAATAGCCTACCAACCAAAAAAAGTCCAGGACCAAATGGATTCGCAGCCAAATTCTACGAGAGGTACAAAGAGGAGCTGGTACCATTCCTTCTGAAACTATTGCAATCAATAGAAAAAGAGGCAATCCTCCCTAACTCATTTTATGAGGCCAGCATCATCCTGATACCAAAGCCGGGCAGAGACACAACAAAAAAAAGAGAATTTTAGACCAAAAGCCCTGATGAATGTCGATGCGAAAATCTTCAATAAAATACTGGCAAACCAAATCCAGCAGCACATCGAAAAGCTTATGCACCACAATCAAATGGGCTTCATCCCTGGGATGCAAGGCTGGTTCAACATACGCAAATCAATAAACGTAATCCAGCATATAAACAAAACCAAAGACAAAAACCACATGATTATCTCAATAGATGCAGAAAAGGCCTTTGACAAAATTCAATAGCCCTTCATGCTAAAAACTCTCAATAAACTAGGTATTGATGGAATGTATCTCAAAATAATAAGAGCTATTTATGACAAACCCACAGCCAATATCATACTGAATGGGCAAAAACTGGAAGCATTCTCTTTCAAAACTGCCACAAGACAGGAATGCCCTCTCTCACCACTCCTATTCAACACAGTGTTGGAAGTTTTGGCCAAGGCAATCGGGCAGGAGAAAGAAATAAAGGGTATTCAATTAGGAAAAGAGGAAGTCAAATTGTCCCTGTTTGCAGATGACATGATTGTCTATTTAGAAAACCCCACTGTCTCAGCCCAAAATCTCAAGCTGATAAGCAACTTCAGCAAAGTCTCAGGATACAAAATCAATGTGCAAAAATCACAAGCATTCTTATACACCAATAACAGACAAATAGAGAGCCAAATCATGAGTGAACTCCCATTCACAATTGCTACAAAGAGAATAAAATACCTAGGAATCCAACTTACAAGGGATGTGAAGGACCTCTTCAAGGAGAACTAGAAACCACTGGTCAACCAAGTAAAAGAGGACACAAACAAATGGAAGAACATTCCATGCTCATGGATGGGAAGAATCAATATCGTGAAAATGGCCATACTGCCCAAGGTAATTTATAGATTCAATGCCATCCCCATCAAGCTACCAATGACTTTCTTCACAGAATTGGAAAAAACTACTTTAAAGTTCATATGGAACCAAAAAAGAGCCCGCATTGCCAAGACAACCCTAAGCCAAAAGAATAAAGCTGAAGGCATCACCCTATCCAACTTCAAACTATACTACAAGGTTACAGTAACCAAAACAGCATGCTACTGGTACCAAAACAGAGATATAGACCAATGGAACAGAACAGAGCCCTCAGAAATAGTACCACACATCTACAATCATCTGATCTTTGACAAACCTGACAAAAACAAAAATGGGGAAAGGATGCCCTATTTAATAAATGGTGCTGGGAAAACTGGCTAGGCATATGTAGAAAGCTGAAACTGGATCCCTTCCTTACACCTTATACAAAAATTAATTCAAGATGGATTAAAGACTTAAATGTTAGACCTAAAACCAGAAAAACCCTAGAAGAAAACCTAGGCAATACCATTCAGGACATAGGCATGGGCAAGGACTTCATGACTAAAACACCAAAAGCAATGGCAACAAAACCCAAAATTGACAAATGGGATCTAATTAAACCAAAGAGCTTCTGCACAGCAAAAGAAACTACCATCAGAGTGAACAGGCAACCTACAGAATGGGAGAAAATTTTCACCGTCTACCCATCTGACAAAGGGCTAATATCCAGAATCTACAAAGAACTTAAACAAATTTCCAAGAAAAAATCAAACAACCCCATCAAAAAGTGGGCAAAGAATATGAACAGACACTTCTCAAAAGAAGACATTCATGCAGCCAACAGACACATGAAAAAATGCTCATTATCACTGGTCATCAAAGAAATGCAAAACAAAACCACAATGAGATACCATCTCACACCAGTTAGAATGGCGATCATTAAAAAGTCGGAAACAACAGGTGCCGGAGAGGATGTGGAGAAACAGGAACACTTTTACACTGTTGCTGGGAGTGTAAACTAGTTCAACCATTGTGGAAGACAGTATGGCAATTCCTCAGAGATCTAGAACTAGAAATACCATTTGACCCAGCCATCCCATTACTGGGTATATACCCAAAGGATTATAAATCATGCTGCTATAAAGACACATGCACACATATGTTGACTGCGGCACTATTCACAATAGCAAAGACTTGGAACCAACCCAAATGTCCATCAATGATAGACTAGATTAAGAAAATGTGGCACACATACACCATGGAATACTATGCAGCCATAAAAAAGGATGAGTTCATGTCCTTTGTAGGGACAAAGATGAAGCTGGAAACCATCATTCTGAGCAAATTTTCACAAGGACAGAAAACCAAACACTGCATGTTCTCACTCATAGGTGGGAATTGAAAAATGAGAACACTTGGACACAGGGTGGGGAACATCACACATCGGGGCCTGTCGTGGGGTTGGGGAGGTGGGAGGGGGGAGCGATAGCATTAGGAGATATACCTAATGTAAATGACAAGTTAATGGGTGCAGCACACCAACATGGCACATGCATACATATGTAAGAAACCTGCACGTTGTGCACATGTACCCTAGAACTTAAAGTATAAAAAAAAAAAAAAAGAAAGAAATATCACTCCTACTGAAGCATAGAGGGCTGACTGAAGGGTGGCAATGAGAACAGACTGAAAGCACCTATTAGAAATGCGGTCCTCAACTAGGACAGTGAGAATGAAGAAGTTGTTTTCAAGAAATACGAAGGTTACAGGCCAGGCGTGGTGGCTCACGCCTGTAATTCCAGCATTTGGGGAGGCTGAGGCTGAGGCTGTGGATCACTTAAGACTAGTAGTTTGAGACCAGCCTGGGCAATATGGTGATACCCCATCTCTACAAAAACATGCAAAAAATTTAAAAATTATCCAGCCATGGTGGCTTGTGCCTGTAGTCCCAGCTACTCGGGAAGCTGAGGCATGAGAATCACTTGAACCCAGGAGGCAGAGGTTGTAGTGAGCCAAGATCGTGCCACTGCGCTCCAGCCTGGGAGACAGCGCGAGACTCTGTCTCAAAAACAAAAGCAATATGTAGGTTACAGAATCAGTAGAACTTAGTATCTACTTCATATAGGAGGGCAAAAAGTGAATAAGAGAAAGAGGTAAAGGAGGAGGAGGAGAAAGAAGTCATAGGAGTAGGAATAGTGGTAGTAGTAGTAACAACTACAACTATAGCTAACATTTACTGAGCACTTCTTTATGTGCCAGCCAACACTGCAAGCAGTTCACATAGTATTCACTCATTTATTCCTCATTACAACTCCAGAAGTAGATCCAAATATGCCCATTTCGTAGATGAAAAACGAGGTTGGAAGTAGGCCTTAAAGACAAGATGGAGAAATAATAAAGGGGCCATATGAACCAAAGGTGGGAAGATGAAAGGTGTGAGGGGAAAGTACAAATAAGGCTCGTTGAACTAAAATAGTCGAGAGAGTAGTGGAAGATAGGACTAGAAAGTTTGATTGGGTCCATCCTATGAAAGGTCTTAAATACAAATCCTTAATTCCATAGAATAAGAGAATCATCAAAGATTTAAAAAAGAGGAGTGATTTGTATACAAATTTAATTATTTACCCCTGGCTAGATACTATGGTTATTAAGACAGGATCCTTGAACTTTTTTTTTTTTTTTGAGACTCTGTCGTCCAGTTTGAGTGCAATGGCACGATCCCGGCTCACTGCAAACTCCACCTCCCAGGTTCAAACGATTCTCTTGCCTCAGCCTCCTGAGTAGCTGAGATTACAGGCGCCAATCACCATACCCAGCTAATTTTTGTATTTTTAGTAGAGACGGGGCTTCACCATGTTGGCCAGGCTGGTCTCAAACTCCTGACCTCGTGATCCACCAGCCTCGGCCTCCCAAAGTGCTGGGATTACAGGCGTGAGCCACCGTGCCCGGCTGACCATTATTCTATCTATCAGAATTTCCCACAAGAATCTAGAAATATGTCCAAAATTAAACTCATATTTCCCTTTAATCTCCTATTCTCTTTAATCCTCTCCCTGTTTTCAATTCTAACTAATGTCACTACATCCATCCAGTTACCCAAGACAGCATGTTTAAGAGAAAAGCCTCCAGAATCAGACTGCCTAGGATCTGATCTTTGCCTACTCTTTTAAGTCTGAGCTCAAATACACTGTCCTCTGGAATCCTATAATCCCTGTCACATTCTTGATCAAGTTGGACTACTGCTATTTATATCTCTGCCTTTCTATCTCATCAGACTAGAAGCTCCTTGAAGTCAGGAACCAGGCTGACCCATCTCTGAATCCGTAACATTGCCCAGCAGAAGGCCAAACAACAGAAGGCTTCAGAATATGAACCTAGGCAGTATAACTCCAGAACCATCACTCTTAACCACTATCCCTGGCTTATTAGGTAGATGACAATGTCACTAATTATGATGGAGAATATAGGAGAATCAGATAGAAGTAAAGGGAAATATGGGTTTAGACACATTAATTTCAAGGTAACTGTAGATCACACAGGTAAATTATCTAATTGGCAGGGATCCGTCTTGTTGACCTCTATAGCCGTGATACCTGCTAAGTGTTTGCTTAATTAAGTATATGAGCAAACCACTCCTCTGTTCAGAACTTCTGATGGCTTTCACACTACCTGGAGAATAAACTTCAAACTCAAAAAATGAATCCAAGATTTCTAGCTATATCTTTTACTACGCACCTGCATGAGCCTTCTAATTTACCTTCCTCATTTGTGTCTATCCCATCTTTCTGCCCAAATGACTGATGAACTACTTTTCCATTGATTTCTACCTTCAAGACCTCCCTCAAGTCCCTAATTCTACAAGAAATCTTTCCAGACTATCCTGTTAAATAATTACTTCACCATTTAACACTCCAAAAACTCTATAATGCTCACAAGTTAATTTAATGAAGGCAATGAAAGATCCTAAAGTTCTTCCAGAATTAAAGAAACATTATACTGTATCCTATAGTTTTAGCATTAAGATTATAATTTTTAAGCAGGCACTCCACAAATACTCTAGCCCATACATGTAGTCTATATACATCATAAAAGTGAAAAAGTCCTCCCAGTCCAAAGCAATTGCACTCTCCCTCTCTTTAAAAAAAAAAAAAAAAGTCCTTTGACAATTCAGAAGCTGGTAAATGACTGAACTAGAGAATTACCTCATTGTGTGTAAATAACAGGCCATCTTATGAAGACAGCAGAGGCAGTTACTGGCCCTAATTCTTTTCTTCTCAACTTGCCAATTATAAGTTTAAAAAAAAAATAAGAAAGAAAGAAAGCTTCAAAGGACTACATTTCAAATCCTCATCAGAATCCCTGCTCCCATCCCTGCCAGAAAACGAACACAAATACAAAAATCTTTACATAGTCCACAAAGCAAGAAAAATTTTCAGGCTGGCATGCCGAAGCTGTTTCAATGCTAACCTCAAACTAGTAAGGGAGAAAGGGTTTTAGTTGCGGGAGAAGGGGGCAATGGGAAGCTAAATAAGCTTCACAACAAGTGCAAATGATTGAGACTGGAGGGACTGAAATAGCCTAAAGGGTACAGACCCACTGAAAAGGGTACCAACGAATAGAACCATTTGTTTAAGAGCTGAGAATCAAGACAGGTCAGCAGAAATCCAATTTCCTATATTACCAGTATCTTAATTTTTAGGCAGAGTAAAATAGAAGAGATATACTTCATACGCATAAACATGTTCAGTCTACACTAGTGTCCAGAACTCTAGAATTTTTTAAATTCATCCTTCCCCTCTTTCTCCAGCAAGTAATGCCCTTTGACCAGCAGCTGGGAAGTCTCATTTTAAGTGATCAGCATTCCTCTGACATTCTAAGAGGTTAAACTATTTGTTTCCATAGAAACAGCTTTGTCAGCTAAGGCAGAATTCAAGCCAAGAAAAGTGAAAAGAACTTACATTATGCAAACTGGAAAAGCCTTTTCTACTGTCCTTTTAGTTTCTCTTCTCCGGTTTTTCACAAAACTCAAGGCTTTCTTATTCTATAAAAAAGAAAAATGAGACAATTGATCAAATGTACATGTCTGCAGTGTTTTGGGGGGTAAAGGAGGAAGAGAAAGACTAATTCAATATGATAACCAATTCTGTCTGCAGATAGCTAGGATTTCTTAGTCAGAAATCATAAAAATGCACCATGACCCCTGTATCTAATGGACATCAATTTAAAAATTTATGTTGTTGTATATTAGTGCTGTTAGGAATGTCAAATGGAAACTTTCCAATAACACATTGGAAACAGTCTGGCAATTCCTCAAAAGGCTAAACATAGGGTTACCATATCAGCGATTCTACTCCTAGGTATAAATCAAGAGAAATAAAATCATACATCTACACACACACACACAAAAACTTGTACAAAAATATTCATAGCAGCAGTATTCGTAATAGCAAAAAAAGTAGAAAAAATCCAAATGTTCAACTGATGAATTTATTAAAAGTTGTATAATCCTATATGAAACATTATTGGAAAATAAAAATGAAGTAGTGATACATGCTACAACATAGATTAACCCTACAAACAGGATTTAAAGAAGCCAGCAGCAAAGGACCACGACCACATACTGTATGATTCTATTTATGAAATATCCAGAAGAGGCAAATATAGAGAGACAAAAAGTAGATCAGTGGTTGCCTAAAACTGGGGGTGAATGGGTGGGAGAATTATGGCCAAGGCATGCAGGTTTCTCTTGCGGAATGATGCAAATTAATTGTGGTGATGGTTGCACAACTCTAAATATACTAAAATCCACTGAATTTGCACACTTGAAAGGGATGTGTCAGAGGGGTTTGAACCAGAACAACTCCATCTTGAATAGGGGCTGGGTAAAATAAGGCTGAGACCTACTGGGCTGCATTCCCAGGAGGTTAGGCATTCTAAGTCACAGGATGAGATAGGAGGTCAGCACAAAGTCAGGTCACAAAGGCCCTGCTGACAAAACAGGTTGGGGTAAAGAAGCGAGGCAAATCCCGACCTCTGGTTGTGCTCACTGCTCACTATATGCTAATTATAATGCGTTAGCATGCTAAAAGACGCTCCTGCCAGTGCCGTGACAGTTTACAAATGCCATGGCAACGTTAGGAAGTCACCCTATATGGTCTAAAAAGGGGAGGAACCCTCAGTTCTGCGAATTGCCCATCCCTTTCCCCCGGAAAATTCATGAATCCACCCCTTGCTTAGAATATAATCAAGAAGTAACATGTCGGTGTTCTGCCTATGGAGTAGCCATTCTTTCATTCCTTTACTGTCATAAACTTGCTTTCATTTTACTCTATGGACTTGCCCCAAATTCTTTCTCATGCAAGATCCAAGAACCCTCTCTGGGATCTGGATCGGGACCCCCTTCGGGTAACAGATGAATTCGATCGTATGAGAGTTCTATCTCAACAATGCTGTTTAAAAAATACACAATGAAATAACACTACAAACAAGAAAATGGCTAAAATTAAAAAGTGACAATATTAAGCACTGGAGAGAATGTGAAGGAAGGGGAACCTCTATATAATGCTGATGAGAATGTAAAATGGTAGAGTCTGGCAGTTTCTTAAAAAGTTAAACATACAGTTTCCATATGACTGAGACATTCCACACAAGAGAAAGAAATAAACATGTTTTTATCTGTAAAAATCACAAAGAAAGATTTGTAATGAGTATGCATAGGAGCAATATTAATAATAGTCTAAAACCACACACTATCCTTCAGCTGGGAATGAATAAATAAAAAATAGAATACAATGGATAAAATGGAATAAAATGGATAAACAAAAAATGCAATAAGAAAGGACAAACTACTGACATATCCAACAACACAGTCTCAAAAACACAATGCCAGACACGAGTATGATTCCATTTGTGCAAAATTTCTAGAAAATGCAAAACTAGTGCTATTACAAAAAGCAGTTTGGTGGTTTCCTGGAGATGGAAACAGATTCTGACTGAAAAAGGCAAGGAGGAAATGTTTTCATGTGATAAAAGTGTCCTAATATTAGATTTCAGTGACAGTCTGCATGACTATATAAATTTACTAAAACTTAAACTGTTCCCATAAAACCTAAATCTTATAAAATATAAATTATACCTCAATAAACCCGTTTTGAAAATTCATTAAATTGAACACTTAAAATTACTGAATTTTGCTGGGTGCAGTGGCTCATGCCTATAATCCCAGCACTTTGGGAGGCCAAGGTGGGTGAATCACCCGAGATCAGCAGGTCAAGACCAGCCTGGCCAACATGATGAACCCCCATCTCTACTAAAAATTAGCCAGGTGTGGTGGTGCATGCCTGTAATCCCAGCTACTTGGGAGGGGGAGGCAGGAGAATCACTTGAACCTGGGAGGCAGAGGTTGCAGTGAGCCAAGATTGCACCATTGCACTCCAGCCTGGGCGACAAGAGTGAAATTCCGTCTCATTAAAAAATAAATAAATAAATAATGAATTTTAATTGAAGTTATACCTATTCAGCTGATTTTAAAAGAAAACAAAACCTCAAATTATACACTTAAAATGACATCTTGTTGCATGTAAATTATATCTCAAAGAAACCAAATTTATATTTATTTATTTATTTGTTTGTTTGAGACAGGGTCTTGCTCTGTGAGACAGGCTGGAGTGCAGTGGCACAATCTTGGCTCACTGGAACCTCTGCCTCCCCAGGCTCAAGTGATCTTCCCGCTTCAGCCTCCTGAGTAGGTGGGTACAGGAATGGGCCACCACGCCTGGCTAATTTTGTATTTTTAGTAGAGATAGGGTTTCACTGTGTTGCCCAGGCTGGTGTCGAACTCCTAGGCTCAAGTGATCTGTCCACCTCGGCCTCCCAACATGCTGGGATTACAGGCATGAGCCACTGTGCCCAGCCAAGAAACGAAGTTTTTTTAAAAGATAACTGTATATTCCAAAAACAAGTCGTATACTGACATCACATAAAAGACTCTATTTACTTGATAACTGTGTAACTTCTTGTATGAATTTAAGTTTCCAACAATGAATGACCTATCTTTGCAGAAGAAACTTAGCTATGTCCAAAACTAAATAAATACAAGTAAAAACTGAAATATTTCAGCTGGGCGAGGTGGCTCATGCCTGTAATCCCAACACTTTGGGAGGCCGAGGCATGTGGATCACTTGAGGTCAGCAGTTTGAGACCAGCCTGGCCAACATGGTGAAACCCTGTCTCTACTAAAAATACAAAAATTAGCCAGGCATGGTGGCAGACACCTGTAATCCCAGCTACTCGGCAGGCTGAGGCATGAGAATTCCTTGAACCCAGGAGGCAGAGGCTGCAGTGAGCTGAGATCACGCCACTGCACTTCAGACTGGGCAACAGAGTGAGACTCCTCAAAAAAAAATTGAAATATTTGAATTACTCATGCAGTGGATTAGCTCTGAAATTATTATTCAGTAAAAAAGGCACAACCTAAACAAAAATAAAGTCCCCATGATCTAACTAAAAAACGAGTTCTTACATTACAGAACTAAAAAGACTTTTAAATAAATATATATTTCTTTAATTTTAAACATATATTCAAAGTAAACTGAACTCGTTTAACTCAATGGGCACAATATAAAAGAAGTTTTTACACCAGGGATGGTGGCTTACATTTGTAATCCCAACACTTTGGGAAGCAGAGACAGGAGTATCACTGAGACCAGGAGTTTGAGACAGCCTTGGCAACACAGTGAGACCTTGTCTCTACAAAAAATAAATAATACTTTTACAGATTTTTTTTAAAAGTTTTTTAATGGACAGATACAGTCCTTTAAATTACAAGACCAAGTGCAAATGTCCTGGGTTTACTTTGTTTTCTTTTTTCCTTTTTTTTTTTTTTTGAGATGGAGTCTCACTCTGTCACCCAGGCTGGAGTGCAGTGGCGCGATTTTGGCTCACCACAACTGCCACCTCCCGGGTTCAAGTGATTCTCATGCCTCAGCCTCCAGAGCAGCTGGGATTACAGGGGCGTGTCACTGCAACTGGTTAATTTTTGTATTTTTAGTAGAGACAGGGTTTTACCATGTTGGCTAGGCTGGTCTTGAACTTCTGACCTCAGGTGATCCACCTACCTTTGCCTCCCAAAATGCTGGGATTACAGGCGTGAGCCACTGCGCTGGCTTTTTTATTTTTCTTTTAAATAGAGATAGGGTCTCGCTCTGTTGCCCAGGCTGGAGTGCAATGGCATAATCACAGCTCACTGTAGCCTCAAACTCCTGGCTCATGCAACCCTCCCACCTCAGCCTCCTGTGTAGCTGGGACTACAGGCACACGCCACCATCCAGCTACTTTTTGTTTATTTTCTTAGAGACAGAGTCTCAGTATGTTGCCCAGTCTGGTCTTCAACTCCTTGCCTCAAGAGTCCTCCCACCTCAGCCTCCCGAATCTCTGAGATTACAGGCATGAGTCACCATGCCCAGGCTCTGGGTTTACTGTTTAGTAGAACACCCTAACAAGTCCTATAATAAAAGGCATTTCTAAAATTCCATATAGTTCATGGTTTAGGCTTCTGATCAAAGTACCTTCATTTGTCATCCAGATAATTACATTCCAAAGAAACAACTGCTATTTTCATAGCTTAAAAACAAACTGTATTTAGAATATACTATACCAGACAAAATTTGTAAGGAATGGAAGCAAAATCCCAATTTAAAAAATCTTCAAAGTAAAAACCCAGTAAGATTTCAAAGGAGAATAAAGAGTAACATGTATTATAACTTAAACCCACATAAATCATCTGCCCTCATGGATGGAAAAAAAAAATATGATTCCTGACAATTCTGTTGGATATCAATAAGGCAGTATCATTAGCTTAGAAGATACATCTTTCTCAGATGTAAACTTGAGACTTAACAGCTTTTGCATTTCTGGCAAAAAGCATATATATAACACATCTGTAACTGAAAGATTTAGTTTACAAGTTCCTATTCTCACCCCATGATTCTAGGCCATACAATGGCTTTGGGATAAAAATTAAAACAAGGTAATGTGGACAAAAGAGCTCGAAAAAAACACTGTTGCATTTACAATTTACTAACCATCTAGATCCTAAAATATTCATTTACAAATTTTATTAAAAAATTTATTTCCACACTGGATATCTACATGCAGAACAATGAAAATGGACCTTTACTCATACCATTTACGGTACAAAAATCAACTCAAAATGGATTCAAAAACTTAAACGTGAGATCAGAAAGTGCAAAACTGCTACAAGAAAACACATGAAAAAATAACACAACATGGGTCTGGCCAATGATTTTTTTTAATTTGACCCCAAAAGCACAGGCAACAAAGGCAAAAACAGACGAATGAGATTACATCAAATAGCCAAAACCTACTTAGTGATCATAGCTAATACTATTAATATTTACTGATTCTCACTATGTACTCAACACTGTGCTACATATGTTAAATATACTTAATCTTTAAACAATTCTACAAATTTAAATACCACTGTCATCCCCAATGACAAACGAGGAGACAGGTTTTAAAAAACAGTATTTGGCCTAACAAACACTTTAAAATAAACATTCTACAATTTTAACGGGTACTCTTGTACATATGGTTGCATGTCCACGACATCATCTAATCCTTACACCAACCTTATATGTTCATTTAAAGAAATTATTGCCGAGTGCCATGGCATGCACCTGTAGTCCCAGGTGCTTGCATGGGAGCCTGAGGTGGGAGGATCACTTAAGCCCAGGAGTTCACGGCTATAGTGGGGCTATCATCATGCCTGTGAATAGCATACACCAGCCTGGGGCAATACAGTGAGACCCCACCTCTAAAAAAATAGAAAGAATTACTACCCCTATTTTACAGAGGACAAGAGCAGAACAATTATTTAAATGGTTGAGTAAGCAGTGATGGAGGAGGTCACAGTAGAAGTAAAAGCAGCAACACTACTTGCTAGGCACAGTGCCAACAGTTTCCTATATATCTTCTCACTTAATCCTTCCAACTCCTCAAAGTTATCATCAGTTTACAAATGAGAAAAACAAGTAGGGAGAGGTTAAGTTGTTTTTCGAGGTCAGAAATCTAAGTGGTAGAGCCAAAACACACACCAAGTCTGTATGACATCAGAACAGAAGCATTTAACTGTTGCCATTATTTTTCTTTAGTCTTATCCTATACTAAGAGAAGAGAGGGAAAATCTTTAAAGATTAATTCTTAGTTCAGTGTTTCGAAGGGTACCTTCCTAAGATTTCCTTCACTTGTTCATAGAGATTCTCTTTTAAACAATGAAATTCTATGAAGTACATTTGCATATTCAAATACCTAATAGTCTCTTCTTGTTTTTTTATCCCTAAAGTTGAGCTCTGACCTTAAGTACTCCCAGGGCACAAGGGGACTGCATACTTCACCATTTTCCTTTACAAATCTGAATATCCCTGTTTACCCTGCAATATAAAGGGGTGGGAGGAGGACAAGAGAGCATCATGATTCTTTTCAATTAGACAAATTAGGGTCCCTATATATTACACATAACATTTCCTGAAGTAAAAAGTGTTTCATTTTTCATCAACAGAAAATTCCCTATTTGCTCCTAATAAACACAAAATTGAAGGCCTTTGGAAATATTCAAGACCACACGCTCATGGCAGAAACTGGTTAGAAGCTAAAGAGTATCAAGGATATCAAATGGTTGGTTACTTGAACTGCTCTATTATCACCTTCAACTCCTTAGCAATAAAAGATTAAATGTATCTAAAAGGCTAGCAAAGTTTTTTTTAAAGGCACTAGGATAAAAGGTAATTTATAACATTTTCAAACTGGCTAGAAATGGGTTTTTAAACATGTGGTTTAAAATTACCTGCAATATGGCTTTGCTGTATATGGCTAATAATGAAGAATATATATGGCCTAGTTGGAGAATAAGACCAGTCTAGTTAACAAACAGAGCCACCGTAAGAGATAGAAGATAAAGACAGAGTTGACTCTGAATGCTACACTAAATTGTTTGAATTTTCTCCTGCAAATAATGGGAGACTAAAGGTTTCTGAGTTAGAAAAGAACAACAAAACAGATTTTCTGAAAGCTAAATCTACTCTATACTGTAACCAGAGTTGACTAGGGTAAAATGTAAGTGGAGTGGCCAATAAAGACAATGTTTTATTCCTTTACACATGGCAGGATAAAGGGAAGTAGCAGAAGGAATGAAAAGTGATCACTTCAAACAATGGTTATTATAAAGAATGATTTCACAGGATTTGGAGACCAGGAGCCAAACAGAGTTTTAAAATACTGAGTATGTCAACTGAGTCTGGGAGAATTATGGAACCTTAAAATAGGAAAATGCATAGAATAAGGTCTCTGGATTCGAGGCGGGGATAGGGATAAGAATTGGAAAAGAGAAGATACATTCTATTTTTTAATTATTGCATTTATACTGGGAGTTTTAGCAGGTTAACTGCTAGACAGGACACAAAAGGGATAGGCTAGAAGGGCAAATTTATAAGTAATTTACATACTTATATCTTACATTTGTAAAATATTTTTATTTTTACAGCTGATTCCAAGTATATTATCTCATTTGATCTCTACAATTGCCCTGAAAGGTAGACAGGTCAGATATCTGTTTTCCACATATGTAGGCACTGAAAGTTAAGTCACATAGCTAGAAGCAATAGAACATTAACTAAAATTCAGATGGGTAAATCCTAATGTGCATCCACAGTGCTGTGTTAGTTACATGTCTGTAAGATACCATGCTGACTACATGCTTCCTTCAAAATCCCATCCTTTTTTTGCCTTTAAAATATGATCAGAGAAAATTTATCTTTTCCCTTCAATTGACTGCTTCATAAAATAAATTTTAACACAATCATTAATTTCACTGTTACATATGCTAACAGACTACAAGTTTATTTTAGTACCTGATTGTGGTAACAAGATATCTATTGCTCAAAGTACCTAAAAAAAACTCAGTTTACCAAGCAGCGAAGGCAATCAAGTAGAGAAATGGTAGATATGTGTGTGAATTTTCCTACTACATATGTAAAGTGATACTAGGCTACCAACATTCCAGTTTCCTACAACAATATAAAAAATTTTATTCTCTATTCTGCATTGCTCTAATTTCAGTATGTGCTGGCAAAGTGAGCCACATGTCATAACTTGACAAACTGTTTTTAATAATATTTATAGCTTAAAAATGAATATCCTAAAAATATAATAGACTCCTGTTATACAAATTAGCTATCCTCCTGGGGTAAAACTGAAGTATTTTCAAAATCGTAACTGTAATATCCCTAAACATACTTATAACTATACCAACTCCCATCAATTCTACCTCTGTATCTCACATACACTCTTAGCTTCTCCCTTCTCATGCCACTACCTTAAATCATAATATACATTATCTCTTGCATGGGTTTTTCTATGAGCATCTTAACTTTTCTATGAGTTTCTCTCCAACCTGTCTTTTCTAATTGCCAATCATTTTACACAGTATTGCCAGATTAACTTTCCGAAGCACTCCTACCACCACAACAGTGTCCCTTTTCAAGTTTTTATTGTCTTTTCTTTAAGCTATTGTTTCCTGAGAATTTACTATGTACCATTCATTCACTATGCTAAGCACCTGACATACATTATCTCATTTAATCCTCACAGCAGTCTCCTTGTTCAATTTTGTATCTTAACAAAATAAATACTTGTCCAATGTCAAAAGCTAAATGGCACAGCTAGGGCCTGGAGTCTGCTTGACTCCAGGGCATTTTAACAACTATTCTGCAGAACACCTTAGCCTGACATTCATATGGCTCCACTTGACTTAGTCCTAGAATACTTTTTCCATTTTCTTTCTCCCTCCCCTGTCTTCTGAATCAAACTACTTGCTGTTTCCCATATGAGCCCTGCAATTTCCCACCTCCTTTGGGAAGTGTCCACATTCCCAAAGGAAGTTTATTAATTTAATAGTCAACTCTTATAGCACTTATTTTGTGTACTGCTTATATTTAGTCATTAAACTTTGACATACTGCTTATATTTTGTCATTAAACTTTTGACATATTGTTTCTTATACCAAGAAAAAATCCTCTCTTCAACTTTTTATCTGTTAAGATTTTCCTCTTCCATCAAGTATCCTATGAAATCTTAATTTTGCCTGCCCTCTCTCTCCTCTACAAACTACCCTTCTAGAGTACTTAATCTACGCCTTTGCTGTAGCATTTATTGTCTACCTTGAAATCAGAATGTCTATTAATTGCAAGCCCCCGAGGCAAAGTTTGTTAACTCATATTTGATGAGTTCGTAACATATAAAATATATTGTGCTATATACAAATATTTTTTGAATGAAAATCTTTTTAATCTTTTTGACCAAAGAACCACTTAATGAGAGAGAGGAGGGTTGTGCCTTCTTACCACGAATGTCCTCCCATCCAAGTACTAACCAGGCCTGACCCTGCTTAGCTTCCAAGATCAGACAAGATCAGGCACAGTCAGGGTGGTATGGCCGTAGAGGAATGTCCTCATTCATAATTTTACGAATACAGTTAAATCAATATGGATTGCTGGAAGATGGAGAGCTGGCGCTTAAACCTAAAATTTATTCTAAGAACAGAGTATCACTTATTAGAGAGATGCATAAGTTCTGGTCATTCTTCTATTAAACTAATATTTTCCTTTAAATAAATGAGGAAGAGTAATAGTTTCTGTTTAAATCTCTCTCCTGGGGACAATGTTTCCAAGACTGGAAAAACTATAAATTCTGGTAGAATGAAGAAATAATAAACAGAAAGTTAAAGTAGAAGAAACTTAAGACAAATACATTTACGAAATACATATATTCTTTTTTTTTTTTTTTTTCTTAGATGGAGCACAATCATAGCTCACTGCAGCCTCAAACTCCTGGGCTCAAGCAATCCTCCTGCTTCAGCCTCCCAAGTAGCTGGGACTACAGGCGCATGGCACCATGCCTGGCTAATTTTATTTTATTTTTTGTATAGATGGAGTCTTCCTATGTTGCCCAGGCTGGTCTTAAATTCCTGGGCAAAGGGATCCTCCTGCCTCAGCCTCTCAGGGCGCTGGGATTACAGGCATAAGCCAGCATGCATGCAAGCATTCATGTATTTATTTAGAGACAGTCTTGCTCTGTTGCCCAAACTGAAGTGCAGTGGCTCAATCTTGGCTCACTGCAACCTCTGCCTCCTGAGTTCACGCAATTCTCCTGCCTCAGCCTCCTGAGTAACTGGGATTACAGGCGCCCAACACTACACCCGGCTGATTTTTTATATTTTTAGTAGAGACGGGGTTTCACCGTGTTGGCCAGGCTGGTCTCAAAGTCCTAACCTCAAGTGATCCGCCTGCCTTGGCCTCCCAAAGTGCTGGGATTACAGGTGTGAGCCACCGCCCCCAGCCTGGCCTTACTCACTTAAAAGTAGTCCATTATTTTTTACTTTCATTCACTTTGGGCTAAAGTAAAAATTAAAATATAGCAAACAGAAACAGGGTATACATGTATAGAAATCGGGCATGTGTATATGTTATATATACATACATAGAACATTCAGGGTACCATTTATGACAATGTTAAAAGTTAAAATCGGCCTGGTGCAGTGGCTCACATCTGTAATCCCAGCACTTTGGGAAGCCGAGGCAGGCGGATCACTTGAGGCCACGAGTTCGAGACCAGCCTGACCAACATAGTGAAAGCCTGTCTCTACTAAAAATACAAAAATTAGCCAGGCATGGTGGCACGCGCCTGTAGTCCCAGCTACTCGGGAGGGTGAGGCAGGAAAATCACTTGAACCCGGGAGGTGGGAGGCTGCAGTGAGCAGAGATCACACCACTGCACTCTAGCCTGGGAAACAGAGAGAGACTCCATCTCAAAAGAAGGTTAAAATCATCCGAACATATTTCCTTAAAAAAAGAAAAGAATGATTAAAGCAAATAATGCATAACAAAATAACTTATTAAGAACTATTACTTTGTTATTAAGGAGTTAACAGTATCAAGGCAGTCTGAAGGCTGGGCATAGTGGCTCATGCCTGTAATCCCAGCACTTTGGGAGGCCGAGGCAGGTGGATCACTTGAGTCCAGGAGTTCAAGACCGGCCTGGGCAAGATAGTGAAACCTCATTTCTACATAAAGTACAAAATATAGGCAGTTGTGGTGGCGTGTGCCTATAGTCCCAGCTACTTGGGAAGCTGAGGCAAGAGGATCACCTAAGCCTGGGGAGGTCAAGGCTGCAGTAAGCTGTGATCACACCACGACCCTCCAGCCTGGACAACAGTTG
This sequence comes from Homo sapiens, assembly GCF_000001405.40. NCBI lineage: Eukaryota > Metazoa > Chordata > Mammalia > Primates > Hominidae > Homo > Homo sapiens. The sequence continues at coordinate 67,258,451 of NC_000014.9, read as the reverse complement.
CAATCCTCCTGCCTCAATCCCCCAAGTAGCTGGGACTACAGGCACCCACCACTACAGCCGGCTAAGTTTTTGTATTTGTGGTAGAGACGGGGTTTCGCCACATTGCCCAGACTAGTCTCGAACTCCTGAGCTCATGCGATCCACCTGCCTTGGGATCCCAAAGTGCTAGAATTACAGGAGTGAGCCACGGTGCCTGGCCTATTATCAAATTTTTATGGATGAGTACCTTATCTTCTCAACTAGACTGCAAATATTCTATAGACTTCCCATCTACTGGTAGTGGCTCTGAGAACCCTGCACACTGCTATCTATGTATGCTCATATTAGAAACTCAATACGTGCTGCATTAAATTTGAATATTTAAATACTAGATAAGACAGGAAGAGAAAAACCACACCTACCTATTGCCAAACATTTAATAACTCAAGAGGAGAGAGATTTTTCCCAAATTATTCAATGACAATCGAATGAAGTAGTTAAATGATGCAAATATTCACTACCTTGGTGACAGCAATGTTTTTACACACTCCATATAAGGGGCCCCTAATATACAACTTTTGTGTTGCATATGTGTTGTACGTATAGTTGTGTAACACAAAATTATGTGTGTATTTTTTAAAAAAAGCAAACAGTTCCATTAAACCTACTATGAAGAACAATTCAGTGTCTCACCTCCTCTACCTGAGTTCTGCATAGAGAACACTTTTAACTCTCAGTTTCTTCTTAAACTTACCTTCATATTTCTAGTGACATGTATAAAAATAGGCTGTATGTTATATATACATACATATATACATATATAAAATACGTGTGTATGTTCTATGTATACATACATGCCATTTCTTTTTTTTTTAGTTATCTGTTGAGCATTTATTATGAAGATGAATATTTAGCTGTCTCTCATAGTACATTCCCTCTCTCCACAAGTTGTGTCTCACTTTTTATTTAAATCACTAATACATCCTGTGAAAGCAAAGTAAGTATCAGGACCCCAAAACCACTAAGCCAAGGAAAAGTCAAGCTGGGAACTATGTCAGACAAACCTGTCTCCTGGTTTTTTCCTAAATAAGATAGCTACAAGGATAAAAAGCTACATACCTCCCTCACCATTTGCCCACAAGGAAATTCCTTGTGGATAAAGGACAGACAGAACTCAGTCACCCCTCTGAGGTTCACCTGAGACAAATGCATATCTGATTGCTTCCTCTGCCCTATGGTTTATGTAAAAATGCAGATTCACTGGGCCAGACTAAACCGTGTATTCAGTGAAAGACTGATCAAGGACTCGAAAGAATGCAACCATTTGTCTCTTACCTACTTATGATCCCCGCTAACTCTTATCAACTGAAAGCCCCCGCCTCAAGTTGTTCCGTCTTACCGGATCAAACCAACGTACATATTGATGTCTCATGTCTCCCTAAAACGTATTTAAAAAAAGCTGTACCCCGATCACCTTGGGCACCTGTCGTCAGGACCTCCTGAGGCTGTGTCACAGCCGCGTCCTTAGCCTTGGCAAAATGAGACCTGTCAGATATTTTGGGTTCACAATACCCACATTCTTTGGTAAAAAGAATCAATATTTTTTTAATGTATACATTCAAACAAATCAGGTAACCTATCAGTTTCATGTGTGTGTGTGTGTGTGTGTGTGTGTCAATAGTTTCTGGAACACTTCGTCCTCCTACTTACTCTATTAGATTTTTTTCTTTCTGCCCTGTCTCTACTAAAATACAAAAATTAGTCAGGTGTGGTGGCACATGCCTGTAATCCCAGCTACTTGGGAGGCTGAGGCACGAGAATCACTTGAATCTGGGAGGCTAAGGTTGCAATGAGCCAAGATCACACCACTGCACTCCAGCCTGGGCAACAGAGCGAGACTCCATCTCAAAAAACAAAAAGAAAAAAGAAAAAAGGATATAAAGTATCTCATTTATTTATATTTACTACAAGTTGAAATGGTAATAATTTTGATATACCTTTATTGTATTAAATAAAATACACTGTTAAAATTAATTTCATGGTTTCTTTTCACTTGTTTTTTTAAAATATATAATACCCAGACTAGTCTGATCTTTCTACTTTTTATTGTGACTACTAGAGCATGAAGCTCTTTATGAACTGACATGAAACAAACGCAAGTGAAAAAGGCAAGCTTCAGAACAGTGTTTATCTACCATCCCATTTTTACAAATATACATAGAAGATGTTTATAAAGTTATTAACAAAATATTCAGAAGAATATATACAATATTGTTTTCAACTAATATCTCTGAAAAATGAGGATAATAGACCAAATATTCCCTACTTTCCACTTCTATACTATTTGGATATCTTACAAAATATTCACACAAAAAAAGTATGTGTTGCTTTTATAATTTGAGGAAAAAACACAAAGATATTACTTTTCTGAAAACAAACAAATATTGAAACTTTAAATTACAATTACTTATTAAAGTCAGTTGGTTGAGCACAGAGGCTCACAACTGTCTGTAATCCCAGCACTTTGGGAGGCCAAAGCATGTGGATCACTTGAGGTCAGGAGTTCCAGACCAGCCTGGCCAACATGGTGAAACCCCGTCTCTACTAAAAATACAAAATTAGCCAGGCATAGTGGCAGGTGCCTGCAATCCCAGCTACTAGGGAGGCTGAGGCAGAAGAATTGTTTGAACCCCGGTGGGTAGGGGCAGAGGTTGCAGTGAGCCCAGATTGCACTACTGCACTACAGCCTGGGCAACAGAGCGAGACTCCATCTCAAAAACAAAACAAAATAGCAGGAACAAAACTCTTTCAAGCGTTCTGGAACCTTTAAATTAAGAAAAGTAATCGAAGTGTTATCTCTCAAGCCCTAAGCAATTTCATAAGCAGTGCAACAATAAAATAAGAATTTCTAAATAAATCACTTATGCAATCATTAGGGTCATGGCTCTTTAGTATTTAGGAATTCCTCAACCACACAAATAAATCATATATATTACATTTTTAATTTTAAAATGTAAGAAAGCAGTTTACCAAAGGAATAAAAGCATTAATTATATGAAAAATTCCAAAAAAGACCTCTAACACTTTCAAATATGTCAGGTTCATGATTCTGATTACATTTATTCTTTCATCACGTAAATAACTCACAATGACAAACTCAAAGAATCCTAATTACCAAACTCACATGGCTATTGCTTTGCTCTCAATGTACTCCATGCAGATTTTCTTCATTCCCTTTAATCAATTACCTTCCCTGAAAAACGTGTCTGAAGTGTCAGGCTTCTAAAAAAGCATTATAAGAGATTCGAACTTTTTTTTTTTTTGAGAGATGGAGTCTCGCTCTGTTGCCAGGCTGGAGTGCAGTGGCACAATCCTGGCTCACTGCAACCTCCGCCTCCCAGGTTCAAGCGATTCTCCTGCCTCAGCCTCCTGAGTAGCTGGGACTACAGGCGTGCGCCACCACACCCAGCTAATTTTTGTATTTTTAGTAGAGAAGAGGTTTCACCATGTTGGCTAGGATGGTCTCAATCTCTTGACCTCGTGATCTGCCCGCCTTGGCCTCCCAAAGTGCTGGGATTACAGGTGTGAGCCACTGCGCCCGGCCAGAGATTCCAACTTCTAACTTCAAGTGATTTACAGCTTACTAGAGAAAAAATTATGTTCCAAAGGTTAGCAAATTAGTAGATGATTACCTCTACCTAGATCGCTTATTGGTATGCAAATCAAAAACACTGGCCATTAAAGGCAGGTGGGGGGATAGTTTGCTTGTCACTGAAGAAATACCAAATAACCATTTCAGAGTTATCAGAACTAATAAGGACTCATATCTGGTGCTATCTATAAATTAAACTGAAGCAGTGACAGTAGAGAGTATTTCAGGACAAGTACGACTGTATCAGTAGAAAAGGAAAAAAGAAAAATCTGATAAGAAAGGAAGGCTAATGAGAATACAAATGTCAACAGGTTTAGAGTACAATTAACTTTTATTATGGTAGTACTGCTGACTGAGGGTATGAGTAATGCTCTGATTTTGACAAGACAGTCTTACAGGGGAGGAAAGCATATGAGGATATTCTTATAAACAAGAAATAAGAATAAAAGGTCAATCTATAAGATAACTATACTGCAAATCTAATAGGAAAAAGGGTTAAGCTAAAACTACCTTTTCATTCAACAAGGCGAGTACCCACTTGGTACCAAAAACTTGGATAGTCATTGTCAAGAAAAAGGCTGCTGAGGCAGAGTCCGTATCCTTAAGAAACTTAAAATCTAAAAAAAAAAAAAAAAAAAGAAAGACACTTAAAATCTAGTATAGATATCAGATAAGTAAACAAATAAAAAACCAATACAGTGCTATTTGGTAAATGCCACACTAGAACTGTAGAAAATGTCACAGGAGTTACTTGTAGAAGAAGAGCATCCTAAGAAAACTTGTAAGGGGGGGGGGATGAATATAAGGCCCAAAAAAGACATGAAAGACATCCATTACTCAAAATGGAAAAAAAAAAACAAAACAAAATATTAACACAAACACACTGATATCAGTAAACAAATGCTCTATCCAAGCCTAAGATTTTGAATCACCATAATGAAACTGAACTCTGGAAATGATGTCTTTTTTTTTTTTTCTTTTTGAGACAGGGTCTCACTGTTGCCCAGACTGAAGAGCAGCAGCACAAACATGGCTCACCACAGCCTTGACTTTCTGGGCTTAGGTAATCCTCCCACCTGAGCCTCCCAAGTAGCTGGGACTACAGGAATGCAAACCCAGCTAATTTTTTTGTATTTTTTGTAGGTACAGGGTCCCACTATGTTGTCTAGGCGGGTCTGGAACTCCTGGGCTCAAGCAGTCCTCTTGCCTCAGTCTCCCAAAGTGCTGGGATTACAGGCATAAGCTGCTGCGCCTGGCCTAACTACGTCATTTTTAAAGTCTATTTAAAAATGTGTAGTGAAAACAACCTACTGAAAAACACCCCAGAGTAATTCTTGAGTCAAATAGAGAAGCTGATAAAGCTGAACAGAACTTAATCTCACTATATAAGTAAACTGTTTAGGACAACAAATTGTTTTCTCTCATTTGACTTTCACTATTATTTCAGAGATTAGAAAGCTGACCTCAACATACAATTATAATTATTCATCATTACCTCAGACTATAACAACCAAGTCACACAACTCCTATCTCTTATCTAACATTGAAAGAGTGCTTAATATGTATATACTAACACCATGCCTACCATTCTTGATGTACCATCTCAATCCTCAAAATAAAACCTACTGAATTAAGCATCCCCATTCTGCAGATAAGGAATCAGGCTTTGATAAGTTAACCTGTTCATTGTCACACACAAGTCAAGAGAGTATTTCTGCAGACATCTGACTCTATAATCTGTAAAAGTACTGTAAGTCAGTGATAGTACTGTAACTGCACTGTAAAGCCTGTCAGTATGTGCCTATGGAAAAACAAGAAAAAGTCATCAGCAAATTAATACATTTATGGTTATGTCTTTGTAGAAAAAGCTAATCAAGAACATGTGAAAGTGTTAGATTTCCTCCCAGTAAACACATTTATGGCCAACCTAGAATAAATGAAATTGTGTTTCAAATGTCAAATTATCTGTTTATGGGAGATGACTAGAACAGAACAGTCTCTAATATTTAGCTCACAGCAAGGCTAAAGTTTAAACAAATAAATGATAAAAGTACAAATTGAAACCAAGCATCTACTATGTGCCATTCCGAGCTTTTTTTCATTCTCAACACTGATGACATCAAATGTGTGGGTCTTTTCCTCACACCAATTCTCTGGACACCGACTGGGTGTCCTACAATTCAATTTCATTCTGACACTATCTACCTGGAGTTACAATCAGATCCCACAAGCTAATGGCTCAGTCCCAAAAGACTGCCCCAGACTTCAGATGCCAGCCACAAGTTTTGGGCCTCCTGTACTTCACACCACCCAGCTATTCATCAGGGGTTCCCATGACCACTCCTCAGGTTCAATAGTTTGCTAAATGCTGAGCACGGTGGCTCACTCCTGTAATACCAGCACTTTGGGAGGCCAAGGCTGGAGGACTGCTGGAGACCAGGAGTTTAAGACCAGCCTGGGCAGCTCAGCAAGACCTCATCTCTACAAAAAATAAAAATAAAATTAGCTAGGTATGGTGGTGCACGCCTATTTGAGCCCAGGAGTTGAAGGCTGCAGTGAGCTATGATCATGCCACTGCACTCCAGCCTGGGTGACAGAGCAAGACCTTGATTCTAAGAAAAACAAAAAATAAATAAATAAAAATAATTTGCTTGAATGGCCCCAGAACTCAGAAAGGCACTTTACTTACTATTACTGGTTTATTATAAGGGATACAACTCAGGAATAGCCAAATGGAAGAGATGCAAAGAGCAAGGTTTAGGCGGGTGGTGTGGAGCTTCCATGCCTTCTCCAGTCAAACCAGCCTCCCAGCACCTTGAAATATTCGCCAACCCAGAATCTCTCCAAACACTGTCATTTAGGAGTTTCATTAGATGGGCATGATTAAATTACTGGCCATTGGTGACTGGCTATCTCTAGCCCCTCTTTGCCTTCCCAGAGGTTGAAGGTGGGGCCCCATGCCTTGGTCTTTCTGGCAACCAGCCCCTAACCTGAAGCTATTATAGGGGCCTGCCAAGAGTTGACTCACTGAAACAAAAGATGCTCTTATCACCCTCATTCAAACAAAAGACTCTCTATGCTTAAGAAAATTCCAAGGGATTTAGAAGCTCTAGGTCAGCTGTCAGGGACAAAGACCAAATATATATTTCTTATTGTATCACAGCCATATTAAGGGCTGACATACTAAGACAAAAAGATACAACCCACTATCCTACCCTTAAGGAGCTTATTTACAATTTACAGGCTCAAAGTTCTTCACTTTAATTCAACTACTTTTTTTTTGAGACAGGTTCTCGTTCTGTTGCTGTTGACCAGGCTGAAGTGCAATGGTGCCATCATGGTTCACTGCAGCCTCAACCTCCCACACTCAAGAAATCCTCTCACTTTAGCCTCCTGAGTAGCTGGGACCACAGGCACACACCACCAAGTCCAGCTAATTTTCGTATTTTTTGTAGAGACAGGGTCCCACTGTGTTGCCCAGGTTGGTCTCAAACTCCTGGGCTCAAGCGGTCCTCCTGCCTCGGCCTCCAAAATACTGGGATTTCAGGCATGAGCCACTGCGCCAGCCTCACGTACATTTTTAAACACTAGGTAAAGTGGAAAATGGCTTTCATCAAAAAGTTTCTAATCTTACCAAAAAGACAATGTTAAAATAAGTCTTAAGGCAGGCTATATTACAGACAAAGCAGAAAAGCCAAGGGCTTTGGGATCAAATAAAATTAATTCAACTCCTTTCTATCACTTATAATAGGACTATGGAAAAAATATTTAATCTCTCTGAGCCTCAATTTCCTCATTTGTAAAAAGAAGAATGCTGACAAAGAACTTGAAATGTAGTTGTTAATATTTAAGAAATACATACAAAGGATACAGCATACAGCATAACACATTAAGAGACACAGCGAGGGATACAATTCTGGATAAGAGGGGAAAGCAGAAAGTATTGTGATTTGGTCAAATGAACTATCAATCTTGCTATAAATTTTAAGTATAAAAGGATAAGGTATAAAAAACAGAAGGATAAGATTCCTTTAGGATGCCTACAAAAACTATGAAATTTATTTTCGTTAACTCTAAGTATGTACTGATTACCCTTATGCAAATCATTATTGTGAAAAACATTTGCAGGTCATTTATACAGTCGATGAATCACCTGGATCAGAGACCTGTATCTGGGGTTCATGACTTTATTTCCATGAATCCCTGCATATTGTATGAACAGTGTGTGTGTTTCAGAGGAAGGGCCCAGATGACTATCAGAATCACAAAACAATCTGTTTAACTAGAATTTTTTGTTTAATATTAGACAGTTAAATCTGCATGTCCAGTACACATAAACTGGAGTTTATACAGTTTTCAATGTGAGGCAATGTGATTTCCAATACTAAGACAGAAGAACCACTGTTTAACACATAACTTATTTTCTTCCAGATTTTTTTGGTCAGTAAATATTTGAGTGTCTAGTACTTCTGAGCATAAATGAACATCAAACAGTAGTCACAGCTCTCGATAATTTACAGATGAGTTACAAAAAAGAATAAATTGTTAATGCATACTTTACTAAAATTTTAAGAACTAAAACTTATTGCCAGTAGGAGGGTATGGAACGTTCCTGGAGGAAGGAAGAGTGGGTGGCTGAATTTTAAATGAAATTATGAACACAGCCTCTTGGAGAAGGGTTACTTTCGTCTATCTACATCAATGGTTTTCAAGTTGTAGGATGTGACCCATTTGTGTGCCATAAAATCGCTCTAGTGAATCTCAACCAGCTTCATAAAAAACAAAATAGAACAGCTTTATCTTGATAGAAACTCAGAAAAAAAGACTTTCCGAAGCGTTACTTACATTTCAAACATAACACAAAAATGAGTATCTAAATATGGATACTCTAAGTACAACCAAGTCCTAGCAGAGCACCTAGCTCACTACATTCATAGGAAGCAATCACGTTAAACGAATGCAGTCTTAAAGGCACTTCTAAAACACACAAGCAAAATACAGATTGCCTACTTCTTACATCAAAACAAAATAATGTATTTTAAGTTACATTCTCAAACCTTTTCTGTGACAATGTAAAACTCTCAAAATATAATGTTTTCACACAAAATCCTCAACTTTTTGTGTGAAGTTTCTCAAATTGTGAAGCCAATTATGATTTATATCAAAAAAGCATAACTCAAAAGATAACTATAGACACATAATTAAAATTTCTAATATTTGAACTTATTAGATATACTACAAACTGTAAAAACCTGACTCTCCTTAATTATTTCACATCTGTTGGTTTGTGACAAAGCACTGTGCAGTCTTGAAACAAAAAGTGAATAAGTGAATATTTATTAAGTATCTGCTATGTGTCAGATATTTTGCTAGGTGCTTTCCATATCTCAGCTTGAATTTTTCAATCATCTTTCAAGGTGGCTACATGTCATAGGTGAGAAAAGTGAGGCTTGGCCTAGAATTACAGCATGAAATAAATACCCCAAGCTTCCTTTTACTACATTACTACAATTACTGTCATTTCTCCTGCTGATTTTTTGCCTTAAAACATTGGTATGAGGCCAAGCATGGTGGCCCACGCCTGTAATCCCAGCACTTTGGGAGGCCGAGACGTGCAAATCACCTGAGGTCAGGAGTTCAAGACCAGCCTGGCCAATATGGTGAAGCCCCATCTCCACAAAAATACAAAAATTAGCCAGGCATGATGGCGGGTGCCTGTAATCCCAGCTACTCGGGAGGCTGAGGAGGGAAAATAACTTGAACCCGGGAGGCAGAGGTTGCAGTGAGCTGAGATCATGCCATTGCACTCCAGCCTGGGGGACAGAGTGAGACTTGGTCTCAAAAAAAAAAATTGGTATGTAGGCCAGGCGTGGTGGCTCATGCCTGTAATCCCAGCACTTTAGGAGGCCAACTTGGGAGGATCACTTGGGTCATGGAGTTCGAGACCAGCCTGAGCAACACAGTGAGACCCCATCTCTATCTCAAAAAAATAAAATAAAAATGTTGGTATGTAAACTAAGTCCAGAGGTCAAATCAGGCACACCTTATTTTTATAAGTAAAGTTTTATTGGAAAAGTCATGCTCATTTGTTTGGCTACCTCTGCCACTCTAACAACAGAACTGAGTACTTGCAACAGAGACAATATGGCCCACGAAGCTAAAATACTTACCGAAAGTTGTTGACCCCTGCCTTAAAGAAGCAAAATGCCAAGAACCCTGGAGGCCTCAAAATTTCAACGTCTTTGAGGGTGTTTGAGACTATTAACTGAAGAAGAAACTATAAAATTATATGAGACAGAAAGCCAAATGTTTTAATTTTTATAATGTTATATCATAATCAAGAAAATTTAAGTCCTACTAAAATGTAAAATGTAGGTAGGTAACTGTTAATGAATACCTTGACTCTACTGACTTCATTAAGTATTTTAGTTCACAAAATCTTATATTTGGTTTCCTTTTTTTTTTAAGAAAAGAGATCTTGTTATGTTGCTCAGCTGGACTCAAACTCCTGGGCTCAAGCGACCCTCCCACCTCAGCCTCCCAATTGGCTGGGGCTACAGGCATGTGACATTGCTCCTTCATTTTTAAGAATAAATGTTAATGTATATTAGTTTTTAAAAATCCAAAATGATTTTTGTTTAAAATAACCCCAGAGTTAGTCCCAGAAACATGCAAATATGGTTCAACATTTGAAAAATCAGTGTAATTCACCATATTAACAGATTAAAGAAAAAAGTTCACACAATCATCTCAATACATGCAGAAAAGGCATATGATAAAATTCAACATCTATTCATGATTTAAAAAACAAACCCTCAGTAACCTAGGAACAGAAGAAAACCTCCTTAACCTCCTTAACAGAATGCACAAAATGACCTACAGCTAATATCATTTTTTAAAAGTGAAAGACTGAATACTTTTCCTTTAAGAAAGTGAGCAAGAAGCCAGGCACTGTGACTCATGCCTGTAATCCCAGCACTTTGGGAGGCTGAGGTGGGCAGATCGCTTGAGCCCAGGAATTTGAGACCAGCCTGGGCAACATGGTGAAGCCCTGTCTCTACTAAAAATACAAAAAATTAGCTGGGCATAGTGGCACTTGCAGTAGGTCCCAGCTACTCAAGAGGCTGAGATGGGAGAATCAACTGAGCCCAGAAAGTCGAGGCTGCCGTGAGCAGTGCTGCGCCACTACACTTTAGCCTGGGGATAGAGTGAGACCCTATCTTAAAAAAAAAAAGTGAACAAGATAAAGATGCTACTTCTCATCTCTCCTATTCGACATCTCAGTGGAAGTCCTAACCAAGACAATACAGCAAGTTAAGGAAAAGAAATAAAAGGCATACAGACTAGAAGGAAAGAAAAGTTTTGAGCACGACTGTCTACTTAGAAAATTCCAAAAAAAATTACTAAAATAAAAAAGCTCCTAGAGCTAATAAGGGAGTTTAGCAGAAAGTCAGGATACAAAGTCAATATACAAAAATTAATTTCTATATACCATCAGTGATCAACTGGAATCTGATTTTTTTAGATTACCATTTACAATAGGACCAAAAAATTAAAATAATTAGGTATAGACTTAATAAAGTATTTGCAAGATCTGCATATTGAAAACTACAATACTCACATAAATGGAAAGAAATAGCATGTTCATAGATGAGAAGACTCAAATTATTAAGATGTCAATTATCTTCAGGTTGATCTCTAAATTAGACACAATCTCAATCAAAATCCCAACAGAATGTATAAATTATCAAGATGATTCTAAATATCATACAGAAAGCAAAGGAACTAAAAATAGTCATAACAATTTTGAAAAAGAATACAGTGGAAGAGTCACATTACCTAATGTGAAGACTTATTTTAAAGCTATAGTAGGCTGGGTGCAGTGGCTCACGCCTGTAATCCCAGCACTTTGGGAAGCCGGGGCAGGCAGATCACGAGGTCAGGAGATCAAGACCATCCTGGCCAACACGGTGAAACCCCGCCTCTACTAAAAATACAAAAATTAGCTGGGCGTGGTGGTGCGCGCTTATAATCCCAGCTACTTGGGAGGCTGAGGCAGGAGAATCACTTGAACCCAGGAGGCGGGAAGTTGCAGTGAGCTGATATCGTGCCACTGCACTCCAGCCTGGCGAGAGAGCAAGACTCCATCTCAAAAAAAAAAAAAAAAAAAACCTATAGTAGGCCAGGCTCAGTGGCTAACACCTGTAATCCTAGCACTTTTGGAGGTTGAGGTGGAAGGATCCCTTGTGCTCAGCTGCTCAAGACCAGCTTGGGCAATATAGGGAGATCTTGTCTCTACAAAAAATTTTAAAAATCGGCCTGGCATGGTGGCATGTACCTATAGTACCAGCCACTGGGGAAAGTGGGAGGATGGCTTGAGTCCTGGAGGTTGAGGCTGCAGTGAGCCATATTCACACCACTGTACTCCAGCCTGGGTGACAGAGTGAGACCCTGTCTCAAAAAATTTTTAAATAATACAGTCTGGGCAACATAGCCAAGACCTTATCTCTACAAATAAATTTAAAAATCAGCCAAGTGCGGTGGCACGCCTGTGGTCCCAGCTACTTGGGAGGATTGCTTGAACCTGGGAGGCCAAGGCTGCAGTGAGCAGAGATCACACCACTGCACTCCAGCCTGGACAGAGAGAGACCCTGTCTCTAAATAAAAAATAAAAATATAAATACAATAAAATAAAAATAAAAAATAAAAAGGATAGACAAAATAGATCAATTGAAGAGTCCATAAACAAACCCAAACAAATGCAGTCAAATAGCTTTTGACAAAGAGACAAGAGGAATACAATGGGAAAAAGATCATGTTTTAAACAAATGGTCATGGAACTGGACAAACAAATAAGTGAAACAACTTGTACTTCTCTCATTTTATACAAAAATAAACTCAAAATGGAACATAGATCTAAAAATAAAATTACAATATAAAACTTGGAAAAAAAAATTGGAGAAAAATCTCTCTGACCGTGGATTGAGCAAAGAGTTCTTAGATACAATATTCAAATTTTAAAAATTAATAATTTGGACTTTCTCAAAATATAAAATTCTATACTTCAAAAGTAATGAAGTATAGAAGTTATGAGGATGAAAAGGCAAGCCAGAGTGGAAGAAAACCTTCGTAAATCACTTATCTGACAAAGATAAAGGACTATATAAAACTTTTGGGGCAGCGGCTCATGCGTGTTATCCCACCACTTTGGGAGGCTGAGGCAGGAGAATCACTTGAGCCCAGGAGTTCTGAGACCAGCCTGGGAAACATAGTGAGACCCCATCCCTAAAGAAAAAAGGAAAAAATAATAAGATAATAATAAATTCAGCAATAAGACAATAATCCAATTTAAAAATGGGCAAAAGTTTCAGACACTTTACCAAAGATAAACAGATGGCAAATAAGCACATGAAAAGATGCTCAACATCCTCAGTCATGGGGGAAATGCAAAGAAAAATCCCAACGAGATACTACTAAAATGGCTAAATCTAAAGACTGACCATACCAAGTGCTGACAGGAATGTAAAGCAACTGACCTCTCATATATTGCTGGTGGAAATGCAAAGTGGTTCAGCCACTTCAAACCCAGCCTGACAATGTATTAGTTTCCTATGCCAATGTAACAAATTGCCACAAATTTAGTGGCTTAAAACAACAGAAATTATTTTACAGTCCTATAGGTTAGAAATCTGGCATATGTCTCCCTTGGCTAAAATTACTGGCAGGGCTGCTTTCTTTTCTGGAGCCTCTTCAAGATTCTAGACACCACTCATATTCCTTAGTTTGTGGCCTGCTCTCCTCCATCTTCAAAGCCAGCAACTTTGCACTTCTCTGACCAATTGTTACATCTTTTTTTCCTGACTCTACTCTTCTGCCTCTCTCTTTCCTTTTTTAAAGATTCTGTGATACACTGGGACCACCTGAATAATCCACAATAATCTCCCTAAAGTCATCTGATTAGCAACCTAAATAAGCCTTTGCCACTTAAGCAAACATATTCACAGGTTCCAGGGATTAGGATATCTTTGAAGACCTTTATTCTGTCTACCACAGATAGGTCTTTTTTTAATTTTAAGATAAAATTAGGCTATACCTACCATATTCCATCTACTTAAGAGAAACAAAAACTTAGGTTTACACAAAAACCTATTTGCAAAGATTTACAGCCACTTTATTCAGTCACAAAAAACCTGAAAACAACTCAAATGTCCTTCAACTGGTGAATGGATAGGTGATGGAACTGTTCTTTACCTTGATTGTGGTAGTTGCACAGCTCTCTGAGTTGGAATTGTACAATGAAAAGTTAACTTCATTTCATGTAAATTAGAGTTAAATATTTTTTAAAGAAAAGAAGCAATTATATCATTTCTCATCCACCAGATTAGCAAAAATTTTAAAATCTTACGATGCCCAGTGTGGGCAAGAATGTGAAGCCACTGTCACTCATACTGTTTGCAGGAATGTAAATGATTACAGCATTAAAAAGGGTAATTTGGCTGTAGCTAGTAATGTTGAAAACACATATCAACCTATTATCAGCAATTCCACTTATAGGTAGGTATACATACATTCTAGGAAAGCGTCCACACATGCGCTCAAGGAGACATACACAAAGATATTCATTAAACATTGTTTGAAATATTAAAAAACTGAAAATTCTTCAGTAGGGGAATGAATTGCAGTTAGTAGTTATTAAAAAAGAAAACGGAAAAAATCCATGACAGAAAGAATCCTGCCAGTTAAGTGATTTGGAAAAGGCAACTTATTGGTTTATCTAACAATGAGACATCCTGAGAAGAGCACTGAATTTAGAATATGGAGACTTAGAATATGGAGAACAGCATTTTAGCATTCATGTAGTTCCAAGTCTGCCCCTAACTAGCAGTCAGACTACGGATTACTTAACTCCTGCAAGCCTCACTTTCTTTTTCATGGAAAATGAAGAGGTTAGACTATATAACCACTAAGATTACTTCCAACTCAACGATCCTATGATTCAGTAAGTATATGATCAAAAATCATAAGGGCTGGGCGCGGTGGCTCACGCCTGTAATCCCAGCACTTTGGGAGGGCGAGGCGGGCGGATCACGAGGTCAGGAGATTGAGATCATCCTGGCTAACACGGTGAAAACCCGTCTCTACTAAAAAAAAAATACAAAAAATTAGCAGGCGTGGTGGCGGGCACCTGTAGTCCCAACTACTCGGGAGGCTGAGGCAGAAAAATGGCGTGAACCCGGGAGGCAGAGCTTGCAGTGAGCCGAGATTGCGCCACTGCACTCCAGCCTGGGCGACAGCGCGAGACTCCGTCTCAAAAAAAAAAAAAAAAAAAAATTATATTCTGGCGGTGGCTCACGCCTGTAATCCCAGCATTTCAGGAGGCCGAGGCGGGTGGATCACCTGAGGTCAGGAGTTCGAGGCCAGCCTGGCCAACATGGTGAAACCCCGTCTCTACTAAAAATACAAAAATTAGCCAGGTGTGGTGGCGAGCACCTGTAGTCCCAGCTAGTCGGGAGGCTGAGAGCAGGAGAATCACTTGAACCAGGGAGGTGGAGACTGCAGTGAGCCAAGATCGCGCCACTACACTCCAGCCTGGGCAAGAGCGAGACTATGTCTCACAAAAAAAAAAAGAAAAGACAATTATATTCTATATAAGCACATATGTCAAGATACTATTTTTTTCTAGACACTCTGAAATCAGAAAATATCAGAGAAATAGGGCATTTCAGTAAATAATATATAAAATTGATCAAATTTCTTGGAATGGGTGATAAATTTTATTTTTTCCATGACACAGCCCTCAGGAGATCCTGAAAACACGTGCCCCTGTGATGAGATTTTTAATCAAAATCATAATTCAAGATCATGTAAAAGCTAAACCCACTGTACTGACTTGGGTCACCCTCAAGTAGAACTTATATATTCTCTCCCGTTTTAACATTCTAAAACAAATTAATGTTAATCAATCCACCTTAATTTGTCAAGTTCAAGTCCGTCTTGCCAAAACTAATTCAGGTACATGGTAAAATTTACCAGATTTTTAAAGATAAAATAATGAATTGCTTTTCCTATTTTTGCCTGTTTTATCTATAAATCTCTTACATTATAATTTAATAGCTCATCCTGCCGCAAATAGAAAGCCTATAAAACCTATCCACAATAGCTATGTCCACAGGGATCTAGTAAAAAAAAAAAATCGTAGTTCTTAATTCAAGGAAGCTTATTTAATAAGTTTCATTACCACCAATACTTCAAAGACACCAATAACCAACACGTCATTTGTTCCTATTGCATAATTTAACAGGTTATTAACTTCTGGTATAATCCAAAAGCATAATTAGTAAACTATCATTAAAACATGATATTGCTTTTTTAAAAAATCAGAAATATTAACACCTTTCACTGCGTCAGTCAAATCAAAATTTCAAAATTTTTGTTCAACTGACTTTCCAAATCTAAATTCTTACTATTCTAAACGAGTATGGAGACAAAACACACACTCCATACTACATCTAAAAACTTCCTAGCCATCAGATTTTAATTTTAGCATAAACTGCCAAGAAAAACCTTTTGACCGAAACCTACATTCCGTACACATTACTGTATGTCAATCAACAGAAGGTGAGTTATGATCATTAGAAAGTTACATAATTTACTACAAAGATCGTTTAAAGCAAACTTCATTAAACGTAGGTTATAACAATTTACATGCTTCAAAGTTCAACGTGCAACCTTAAAGTATCAGAAACCATGAACAAAACTAGGCTTTTCTTTTAAAGTGGTCACAAGGAAGCAGGAACTGTTTGCGTGTTTAAGAACGCAATGAGCAGCAGAATACCAGCAGCTGAGTCAGGCAGAGGAACGCTGACTACATTCTGACTTCTAAAGGAAAGCGTTCCCTCGCCGATTTCCCAGACCCGGCCGGGAGAGTCCCGCGCGTCGCGACCTCGGAGAGAGGGCGCAGGGGGCAGACGACTCCCCGCCGCGCCCCCTGCACCTCGGGCTCGGCTGGCTGTGGCCCGCGCCAAGGTGCATGCCCAGCCAAGCAGAAGGAGCGGGCACCGCGCAGGCAGCGTTGCTCCGAGGGACAAAGGTTGGGCTCACACCCTCCACGGCCGCAGCTCGCGCGCCTGAGGAAGCCCGCCTGGCTGCCAGGGGTCTCCCGCTGGCCGGAGTTTGCGCAGCGTGTGGGGGAAGGGGAGCCCGGCCGCCCGCCCCTCCCCCGCCGCGCTCCCAGGGACCTGTTGATTAAGATCTCTACAGCCCAGCCGCCGCCGATCCGCCTCTTACCTCCACGCCTCGGCTCCGCGGAGCCTCCCGCCCCGGCCGCTCCTACGCACTGCAGAAGCGACAGCCCTCCGGCGGCCCTTGAAATTCCGGATAAAGAATCCAGAAACTCCCGACTCCCCACCTCAGAATCCTTAGTCCCCGCCCCCGCCCCACCGCCTGCCTCCTCCGTCGCCGCCGTCACCGCCGCAGCCGCCAGCAACTCCACTTCTAGACCGCGCGAGACCGGCCCCTGCGGCCGCCGCGAGACCGCGCACGCGCCCCCGGGACTCTGGCGCAGTGGGCGCGCGGATCCGAGTCCCACCCCGCCCGTGAGAGGCTGGCGCGGCTTGCCCAATCCCGAGCCGGAGCGGAGAGAGCGCCCGCTCATTGGTCCTCTCCGCAGCTCCAGCCGGGTGCGCGCAGTCGCGCGCCTCTAAGTCTAAAACGCGGACTGCTCCGGGCTAGCTGGCCCGGTAGAGCCCCTTCGGGATTTGGCCGGCGGGCTTTGTGGGGACGCGAGGCTTCCCTGGGTTTCTACATCCCTTGGCTCTTGTCTCTGGATGACGTATCCTGAAGAAAATCTGATTCCTCTTGAAGAGATTCCTCATGTCCTGTCAAGTTAGTCACCCAATCTAACATTTGTTTTTTTTAAAAAATGACATAAACACCTGGATGTGTGCAGTGTCCCGCAGAAGACTGCATAAAGCCAGCAGCTGCACTGATTTCTGAAAACCAGAAAGCAAGGATAGCAAGGACTAGAACTATTTCCCAGAAGTCTCCCGAAGGGACAGAGTTACGCAGATCAGCCCGTGCTCCGGGCATGGCTGGCGCCCTCGGGACCTGGATGTGCCACCCTTGGAATGGGGCAGGACTCAGGCGGGTGCGGGCGGAAGTCAGAGCAGATTGGAGGACGTTCTAAGGAGAAACACCAGCAATGTGTCTCGACACTTGCAATAAAAGCCCTCGGATGGTCTCTGTCTTGACAGTACCTTCCGAGCAAGCCCATTCCACATTTGAACACTTGCAAGGTTTGTTAATCGACCTCTCCTTCTATGAGGCCAAACTATGCCTGTGACTCCAGCCCGGGGGCACAGTTTCCCCCAGGGGCACAGTCCTCCCTCAAAGCCTTCGTATATGCCATTTCCATTTCTCTCGGTTTTCCTCATTTTGTCCCACGGTGTTTTTCCATCTCGCAATGTCCTCAGGTCCTGATTTTCAAGCTCTTTCACATTCTTCCCCATTACGCTCCTCTGGACAGCCTATGGGTTGTGGTGTCCCTCACTAAGGACACTGTGATGGCCTGAACGAAGCAAACCGTTGTTCCTGGTGGTGAAGATCTTTGGGGATGCCTACCCTTCCCAGATTTGTTATCCTTCTCAAATCTGATCAGCATTCTGTCCAAGTGTTTAATAAGACAGAGCGGAGGACAGAACTCTGCTGCATGCCACTAAAGACCTTAATGCTCCTGCCATCAAAAATTTCTCAGTAGGCTTCGAATACAGGTGGACGACACAACCGAACTGTCTTCTTGGCCCATATTCCTCCATAAAGATGCCATGAGAACTGGTGAAATGCCTAACTGAAATCCAGATAAAGTCTCCAGGATTCCTAGAAACTACTAGCCATACCCCAAAAGAAAAAACGGTTACTGTGTGTGACTTACTTCCTTTTCTAAGTTCTTTTGTTTTTGTTTTTGTTTGAGACGGAGTTTCGCTCTTTTGCCCAGGCTGGAGTAAAGTGGCGCAATCTCGGCTCACTGCAACCTCCGCTCCCCGGGTTCAAGCGATACTCCTCCCTCAGCCTCCCCAGTATCTGGGATTACAGGTGCCAGCCACCACGCCCGGCTAATTTTTGTATTGTTAGTAGAGACGGGGTTTCGCCACATTGGCCAAGCTGGTCTTGAACACCTGACCTCAGGTGATCCACCTTTCTCAGCCTTCCAAAGTGCTAGGATTACAGGCGTGAGCAACCGTGCCCCGCCTCTAAGTTCTTAAATATATAACATAAATAATAATTCAAGAAGCTTCCTCCAGCTCGTCAATGAATTCTTCTTTCTCTAGCTTATAATTTCTCATCCTTGGCACTATTGACATTTGGGCTGGATAATTCTTGTGGGGACTGTCCTGTGCATCATAGGATGTTTAGAAGCATCCCCAGCCTCTACCCACTACGTGCCAGTAGCATCACCCTCCCCAATGTGACAATCAAAAATGTCTCCAGACATCACCAAAGGTCATGGGGAGGAATGAGCAAAATCATCTTCAGGTAAGGACTGCAGATCTAGCTGTTCAAAGAAAGGACCTCTTTGGAAAGATAGTATATCTTTATCCGTAACTTCCAATCTCTTGGCCCCAGGCAGTTTTACAAAACAACAAAACACACACACAAAAAAAGCCTCCACCCAAATGAACCCGCCAAGTACCTAGCCTTGCTTCCTCAGCTGCTTAGATTCCCATACAGGACCCCACCATAATAAAATAATTATTAGTATGAGTGTGAGATAGCAGACCAGCTGCTTATCTCAAAATATGTGAAATTCCTTTTTAAAGTGCTATAACAATTCAGAAGGGCATTTTTTTCAGGAAAAGAAGTGCTATAAAAATATTAGTTATGGCCTGGCATGGTGGCTTACACCTGTAATCCCAGCACTTTGGGATGCCAAGGTGTATGGATCCCTTGACCCCAGGAGTTCAAAACCAGCCTTGGCAACATGGCAAAAACCCATCTCTACAAAAAATACAAAATTAGCTGGGCATGATGGTGTGTGCTTATAATCCCAGCTACTTGGGAGGCTGAGGCAGGAGGATCATCTAAGCCTGGGAGGTCGATGCTGCAGTAAGCTGAGATCACACCACTGCACTCCAGCCTGGGCAATAGAGTGAGACCCTGTCTCAAAAAAAAAAAGTTATTATTTTACCTCCTAAAGATATTTTCATGTTAAAAGAGGGCAGATCCTACAGCAAATAACAAATCTACTCTCTAGTGGGTCAGGTGCAGTAACTCACACCTGTGATCCCAACACTTTGGGATGCCAAAGCGGGAGGATTGCTTGAGCCCAAGAATTCAAAACCAGCCTGGTCAACATGGGGAGACCCCGTCTCTACAAAAAAATTTAACAATTAGCTGGGTGTGGTGGCACGCTCCTGTAGTCCTGGCTACTTGGGAAGCTGAGATGGGAGGATCCCTTGAGCCCAGGAGATCTAGGCTGCAGTGAGCTGTGATTGTGTCACTGCACTCTAGCCTGAGCAACAGAGCAAGACCGTGTCTAAAAAAAAAAAAAAAAAAGAAAGCAAGAAAGAGAAAGAAAGAAAAGAAAAAAGAAATCTATTTTCTGGTGAATTGAGCCAATCCCAGAATCTCCAAGTCATACAAATTACTGGTATATATGCAAAAACTGAAGGGTAGCTGAAAGAGTGAAAGGTATAGAAACTGGAGGCATGGTAATTAGATTAAGTTTTAGCTTTGCTGCTAGCTAGTTCTGTGATTTAGATGTGTGACAAGCTTCCTGGACCTAAATTTTCTCATCTATAATGTAAAGGGGTTAACTACTTTTTTCCCCCTAGTTTTAGGATTTGGTAGCCTCTGCATATAGAGTCTAACATGGATAGCATAGGAGGTTAAGAGAATATAATATTCCCCCCAAAATAGAATGAAATGGACAATCTGTGGTTTAAACCCCCCTGTCAGAAGGGCTGTTCATCCTCGTCAGAAAGCAGTTCACCTGCTGAGTCACTCTAACAAATTTGTAACTAAATATTATGGATGAGTAGTGAAAGCCTAACTGTAAAACCAGGAGTAAGGTGGACAGTCACCATAGTAAATACCCTCCCTTCTTCCTCATCTTGTCATCTGCTTAGCCCATTGTCTGTCAATATCCCTTATTAAATGTTTATGTAATAAAATACCACACTATTTTATTTCATTAAAAGTTTTGGGAAGCCAGTCATGGTGGCATGTGCCTGTCATCTAATCAGGGGGCTAAGATGGGAGGATTGTTTGAGCCTAGGAATTCAAGTCCAACCTGGGCAACACAGCAAGACCCCCTTCTCTAAAAATTAAAAAAAAAAAGTTTTGGAGGAAACATATTCATGTTGCATTTCAGCCACTTGTAAAAAGTTCTGAAATTTTTGTTTTCAAGATTTATTATTCCCTATTATATATCAAATTATGTAGCCTTAACTAAGGCTATTATATGTCCTCTTTGTACTAGTGAAAACCAGGTCTTCACTAGTATGGTTTTCATAACTTGGCTTTCACTAGTACCTCAGTGAATTAGTACTTAGAATTTTCATAAGTGAATTAGTAGCCTAATCACATAATTGTATGAACCAGATGATCAGAGATAATGTATAATAAAAGCAGAATACTCAGTAACTCAGATAAAAGAGAAATTATGAAACAAAAATTACCTACGAATAGTAGTTCTAGTAAATAAATATATATATATAATATATTTTCGTTTTTTGAGATGGAGTCTTGCTCAGTCACCCAGGCTGGAGTACAGTGGTGTGATCTTGGCTCACTGCAACCTCCGCCTCCCGGGTTCAAGCGGTTTTCCTGCCTCAGCCTCCCAGTAGCTGGGATTACAGGCACCTGCCACCATGCCCGGCTAATTTTTTTTGAATTTTTAGTAGAGACAGGGTTTCACCATGTTGGCCAGGCTGTTCTCGAACCCCTGACCTAAAATGATTTGCCCACCTCGGCCTCCCAAAGTGCTGGGATTACAGGCATGAGCCACCGTGTCTGGCCAAATATCTAAAATAAAATAAAATAAAATAATAAAATAACAAAAAGCAAACCAACAAACAATGAACTTTTCTAATTTAATTGGGTTATTCTTATTTAGATGTTTTATAGGAGGATTTAAACTTTCATAAATCTAGCTAAATATAGTATATCCCTGAGCTAAGAACATTATACAGTTGTCATATGGAATGGAAGGTCCCACTATCTGCACCAGTGTAATTCAGTACAGGTTAGTATTATTCAACCTAATTGGCTTTAACAACTATTCACTCATTTAATGGGCTAAGCATTGTGCTATAGGCACTGAAATCTGTGTGACAGTCCTTATCCTAGAGGAACAGGAAAGGTAGGAAAAAGGACACGATAAGACAAATAAAATACAAGGAAAAGCATGGTGAATGAACATAAGTGTGCTAGACTCAAAGAAAGAAAAGGTCTTATACCAGGAGGAGCTTTACTATCTAGTGAAGGTGCGGGTGGGAACAGTGAATAAACTGCTCTGAAAGTACTCACAATAATAGGAAAATCAGGATCTTATACATGGCTTTAAAAAAATAGACATGAGTTGGAGGGAGGAGTGGGGAGATGTTGGTCAAAGGATACAAAATTTCAGTTAGGAGGAATAAGTTCAAGAGCTCTATTTGTACAACATGGTGAGTATATAGTTAATAACAATGTATAGTATACTTTAGTATACTTAAGAGACTAGATTTTAAATGTTCTCACCACAAAACAAATGGTATGCGAGGTAATGTTAATTAGCTTGATTTAGCCATTCCACAATGTAAACATATTTCAGAATACTATGTTGTATGTCATAAATATATCTAATTTTTATCAATTTAATTTAAAAATTTTAAAAAGACACACATAAAACTTTTTCTAAATGTGAATGACTGAGTGATATAAACAGAGAAAAGAAGCATGAGCTTAATATGGAAACAAGAGTCAACAAAAGCCTCAGGGTAGGATATTCAATATTTAGAATGTCAATCATTTATCATTCTTTTATTTGTACCCATCTGAGTGGTCCTATGCCAGTCTGGAGATGTGTCAAGAAATAAAATAGGGTCTATGAGAATTTTTTTTTTTTTGAGATGGAGTCTCACTCTGTCACCCAGGCTGCAGTGCAGTGGCGCGATCTCGACTCACTGCGAGCTCTGCCTCGTGGGTTCACGCCATTCTGCTGCCTCAGCCTCCTGAGTAGCTGGGACTACAGGTGCCTGCCACCAAGCCTGGTTAATTTTTTGTATTTTTAGTAGAGACAGGGTTTCACCGTGTTAGCCAGGATGGTCTCGATTTCCTGACCTCGTGATCCGCCCGCCTCGGCCTCCCAAAGTGCTGGGATTACAAGCGTGAGCCACCGCGCCTGGCCCTGAGAAATTTTATTTCCGAGAGAGGATGTAGGTAATTTAGGGCTTGGAAAAATTTATAATGAAGGAAAGATCAAGCCCAAATGTTAAGAAAGAGGAGACGAAGTTTGTTCTGCTTGAAAAGGGCTATAAAATTACCTATATCTTTTCCTCACCAAGCTCCCAATCACACTTTTGTTTTGTGTGAAAAATTTCAGTGCTACTTTAATTAATATTTACATGTGAATACCTGTGACTGACTGGGTCTGGATGGTATCTGGCCTGAACTTTTTTTTTTTTGAGACGGAGTTTTGCTCTTGTCACCCAGGCTGGCATGCAGTGGCGTGATCTCAGCTCACTGCAACCTCTCCCTGCTGGGTTCCAGAGATTCTCCTGCCTCAGCCTCCCTAGTAGCTGGGATTACAGGTGTGTGCCACCATGCTCAGCAAATTTTTGTACTTTTAGTAGAGGCAGGGTTTTGCCATGTTGGCCAGGCTGGTCTCCAGCTCCTGACCTCAGGTGATCCACCCATCTCAGCCTCCTAAAGTGCTGGGATTACAGGCATGAGCCACCGCACCCGGCCTGAACTTTAAAGTGTGGAACTGTAGGCCGGGCGCAGTGGTTCCCGCCTGTTAGCATAGCACTTTGGGAGGCTGAGGCGGGTGGATCACCTGAGGTCAGGAGTTCGAGACCAGCCTGGCCAACATGGCAAAACCCCATCTCTACAAAAAATACAAAAATTAGCTAGGCTTGGTAGTGCAAGCCTATAATCCCAGCTACTAGGGAGGGTGAGGCAGGAGAATCGCTTGAACCCAGTGGGAGGAAGTTGCAGTGAGCCAAGATCGCACCACGGCACTCCAGCCTGGGGGACAGAGTGAGACTCTATTTCAAAACAAACAAGCAAAGAGTGGAACTCTAATGTCTCTTCTCCTATTCTCTCTTGAACTCACTCAACTTGACATGTAAAGTCACTGATTTCAGCCACTTCGTTAAATGCAAAAGTCAGTTTTCAGTCATCCTATGTGACCTGTCTGCAGTATCTGATGAAGCTGATAATTTTCTCCATTTTCTTCTCTGGGCTTCTGAAACACCATTCTTACTTCCCTTCCCAACTCACTGGAACCTCCTCCTTAGAACCCTTTGCTGGCTCTTATTTATCTCTTTGTATGCTAATATTTGGAGTGTCCCAAAGCTCTAAAATTGAATATTTTACTTCTCTCTTTGCCTGGGTTTGAATCCCAGCTCTGTCAATTGCTAGCTGTCTGATTAGAAGAAAGTCAGTTAATTTCTCTGAAATTCAGCTTCCTTATTTATAAAATGAGTATAATAAAAGTAGCTACCTCCTACAGTGCTTGTGAAGACAAACTGAATTTATATATGACAGTGCTTAGAACAGTGCTGGACATAGTATGTATTAACTGTTTGTCTTTATTTTTATCATGATGTTCTTTATCACTCACTCCCTTTCATCTGATCTCATGGCTTCAAATTTCATCTATATACTGTTTACTCCAAATTTATCTTTAGTCTGAACTTCTGCCCTGAATTCCAGAATCCTGTATTCAACTATCAGCCGGAATCTTCATTTAGATTTCTAATGAGTATTGCAAATTTTACATGGCAGAACTATTGATTCTGACACAGTTTCCAGTTATCCAGGTGTTCTTTCACATGGCACGTTCAACCCATCAGGAAATCCTGTTTATCTACCTTCAAAATATATCCAGAATCTAACCACTTCTCCCCATCCCCACTGCTACCACCCTCCTCCAGGCCATCATCATCTTTTGCCTGGATTGTTGCACTAGGTTTCTTCCCACCTGTCATGAGACAGACTGGGGGAAGTCAGCCAGAGGAAGGGAGTTTCAGATGGAAATTACAGATCAGATATAGGAGGTAGTGCTAACTAGAAACTTGTAAAACCTGTCAGTAGAAGCAGATTATCTGAGGCTTTGCAAATTTCTTTCTCACGGAAAAGCCCTACCTTCTCATGTGATAGACTATGGCAGAATTGGAATAGGTATTGGTATTCCACCAGGTTTTTAAAAGTGTGTTGGGAAGCCAAGGTGGGCAGATTGCCTGAACTCATGAGTTCATGACCAGCCTGGGCAACATGGTAAAACCCTGTCTCTACAAAAAATACAAAATTTAGCCGGGCGTGGTGGCACATGCCTATAGTCCCAGCTACTTGGGAGGCTGAGGCAGGAGAATCACTTGGACCTGGGAGGCAGATGTTGCAGTGAGCTGAGATTGCACCACTGCACTCCAGCCTGAGTGACAGAGTGAGACTATGTCTCCAAAAAAATAAAATAAAATAAAATAAAATAAAATAAAATAAAATAAAAATGTGTTGGTGGAATGGAGACATGGGAACAGCACAGTGGATCCCTTTTAGGGCTCTTGGAGAAAATAGATACTGTTTTCTTTTTTTTCTATTTTCCAGAATAATTTTAGAAGAACTTTTAAAACCATATTTGGAAATATAAATGGTTTTAAATTTGTAGCTGTGTAAATCTGTAGCTGGTGCTAGGACCTGACTAAATATTTAGACTAAAAGCTTTCAGGCCTCATGGCCTCTGGGTAACACTTCAAGCAAATGCAGGAAGGCAGAACAGCACACAAGTCTCCCAAGCCTTGTTATCTCAGCTCAGGGCACTGGAGAGCTGAGAACAGTTTGGCAACACGCATAAAAATGCACTGATTTTTTTTCCTTTTAAGTTTAGACTGAATATAGGCTATGAATATACCTAGGATCTTGGTAAAATGTGAGAATTCACTTTAATGAAGAAAATGGAGCGATTTCAAAGGGTGTTCAGCAGTTTAGTCAACATTTCATAAGTTCTTATCTAAAATATACACAGAAGGACAAGCTCTTTTAATAGTAGAAGTAGAGATAAATGAGATTTTGTGATACAAAATTACATGCAAATGTAATTTCTCCCTTGCTGCAGGTCAGGAAGCCAGAAGCAGCTTAACTGGGTGGCTCTGAGGTTAAAAGCAGGATGTCAGCTCTGGACTGCAGTCACCTGAAGGCATGACTGGGACTAAAGGATCTGCCTCCAGGAGTCTCACTCACATACCTGTTAGCTAGAGGTCTCTGTCCTTGTCATTTGGCCTTGTTCCTTGTCATAAGACTTGGCCTCTGTTTCTTGTCGTAAGGAACAGCTGGTTTCCCCCAAGGCAAATGATCTAAGGATGTGACAGCTGGCTTCCACCAGGGCAAATGACTTAAGAGAGGGAGCAACAAAGACAGAAACTATGGGCTGTTTTATGACCTAGTCTCCAAAACCACACACCACCACTGCCATCTTATTGTCTAGAAGCAAGGCGCTAAGTCCAATCTGTACCCAAAGGAAGCAATAGGCTCCATCCCTTGAAGGGAGGAGAATAAAGCATTTGTAGACATATTTTTAAAACCACCAGATAATCTAATGTGTGATAAGTACTATAGACACAAATTATCATGTTAATTTTTTTTTTTTTTTTTAAAGACACAGTCTCACCCTGTCACCCAGGCTGGAGTACAGTGGCATGATCTCAGCTCACTGCAACCTCTGCCTCCCAGGTTCAAGCAATTCTCCTACCTC
This sequence comes from Homo sapiens, assembly GCF_000001405.40. NCBI lineage: Eukaryota > Metazoa > Chordata > Mammalia > Primates > Hominidae > Homo > Homo sapiens. Next base: position 67,231,869 of record NC_000014.9, on the reverse strand, counting down.
AGCCTCCCTAGTAGCTAGGATTACAGGCACCCACCACCATGCCCAGTTAATTTTTTTGTGTTTTTAATAGAGACAGGATTTCACCATGTTGGCCAGGCTGGTCTCTAACTCCGACCTCAAGTGCTCCGCCCACCTCGGCCTCCCAAAGTGCTGGGATTACAGGCGTGAGCCACTGAGCTTGGCCTATTGAGGTATAATTTATATGCAAAAAAGGCACCTATTTTAAAGTATTTAGTTGGATAAATATACACACTAATGTAACCACCACCGCAATCAGGAGATAGAATATTTACGTCAGGCTGGACCCAGTGGCTCAGGCTGAGGCGAGAAAATCACTAAAGGCCACAGGGTTGAGACCAGTCTGGGCAACATAGCAAGACCCTGTCTCTACAGAAAAATTTAAAAATTAGCTGCATATGGTGGCATATGCCTGTAGTTCAAGCTACTTCAGAGGCTGAGGTGGGAAGATCACTTGAGCCCAGGAGTATGAGGTTACAGTGCCACTGCACTTCAGAACAAGATCCTGTCTCAAAAAAAAATAAGAACATTTTCATCACCTTAAAAAGTTTCCTCAAACTACTTTGCAGTCAATATCCTCCTGGCTACCCACAACCCCAGGCAACCACTAATCTGATTTGTCTTTATAAATTAGTTTTGTCTCCTAAATCTTCATATAAAAGGAATTATATAGCATGTAACCAACCTGTTTCTAAGGTTCACCCATGTGTTGTTGCATTTACAGTAGTCCACCCACCCCTCATCTTCAGGGGATATCTTCCAAGATCCCTCGTGATGCCTGAAACCTTGGATGGTACGGAACCCTGTATACACTGTGTTTTTCAATCTGATCATCGAGAAGGCTACTGACTAAGGGGCAGGTAACATATACAGCCTGGATAGCTGCAAGGGGATGATTCCTGTTCCAGGTGGGATGGTGTGAGATTTCATCATGCTACTTAGAATCGCATGCAATTTAAAACCTATGAATTATTTATTTCTGGAACTATTTAATATTTTTTGACCACAGGTAACTGAAACTGTGGAAAGCACAACTGTGGATAAGGGAGGACTTTTGTATTCCATAGTTAAGTTTCTTTTTGTTGCTAAGTAGTATCACTGTATGACCATACGACAATTTGTTTAGTCATTCACCTGTTGATGGGCATTTTGGTGTTTCTAGTTTTTTGCTATTATGAACAAAACTATGACTCTTTGTGTACGAGTCTTATTTTGAATATATGTCTTGTGAACATGTTTTTAGTTTTTTTGAAATTTGATCATATATCTTTTTTTTTCTTGAGAGAGGGTCTTGCTCTGTCACCCAGGCTGCAGTACAGTGGCATGATCATGGGTCACTGCAGCCTCGACCTCCTGAGCTCAAGCAATCTTCCATCCTCAGTCTCCTGAATAGCTGGGACTATAGATATGGGCCATCATACCCAGCTTATTTTTTGTGGAGACAGGGTATCACTTTGTTACCCAGGCTGATCTCAAACTACTGGGCCCAAGCAATCCTCCTGCCTCAGCCGCCCAAAGTGCTGGGATTATAGGCATGAGAGACCACATCCAGCTGATCATATGTCTTAACTTAATTTTCCAAACTCTTTTCCAGGGTGGTTGTACACCAACTACAGTGTATGCTGCCTTTTGAAGGATTGTGTTGCTAGATACAAATAGAAAGTTATAACTCATAGTTATAGCTTTCTACCTGTAAGAATCAATTTATTAATCTTTTTCCCCCCAAGTGAACAAAAGTAAAAGTTACAGATAATCTGTATGAAGAAAACAGTTTCTATGATGCTATAGCCATCTCCAAATTAGAAACTGTTGGTTTACGTATATACCTAACTTAAAAACGTTAGTCTCCTCTTGGTTTCATGGAATCTCTGTTTTCACTCCTGATTGTGAAGGTTGGAAACAAACTTCTTCTGTCTTTGGAACAGCAGGGAGAGGAGGAGGAGGAATTCCCTAGGCTGTGGGCCAAGAGACTAGGTAGATGGTTTTTCTCTAGAGCAGTGCTGTCTGATGGAAATCTATCATGAGCCACATTTTTTTGTGTGTAATTTGTGACACATTGCTTAACAGGCACATCAAAAGAGTAAAAAGAAAGATTAAATTAATCCTTAAATATTTTTATTTAACCAATATATTCAAATATTATCATTTAAACATATAATCAATATAATACACATTAAATATTTTACATTCTTTTTTTCTCAAAGACTTCCAAATCTGGCGTATATTTTACACTTATGGTATATCTCAATTTGGACACTAGATTTTCAACAGTTGAAGTGAAAAATGTAGCCCTACCAAAACAATAAAGTTGTGTTTAATGGAAAAATATTCTACACTGTTCTAGTTTTAAAATTAGAATTTACATTTATTAAAAATAATCTAAAATTCAGCTTCTCAGTCACACTAGCTACATTGCAGGTGCTCAATAGCCATATATGCCTACTGGCCATCATATGGGACTGCACAGTTCTAGAGGGTTGCTTGTGGGCCAGGAAGGGAAAGATGGAGATAAGAGATATTCTCAGTTCACAGTAGAAAAACCAGTACTATTTGTGTGAAATTTGAGTTAAATAGATTTCCATTGCTTTAAAAAAACCTAACTACCCTTATTCTGAATTTAAAAGCATGAGTTCTAATGTGAATCGCAAATTTGCGTTTAGCTTGGCTGTTGGGCTTCTTGGGTTCAAAGATCATCTCCACCATTTTCTAGCTGTGTGACTTGGACAAGTAACTTTAACCTCTAAGCTTCACTTTCACCACCTGTAAAACAGGGGAAAATAGTAGTGTCCCTCATATTACTGTGAAGATTAAGTGAGATAATGGATAAAAAACATGCTGTAGCATGACTGGCAGCATTTAGAAAATAAGTGATGGCTTTTAAAAAGTCAAACCATTCTCTGGATGGGGACTGTCTGTAGTTTCTTTTTTATTTTTAAAAGTACATGGATTTTTTTTAACCTGTTTGAAAATGACACACTGATTCAATAAATACTGTCTCTCAGCACCAGGTACTCAGCTAGAACAAAAGATGAAATGAACACAGTCCCTACCTTGAATGACCTCACATTCTCCAATGTTAGAAACAAAACAGTGTTGGACTAATATACAAATGAGAAAAGTGAAACCAAGAGAATAACAAATTTTTCCATCAATCCCAAAGAAAAGAAACCCCATCCATAAAAACTGAGTTTATGAATTGAAAATCTTACCGTTTTGCATAATCCTCTAGCTTCCTTTAAAATAGATACCCACAATTAAAATAGTTAAGATTTATGAAATTAGGTTGACATGGATTTGAATTCGTAATGATTAGTCATAGGCTTTATTTCTGCCACGTAGAAGACACTGCTTGGTTTTCCTCTTGCACTGATTGTCTTTCCCTGAGCTGTGTTTGCTTTTTAGTTTAGTAGTTTGTATCTGATTTTAAAAAAAGGTGGAGAAGTCAGTTCATTTAATTCAAATGTCTGAAATAGAGAATATTTTTAGTGTTATTACTGTTAACTATAAGACAAGATGAACTAAATACAGGTAAAATAAATGATTGAAACAAACAAAATTATATTTATACTACAACTTTTCTTCTTGATATAAAAAATAAAGATCCTTTGGATGAATAACATCTCTTTTTTTTAATCCAGCCATTAAAACATTATTAAACTTAATTTCTTTTTTTTTTTTTTTTGAGACAAAGTCTCACTCTGTCACCCAGGCTGGAGTGCAGTGGCACAATCTCGGCTCACTGCAACCCCTGCCTCCTGGGTTCAAGCAATTTTCATGCCTCAGCCTCCTGAGTAGCTAGGATTACAGGTGCCCACCACCACATCCAGGTGATTTTTGTCTTTTTAGTAGAGATGAGGTTTCACCATGTTGGCCAGGCTGGTCCCAAACTCCTGACCTCAGGTGATCCACCCGCCTTGGCCTCCAAAAGTGCTGGGATTATAGGCGTGAGCCACCGCACCCGGCCAAGAAACTTAATTTCTTAAAATTGTTGTTTTTAAAAGCTGTTTCTACCCAAGGAAAAACCTGTCCATTCAGGATGTTAAGATTAAGATTATGGGCTTTTACTCTTTTAAATTTCTAGCAAAAATAAACAAAAAATAAAATTAAAATTCTATACCTGCTATTGAATTATTTGCAAGTTCTTAATCTGTGCTGTACTGAGTCCTAAGATTTGGTCATAAGACCTACAAACATCATAATATGCTATAGTAAATAAGAGTCCAAATAACTTTCACATTACTTCAGTTGTAATAAGATGAAGTCTTTCACATTATTTGTAATAATATGAAGTCTGTATTAGTAACTAACTTTTTCTACCATTAAAAAAAATCTACCTTTTCCCATATATCAGCAATTCAAAATATAAGGATTTGGGAGCAAATTTTTCTTTTTTTTCTTTTTTTTTTTTTTTTGAGACAGCATCTTACTCTGTTGCCCCGGCTACAGTACAGTGGTGCGATCTCGGCTCAGTGCAACCTCCGCCTCCCGGGTTCAAGCAATTCTCCTGCCTCAGCCTCCTGAGTAGCTGGGACTACAGTCATGCGCCACCATGCCCGGCTAATTTTTGTATTTATAGTAGAGATGGGGTTTCACCATATTGGCCAGGCTGGTCTCGAACTCCTGACCTCGTGATCCACCCACCTCAGCCTCCCAAAGTGCTGGGATTACAGGCGTGAGCCACCACGCCCAGCTGGGAGCAAATTTTTCAATTTAATAAGTCAAAATTTAAGTATGGTATAATTTTTTGTCATTCTTTGCATTTGCAGCTCTCTGTTAATGAGACCCTAATATTTGAAATTTTGTTGCTGAATATATCCATCAAGGGATTGAAATCATTGTAAAATATTGAGTTATCTTGAAAGAAATTTCTCTCTTTAAATTCTATATTATATTGAAAGATGGCAGAGCTTCAGACTCTGTCTAGGTGGATGTAGGAGCCAGCACGTGTCACCCTGTATGCCACCCATCGCTGTCTCCACACCATACAACAAGTTAAGGGGAATATTAGGAGCATTCTTAAGGGGGAAAGAAGTCACAAAGGAACAGGTACAGATCAGGAAATGTATGTGGAGGCCAGGGAATTATGGAGTGTGGACATTTGTTGTTTTTCAGCCACATTGTTCTCCTCTGGTCCATTACCTTTCACCTACAGTGTGCATCTTGGGGGGCCCTGTTAATAAACAAAATGCTCAGCCAGGCACAGTGGCTCACGCCTGTAATCCCAGCACTTTGGGAGGCTGAGGCGGGCGGATCACTTGAGGTCAGGAGTTTGAGACCAGCCTGGCCAACATGGTGAAACCCCGTCTCTACTAAAAATACAAAAATTAGCCAGGTGTGATGGTGTGCACCTGTAGTCCCAGCTACTTGGGAGGCTGAAGCAGGAGAATCTCTTGAACCCAGGAGGCAGAGGTTGCAGTGAGCCAAGATTGTGCCACTGCACTCCAGCCTGGTGACAGAGCGAGACTCCGTCTCAAAAAAACAAAACAAAAAAAACTAGCTGGTTGTGGTGGTGCTTGTCTGTAATCCCAGCTACCCAGGAGGCTGAGGCATGAGAACCACTTGAACCCAGGAGGCAGAGGTTGCAGTGAGCCAAGATTGCGCCACTGCACTCCAGCCTGGGCGACAGAGCAAGATTCAGTCTCAAAAAAATAAAAATAAAAATAAATAAACAAGTAAATAAACAAAATGCTCAAGTGCTAAGCTGGCTTTGGTGGCAGAGTGACAGAAGGGTGGACAGAAGAGTGAGCACCTTGATTCCATCAGCAAGGCCCTGCCAAGATGGGCAAGGGGTTACTGCCCAGGCCACCCGTGGTCCACCAACCTCCCCCCTTCAATACTGTGAACTCAGCCCTTATGAGCATGCACGCGCATGCGCACGCGCGCGCGCGCACACACACACACACACACACACACACACACACACACTCACAGCATTAGCTTTATGAAGGAGGCAACAGAAGACACAATGGCCCTAAAATTGCATTGCTTCCACTCTTTCTGTGCTACTGGGTGTTGTTATCATGGCTGAGAGAAGTTTCATTTTTCAGCAACGCACTGCAGAGCTGGTGTTTCGAACAAACTTAGAATACAGTAGGCCAGGGCCACCCTATACAGCTGTGCAGATTATGAATTGCACATAAACTACAGTGTGTATGGTGTGTACAAGCTACATAACTGTACATGACAGCCCTGCAGGCACTCTACGAATATCTGTATCATTTTGCTATGAAAAAAAAGAGGTCTTGATTGTATTGGCTGATCTAAAAAGCAGGTTGGGAAAGAGCATGATAAGGTTACAAAGAAGTACAGAAATGAGAAGAATCGCTATGGTAGTGCAGCACATAATTCTCTTCCAGTGCCTCACCTGAAGCCCTCTCTCCTCCTCCCTGTGCTGATGTTATCTTTTGACCCATGATGGATTCTAGAGCAGAAACCACAACAAACCCCTAACATTTCATTCCACTTATATTGTTACTACAGTAGAATAAGATTTAATGTTAAAAGATCCCACTTATTAACAACTTTTTTGTGTGACAGTATCATAGCTATCATGTATTCCTATAGAGACTTATAATTAAAAAGTTACCTTTAGTTTGTCTTACATGTTTTTCCATCAACTTTGTCTTTTTCTGTTTTACTTTTCTTTCCTCACATTCATTCCCTTGAGAAAGGGGCAGACAGATGAGGCACAAGTTTGAGGAAATTAGAAGGAGATTTGATATGAGGGGAGAGAACTAGAGGGAAAAAAGAAAAAGAATAAGGAAAGTAAAGGAGAGATCAATAGAGAGGAAGTGAGAAAGAAAAAAAGCCAAAAGCAGGAGGAAAAAAAAGGCACAGAAGGAGAAAGAGCTTATTTTGAATATTAAATTCAGATTATGTTCTAACCACCTCATCAAAAATGTATTTATTCTTTGCAATGGAGCTTATTGTTGAATTTCACAAGCAGGTTCCCTTTTAGAGGGCTCCCTCCTTTTTTATTAAGCCTGGGTTTTATAAACAAAGAATGAACCTGGCTGCTTAGGATTCCAAGGAATTTGGTTTGTAATATTTAAGAGGAACATGGAAAAGAAAGATGGGTAAGGGTAGGAAGGAAACTCCCAATATTTTATGTGATTTTTCTTTCTCTTCTTTTCTTGAATCTCTATCCTTTGTCTCTTTTCATCTTGGAAAAAATATCAAAGAATCAGAGATAAGCCCATAATTTGGGCTCACTGTAAAAAAAAAAATTTAAAAGTTAAGGAGAATAAAGCCTAGAAAGGTAAAAACTTAAAGCTAAGAAAGTAGAGAAATGGGGCCGGGCACAGTGGCTCATGTCTGTAATCCTGGCACTTTGGGAGGCTGAGGTGGGCGGATCATGAGGTCAGGAGATTGAGACCATCCTGGCTAACACAATGAAACCCCATCTCTACTAAAAATACAAAAACAATTAGCTAGGCATAGTGGCACGCATCTGTAGTCCCAGCTACTCGGGAGACTGAGGCAAGAGAATCGCTTGAACCTGGGAGGCGGAGGTTGCAGTGAGCTGAGATCGTGCCACTGCGCTCCAGCCTGGGCGACAGAGTAAGACTCTGTCTCAAAAAAAAAAAAAAAAAGAAAAGAGAGAAATGAACTCAGATCCAGAGAGACAAATTTAACCTGGACCCTATTTCATGCATAAAGTTGTCATAAAAACAGTGCATTTGAAGTGCCACTTTATCCCAAAACCTTATGCAGAAAAGGAGAAAAAAAATTTAACTTTCGCAAACTGCTGAGAGGTTTGAGAGATGAATTTGAGATCATGGTCCCTAACTAGCATTGCTGGGTGAATGTGAATCAGATGAGCTTAATAATGCCAGGAATTTGTTTTACTACTATGGGGAGCAGTTATTATTCTGATTTCCGCCTATAATATAAATTAGAATTACGGACTCATTTTTAATTTGTACTCCAATTACATTTAATAAAATGAGGTATTAAGATTCAGCCAGTCTTTGCTTTTCTTGGGGTACAGGGTGTTAAGTGAGAGTAAAAGTGTATGGAAGGGGAACAGGTGATTTAGAGGAGAGTGAAAATGGGGAAAGAAATGCTAATCAGGGGAAAAACTGAAAAACTATACAAGCCTAAGTAAGAAAAAAGTGGGAAAACATGGGAGAAAAAGGTGGAAAGAAATAAGAAATACATAAGAGAAAACAAACAGGGAAAATAATTAATACTTTGTGGAAAACGACATGCCCATTTTGTAAGTTGTGCCACCCTTGTGATTTAACAAGCCCAGAGTGGAATTTTTCTGCTCATTTGCTGTATCTTTGCTTAGCTCCTGATTTCCAAAGCCCCATTTCAAGCTGCCTGCTAGATTGTCGAAGATGAGTCCCAGGACTACAAACATGGCAGCTCATAGAATCTTAACTACCAAAAGGGTTTTGAGACAGCGAATCATGCCCTCCTCTTTTCTTGTAAGCTATGATAGCATTTCCCTATAATGTTCTCAGGTTCAGTAGTATAGATTGGAATATAGGCCTAACCACATTACAGTGAAGTTCATCTCATATTTTTAGACACTAAAGCCCAATGGGGGCCAGGCGCAGTGGCTCACGCCTGTAATCCCAGCACTTTGGGAGGCCAAGGCAGGGGGATCACTTGAGGTCAGGAGTTCGAGACCAGCCTGGCCAACATGGTGAAACCCCATCTCTACAAAAAATACAAAAATTAGCCAGGCATGGTGGCGGGTGCTTGTAATCCCAGCTACTTGGGAGGCTGGAGCAGGGGAATCACTTGAACCCAGGAGGTGGAGGTTGCAGTGAGCCAAGATTGTGCCACTGCACTCTGGCTTGGGCGAAAGAGGGAGACCCCATCTCAAAAAAAAAAAAAAAAAAGCCCAATGGGAAGGCCCAAAGACAAATCCCATTTGTGTAAAAACCTATTCTATAATGATTTGCTGTTTTTTGTGGGACTGACTCTTGTACGTGTGACTAAAACTGCCTTCAAGTATTCTTGCTTTTTGAAGCAGTATTTTTTTTTTCTCTTCACTTATGCCAAGTTAAATGTTCCTTCCATAGTGTTCTTTTATGTGCATGACTGAAGCTGAGGCTTGGTCTGTCTCCCAGGTTTGAAAGTAACTTAGAGCTGGTTCAGCACTCAGCAAAGAGAGAGATTTGCCTATAAGACAACCTATAAGAGGTGCCTATAAGACAACCTCCACATTAAAAGTTCGTTACAGGCTAAAGATTCTTAGAACATGGCAATATATAAAGAAAAATCATCACTCCCCACTGCCAAATAAAACCCAAACATTAAATAGGTCCAGGGTGGTGGCTCACTCCTATAATCCCAGCACTTTGGGAGGCCCAGGTGGGCAGATCACTGGACATCAGGAGTTCGAGACCATCCTGGCCAACATGGTGAAAAATACAAAATTTAGTTAGGCGTGGTGGCAAACGCCTGTAATCCCAGCTACTCAGGAGGCTGAGGCAGCAGAATCACTTGAACTCAAAAGGCAGAGAGGTTGCAGTGAGCAAGATCACACCACTGCACATCAGCCTGGGCAACAGAGACTACGCCTCACAAAAAACAACAACAAACAAACAAACAAAAACATTAAATAGTATCACCTGGTAGAGGCTAAAGACATAGGAGGAACAAAGAGGAGCTGGATAATTTTACATTTACCAAAAATTTAGTTGTGGACCATTCCCGTTATATATCAGCAAGGATGGCAGGTCCTATGATTGCTGTAGTTTGCATTCTGCCTGCAGAACTAGGCTTGGCGTGGTTTATGCTTGATGATTTAGATACAGGGAACTGGGAAACTAAACCAGTGCAGAAAAAGAAAACTGAAGTAGTAAAGTACCATAATGTTTTCCACTTGAAAGATAGCCTGAGGATCGGCTTTGAGAAAGAGTTTCTTCAGTATAGGATTCTCAGAATGGAGCATAGTGAAGAAAGGAAATGCATCAAAAAGTCTAGCTGAATTCCTTTGCTCTTAGCCACACTACTCTTCTAGGAACCAGAGATGACTACTGAATACCAGGGATCACAATAAAACATGTAGTGGAATTTGTTCCATACCTGAAGTGTTTGATTCAGTTCTCAAGCTCCTGTAAAAATAAATAGCACATCTCAAAAATTTGCCAGCATAACCACAAATATTTAGAAAAGATCTACTAGATATAAAATAACCGGTCATTCTTTAAATGCTCTGTGGGTAGTAATGAAACACGTTTAGCAAACCTAGGCCATTGCTGATTATAGAACATATGAGAATAAAATTACCTAAATTTCTGCAACATGTGGACTATTCAATCTGTAAAAGCCGTAAAAGTTTATTGTACGTAATAATATGTAATCTATTCTTATTATATCTATTGCCAGTCACTCCATAGGGCTGCTGGCATCCCCAACACTGCCGCCTCCTTGTCCTTCCCTTATCAGGCTGAGAGAAGTTAACTGCTGCTGCTGAGCCGTGTAAATAAATAAGGTCAACTATGTTGGGAATATAGGGTTTCAAAGAGACCTGGGGATAAATTCTGAAATGGATGGTTAGGAGAAATCACCAACTTCTGGTAGCTTCTTTACCACCAAGTCTTTGGCTTTACCAGGGGTGGCCATGCTTGGGAATCTTGTAGCAAATAATGTAACTTATTTACATTTAATAACATTTCTTATGGTTGTTGGATAAAAGAAGAGGCTAGCAGTTTTTTAGATTTCACTTTCAGAAATGTCTTTGGATAAAGAAGCTTATTTTCTGTGCTCCTGATTTTTAAAACTGATAATAATCAAAATACTTATTTCCTTAACCTCATTGGCATACTAAAACATAAACTTAAGTCACATAATTTTCACCAAATTCTTATTTCTTGACACATTTTCAATAAGTATTTTGGAAGTATTGAATAAAACAAATAGTTTAGGAAGAATAATTATCTTAGCTATTATCCTACAAAATAAACATGCAAAGACATAATTGTGGTCCATTTTAAGGGGACTGGCAAATACACCCAGTTCAAGTTCTACAATGGATCTTTCAGAAAGTAAATGTTAAAATCGTAATTTTCTATACAGTTTGCAAATATTCATATAGTCTTTATCAAATAGATCTGATGACTTAAATGAAGGTTAAGCGAGACTGAGAAGCATCAGGTAAATGTACCTTGAAAAATAGATGCAAATTAAAATAAAGCCTGCCACTATCCTCTTTGAAACAAAGGAAAGAGCCATGGTAGGACTACTGTCAAGATATGAGAAAAAAATATAAATGTTTTATAAAGTAAATTCTTCATTTCTAAAGGAACTAAAGTGACAGTATAGATAAGTTTAAGTTTCCAACATTTTTCACTCATCTAGATTTAAGATGCTCAATTTAAATTTTAAAGACTAGTAAATCTGAGGGCACAATATTCAACAAGGTCATCATTTACCTTTTTTTTTTTTTCCTGAGAAAAGGTCTCTCTCTGTTACCCAGGCTAGAGTGCAGTGGCTCTATCATGGCTCTTTGCAGCCTTGACCTCCCAGCTCAAGCAATCCCCTTGCCTCAGCCTCCTGAGTAACTGGGACCTCAGGTGTGCACTACCACGCCCAGATAACTTTTTTCTTTTTTCTTTTTTGTAGGGACAGGGTCTTGACATATTGCCCAGGGTGGTCTTGAGCTCCTGAGCCCAAGCCATCCTCCCGCCTGGGCCTCTCAAAGTTTTGGGATTACAGGCATGAGCCGTTGCACGCAGCCTAATTTTTTATCAGTGTTCCAAAGTACACAGTTATAAAGTGTCACTGAAATCCATGGTTTTGGAAAAGAAAAATAATATATATAACTTATTTTTCAACCTCACTAGCATTACTAAATCCCACTAATGTCTCTGCAATACAGCAGTAGTGAATTCCATTCTGTTCTTAGAATATTACATCTTTCATCCATAATTAACATTCTCAAATTAGACTCTAGCTAGTAATTATGTTCCTGATGCAAATAGGCAATAAAAAGAAATCCATGCTTTATTAAATTGGGCTTAAGAGGATTACTTATAACCAAAATTTGTTTTGTTTTGTTTTTCTTCATCTATTTATTTCTCTCCAGTAGAGTCAGCTGATAAATGGCGTAGGGAGCTGAGAAGGGAGGGGTGAGACCTTGAAGAATTTGAGATTTGTTAATTCTCAAGATCTTTTATAGCTTTAAAATTCTATGATTTTTGCTATTTATTTAGGGATTCATTTTTTATCATTTCTAATAATGATCATAATAGTGAGACTAATGAAACAGTACCTGCTGAGCCTTTTTCATCCTAACAAAGTTATTCTTATAATATTTAATGTTTTAAAAAGCTATTAAGGGGTAGTGTAGAAAAATTCTCAGGGAGTGATGTCAGCAAGATGGCTGACTAGAGACACCTGTCATTCATCCTTCTCCCACAAGAAAGGACCAAAGCAATGAATAAACTGCTAAGATGTGACTGGAGTGTCAAAGGAAGGTCACTGGAGGGCAGCTGGGGAGCAGAGACATGTCTGTGGTGATGGAAAGTCCAGGAGGGTAGTGTGGAGGCACCTATATCACCCATGTGGACTAGATCTGCCCAGAGTCAGGAGAGACCTCCCATTGCAGGGAAAACGTAAGCAGAAGAGCCCCACCAGCCCCCATTGCTACCAAAAACACCTACAGTCCTTACAACAGGAGAATCCCACAGTCATCACAAGCCCTGAGCCTAGTTTTGGGAGTTGCTAGGAATTCACACAGCTGCATTGCCCCAGGTTAAGAGCACAAGGTATGCACTTCCTACTCCCCAATCACCACCTGTGAGCCAAACTGCTGCTTGAGACCAGAGCCACCTCTGGAGAGTAACCTGCTCTGGGGGGCCACTGGCCACCGCATCTCTCCAGCCCTAGGGCTCCATCTCCATTCCACCAAGCCCACACTGGTGGCTGAACACGACAACACCACCTGTGCAGAACCTGGGCCAGGATCTGCTGTGGCTTTGGCTTTACATAGCAGGGAAACCAACCCTCACTGCTGCACTTCTAGCCAGAGGGAGAGTACGACAGTCTTATCCATGGAAAACCCACCCTTGAGTCAGCCAAACTGCTGCATACACACCCTCAAATGAGAGAGACCCCTGAACCTCTAAACAGCTTGATATACCCTTGGGCAAGCAGAATGGCTATGTGCTGTGCTTAGGGCACAAAGAAACTGTTCCGCAGTGCCTCCATCCCCTACAGATATGTTTCTGGCCTGCCCAATGACCCTGCACCCAAAATCAGGGTCTGAGACATAGTCCTGCAGGTTGCTCCTGACGGACATGCCCCCAGGCCAGCCAAACAGGCAAGAACCCATATCCTGGACCAGAGAAACAGTCCCATAAGCCACCCAGGTTGACATGCCCCAGGCTGCCAAGCAGCCCTGTATCCACATATCAGGCCTCAGAAACAGCCCACAGGCTGTCCCCAGTGAGCACGTCCCTGAGTCAGCCAAGCAGACTTGCACTTGTGTTCCAGATTTGAGAAACGGCTCTGTGGGCCACCCACCCAGTAAACATGCCCCCAGATCACCCACACCCAAGCAGCTGTGCACCCACATCCCTGGTGCATAGCTCTGAGAAACACCAGGCCTGAGAAACAGCTCTGTAGGCTGCTACTCATAGACAACAACTGTGTGATCATGCTTCTGGCCACAGTAACAGCCCCATGGCCCCAAACCCAGCAAGCCAGACCTCAGGTTGGCCAACCCACTGTGTGTATGTGCCTGTCTGTCCTTGACCTGAGAAACAGCCTGGTGAGCCTACCCCTGGCAAAGCTGCACCACTGATGCCACAAACTCTCTAAGCCTAGGCCACTGAGAAACTTGCAAACACTAAAGAAACTACATGGAGACTACACTGTTGCATCCACTTAGAACCAAAGCCAATGCAACCCACTGAACTGACATCCCAAGACCCATTCATATAAATAAGTCTTTCCCTGTGACACTACTCCATAAAATTGGAGGAGGCATTTTTTCCATTAGATGCACAGAACTCAACATAGGACCACAGGATACATGACACTTCCAAAGAAAAACAATAATTCTCCAGTAACAAACATCAATAATAAGAAAACATAGAAAATGTCAGAAAAAGAATTTAAAATAATAATCTTAAGAAAACTCTTAAGATTAAACTCTTAAGATTAAAATCTTTTACAGATAAACCAAAACTAAGGAAATTCATCATCACTAGATTGGCCTTACAAAAAATGCTCAAGGGACTTATATATAGAAATGAAAAGATGATAGCCACCATCATGCAAACATGCAAAACTATAAAACTCACTGGTAGAGCTGATACACAAAGGAGAAAGAGAAAGCAATAAAACCTTATCACTACAGAAAATCACTCAACTGCAAAAATAAACAATAAGAGAAGTAAGGAGCAAATGATATACAAAACAACCAGAAAACATGTAACAAAATGACATGAGTAAGTCTTTACCTATCACTAATAACCTTAAATGTAAATAGATTAAAATTCCCTGCTTAAAAGATATAGACTGGCTGAATGGATTTTTTAAAAAATGACCCAACTATATGCTGCCTACATGAAACTTACTTCACCTGTAAAGATGCATATAGACTGAAAGTGAAGAAATGAAACAAGATATTCGATGCAAATGGAAACCAAAGTCAAGCAAGAGTAGCCATATTTATATCAGATAAAACAGAATTTATGTCAGAAACTGTAAAAAAAAAAGATGAAGAAAGTCATTCTATAGTTATAAACGGATCAATTTAACGTGAAGATATAACAATTGTAAATATACATGTACACTGGAGCACCCAGATTTATAAAGCAAATATTAGATCTAAAGGCAAATAGAGATCCCAATACAATAATAGCTGGGGACTTCAACACCCACTCTTAGCCTTGGACAAATCATCTAGACAGAAAATCATCAAAGAAACATGGAATTTAAACTGCATCACAGACCAAATGACTTAACAGACATTTATAGAACATTTCATCCAACAGCTGCACAGTACACATTCTTTTCATCAGCATGTGGAATATTCTCCAGGATTGACTATATGTTAGGACACAAAACAAATGTCAAAAAGTTTATCCAAAATTTTTAAAAATCAAAATCTTATCAAGTATTTTATCTGACCACAATGGAATAAAACTAGAAATCAATAACAACAGGAACATTCAAAAGTATACAATACATAAAAATTAAACAACATGCTCCTAAATGACCAATGGGTGAAGGAAGAAATGAAGGATGCTATTTAAAAATTTACTGATACAAATGGAAATAGAAATACAATATACGAAAACTTATGGGGGCACAGCAAAAGCAGTATTAAGAGTCAAGTTTATAGTGATAAATACCTACATCAAAAAACTAGAAAGATGTCAAATAAATAACCTAATGATGCACCTTGAGGAACTAGAAAAGCATGAATAATCCAAACTCAAAATTAGTAGAAGAAATAATAAAAGTCAGAGCAGAAATAAATGAAATGGAGACTGAAAAAAAACCCCAAAATATTAACAAAACGTGATTAACTCATTCTATGAGGCCAGCATTGCCCTGATACCAAAACCAGACAAGGACATGACAAAAAAAGAAGACTACAGGTTAGTATCCCAGATGAATATAGATGACAAAATCCTCAAGAAAACAAAATCCACAGAACTGTACAACACAAGGAGTAAATCTTAATGTAATGTAAACTATGGACTATAGTTAATAACAATGTATTAATATGTGTTCATTGACTGTAACAAATGTACCACATGTTAGATGTTAATAGAAGATACCATGGGGGATTGGTAGGAGGACACGGTGGGAGGCGTGTGTGGAACTCTATGCACTATTTGCTCAGTTATTTTGTAAATCTAAAACTGCACGCAAAAAATAAAGTTTATTAATTATTTTTCATCAATTTTTTAAAAGGCATTAAAAGCGAATCTAATGGTTTAGGGCATTTGTTTTGGGCAAGGAAAGAAGTAGCTGAAATGATTCAGTTAACTTTGTGAGATTTTGATTTGTGGTATGATTTTGAAGTGTTAGACAAGGGTTGGGGGCACTGGATTTGAGACATAAGAATGAAATAAAACATAAGGAAGACATCAGAGTGACCAGACCTGATCAATGATTATTTAGGACAAATTGCTAAGTTGGATGGATTCATTTAATCTTGTTTTTTTAAATAAACCTTACGCTTTTCTAATAAAGTCATACTCACTTATTGTAGTGAAAGGTATGTTTTCCACTGAGCAGCACCTGCCTCTATCCTTCTGCATCTTATATTCCCGTATCCCTTTCCTATTTCTGACTATTGGTTTCTGTTTTTCTCTTCCTACTTTACTCTCACTCTCTCCTGTTGTTGTTGTTGTTGTTTTTTAATCTTTGTACTTTCTCTTCTAACACATCAGACTTACAAGTTGCCCTTCTGTCATTGTTTACTTACACTGAAATAGCTCAGTGGTTATCATAAAAAAAAAAAACAATAGATCAGTGTTCTGGGGAGAAATTTATTTCAGTGACTTCTGTGCCCTCGGTAAAAGTAGGAAAATGTCTGTAGGTGATAACAGCAATTCCCACATTGAACCATTTTTTATCTTTTTGAGCTCCTAGTCCTGGAAGAAAGCTCCCTAGAAGATTCCTGGTGAGCCTATAGTTCTTTCCACAGCTATAAAAGCAGAATACTTATTTTGACTGTAGGGCTTCAGGAGAAGCCATTATGAGAGGGGAATCCTTGCTTGATAGATATGACTGGCTTCTCCTAAGGAAATGGTTCTCAAATCTGAGTGTGCATTAGAATCACTTGGAACCCCATTGTCTCAGCCCAGAATCTCCTTAAGCTGACAAGCAACTTCAGCAAAGTCTCAGGATACAAAATCAATGTGCAAAAATCACAAGCATTCTTATACACCAATAACAGACAAACAGAGAGCCAAATCATGAGTGAACTCCCATTCACAATTGCTTCAAAGGGAATAAAATACCTAGGAATCCAACTTACAAGGGATGTGAAGGACCTCTTCAAGGAGAACTACAAACCACTGCTCAATGAAATCAAAGAGGATACAAATAAATGGAAGAACATTCCATGCTCATGGATAGGAAGAATCAATATCGTGAAAATGGCCACACTGCCCAAGGTAATTTATAGATTCAATGCCATCCCCATCAAGCTACCAATGACTTTCTTCACAGAATTGGAAAAAACTACTTTAAAGTTCATATGGAACCAAAAAAGAGCCCGCATCGCCAAGTCAATCCTAAGCCAAAAGAACAAAGCTGGAGGCACCACGCTACCTGACTTCAAACTATACTACAAGGCTACAGTAACCAAAATAGCATGGTACTGGTACCAAAACAGAGATATAGATCAATGGAACAGAACAGAGCCCTCAGAAATAACGCCGCACGTCTACAACTATCTAATCTTTGACAAACCTGAGAAAAACAAGCAATGGGGAAAGGATTCCCTATTTAATAAACGGTGCTGGGAAAACTGGCTAGCCATATGTAGAAAGCTGAAACTGGATCCCTTCCTTACACCTTATACAAAAATTAATTCAAGATGGATTAAAGACTTAAACGTTAGACCTAGAACCATAAAAACCCTAAAAGAAAACCTAGGCAATACCATTCAGGACATAGGCATGGGCAAGGACTTCACGTCTAAAACACCAAAAGCAATGGCAACAAAAGCCAAAATTGACAAATGGGATCTAATTAAACTAAAGAGCTTCTGCACAGCAAAAGAAACTAACATCAGAGTGAACAGCCAACCTATAAAATGGGAGGACATTTTCGCAACCTACTCATCTGACAAAGGGCTAATATCCAGAATCTACAATGAACTCAAACAAATTTACAAGAAAAAAACAAACAACCCCATCAAAAAGTGGGCGAAGGACATGAACAGATACTTCTCAAAAGAAGCCATTTATGCAGCCAAAAAACACATGAAAAAATGCTCACCATCACTGGCCATCAGAGAAATGCAAATCAAAACCACAATCAGATACCATCTCACACCAGTTAGAATGGCAATCATTAAAAAGTCAGGAAACAACAGGTGCTGGAGAGGATGTGGAGAAATAGGAACACTTTTACACTATTGGTGGGACTATAAACTAGTTCAACCCTTGTGGAAGTCAGTGTGGCGATTCCTCAGGGATCTAGAACTAGAAATACCATTTGACCCAGCCATCCCATTACTGGGTATATACCCAAAGGACTATAAATCATGCTGCTATAAAGACACATGCACACGTAAGTTTATTGTGGCACTATTCACAATAGCAAAGACTTGGAACCAAGCCAAATGTCCAACAATGATAAACTGGATTAAGAAAATGTGGCACATATACACCATGGAATACTATGCAGCCATAAAAAATGATGAGTTCATGTCCTTTGTAGGGACATGGATGAAATTGGAAATCATCATTCTCAGTAAACTATCGCAAGAACAAAAAACCAAACACCGCATATTCTCACTCATAGGTGGGAATTGAACAATGAGAACACATGGACACAGGAAGGGGAACATCACACTCCAGGGACTGTTGTGGGGTGGGGGGAGGGGGGAGGGATAGCCTTAGGAGATATACCTAATGCTAAATGACGAGTTAATGGGTGCAGCACACCAGCATGGCACATGTATACATATGTAACTAACCTGCACATTGTGCACATGTACCCTAAAACTTAAAGTATAATAATAATAAAATAAAATAAAATACATTTAAAAAAAAATTCTACATGCAGAACAGCTATCTGAGAAGTAAAAAAAAAAAAAAACACCACAGAATTCTATGCCCCATCCCCAAGCTTATGATTCAGTAAGATGGGGTGAGGCCTAAGCATTTACATCTTTAACCAGTTCCCAGGTGATGCTGCTGGTCCAGCGTCCTCATTTTGAGAACAACTCATATAGAAACCTTAGATAGTTAACGATGCTTTGCTTGAACAGCCAAGAACCAACACTTTGAATGTCTTGGCACTTGTATCTAGAGGCTCTGGGATTGTGAAAAATGCAGTGCTCAAGCAGCTAAAGCAAACTACTCTGATTTCAAGGTTTGTGGCTCTCCTAAGGATCACCCATTTTCCTTTGTTTCCCTTGGCCTATACTTTGTTAGGAAAGAAGACTTTTTAGAAAAACCAGCTTTGAGTAGTTAATCCTCAGTTGAATAAGATATTTTTGTGTATACATTTATTTGTATGTATGTGTAAATATATATTATATATATATGTAATATATATTATATATAATATATATTACATATATATATATATATTTTTTTTTTCAACAGGGTCTTGCTCTGTCACCCAGGCTGGAGTGCAGTGGCTCTATCATGGCTCACTGCAGCCTCAACCCCCCAGGATTAGGTGATCCTTCCACTTCAGCCTCCCTAATAACTGGGACTACAGGCACATGCCACCATGCTCTGCAAAATTTTTGTATTTTTTTTGTAGAGACAGGGTTTTGCAATGTTGCCCAGGCTGGTCTCGAACTCCTTGGCTTGAGCGATCTGCCCATGGGATTACAGGTGTGAGACACTGCGCCTGGCCCTAAGATACATTTTTTGTCAGAGGAGCCATTTTAAAGAAGATACATTTTTTTCTTTAATCTACACTGTTAAAAATGAATTATTAGTGACAATAATGATCATTTACTGAGCAACTAATATGTCCAAAGTCCTCTATGTACTTTCATCACTATGCTTCTCAGAACCTTACAATGTACCTAGTGTGTTTACTGTTTTCATTTCATTATACTCTTTCAAGGAATTCCCTAGAGCACACCTATATTTGACTTTAGCATGCATTCTATTATTCATTTTAGCAGATCTTCACAGTGGTTAAGATTACATTATAAGAAACATGAAAAGGTCTCCTGGCAGAAGAATGCTTAAAGTCTATCCAGGACAAATGATTTAATGTTCGTTTTTGAGAAGTTTTGCAGGGACAGACTTCACAATGTACAGAACCTACAGAAACTGGTTCTGTTTTTTATCAATATATAATAAATGATAAGTATTTATTTATTTAAGAGTCAGTGTCTTGCTCCATCACCCGGGCTGGAGTGCAATGGCTTGATCATGCTCACCAAAACTTCAAACTCCTAGGCTCAAGTGACCCTCCCACTTTTGTTTTGGTGGCAGGGTTTTGTTAAGTTGCCCAGGATGGTACTCCCACTGTAGCTTCCACAGTTGATGGGATTACAGGCGTGTGAGCCACTTTGCCCAGGTTATTTTTTAAATTGATTGCTATATTACCTAATAGTAAAATTTTCCTGTGTTAAAATAATTTTTACTTTAAGTCTACTTTTTAAATGTAGCTTTCTGTGAACTTCCTCATACATTCGAATATGGTCATTGTCACCTATTAACATTCTCCTATCACCTCAATTATTTTTTACTACATTAAAAATATTTAATCAGTTTTGTGCTCTTTTCCCCAGTTCTCCTCTAGGTTCAGTTTATTGGGTAGTATAGTGGAAAGATTACTTCAGACATCCTGTGTGGTACAGAACCATGTTTGTACTGTATTCAATGTGAGTCAAATCTACATTAGGTTTTTTTTGTTCAGTTTGCTTGAACCTATCTTCCTCTCTCTTTCCTTCCTTCCTCCCACCTATATTTTATCTATATCTATACCTAGATGTATTTTGAACAGTTACCATGAGCCTGGTATTGTGAGGGTTTTAATATCAGCTATTTAATCCTTATAGCAATTCTACATGGTAGATAGTATCCCCATGTTACAAATGAGGAAACAGACCTGAAGAAGTTAAGTAACTTGCCCAAGATCATAGAGCTAATGAGATAGAGAAGCCAGGATTTGAACCCAGAGATCTGACTGCAAAGCTTATTCTCTGTTTTTGTTTGTTTTTTGAGGCAGGGTGTCACTCCATCACCCAGGCTGGAGTGCAGTGGTGCAATCTCAGCTCACTGCAACCTCCACCTCCCAGGTTCAGGTGATCCACCTTAGCCTCCTGAGTAGCTGGGACTACAGACACATGCTACCACATCTAACTAATTTTTGTAGAGACAGGGTTTCACCATGTAGCCCAGGCTGGTCTCGAACTCCTGGACTCAAGCTATCTGCATCCCTCGGCCTCCCTAAGTGCTGGGATTACAGGTCTGAGCCATCATGACCTGTGGCAAAGTTCATTCTCTATTGGCTGTGTTAAACTGTCTCCCAATGAATGCATCCTAGATTCAATTTACTTTTACAATTATATGTGTAATCAATTATATAACGAAAGTTTAATAGAAACATCTATCAATAGCTACAACAAATATTTATTCCTTTTATCATCAACTATGCCCAAACTGTGGTTTCTTCCCAGACTATAGAAATAAAATACCATTGTATTTACATTTTTTGGAATTTTGCTTTTCCAGCTTATAATTCCTTATTACTAACATAGCTCTTTTCTTTTTTCTTTGTTCTTCTTCTTTTTTTTAAATAGAGACAGGGTCTCCCTATGTTGTCCAGGTGGGTTTCAAACTCCTGGGCTCAAGCAGTCCTCCTGCCTCAGCCTCCCAAAGTGCTGGGATTATAGGCAGGAGCCACCATGCCAGCCATAGCTCTTTTCATTGAAATTCTGCCCATGGCTTTTTCTAATGGGGTTCTGTTGTTTCACGAAATCGACATACTATTTCCTGGTTAGCCATTTTTCCAGTTGTGAGCATTTGGATTACTTACAGGTTTTCCATATGAAACGCTACATTCAAATAAGTTATTTTCCCCTTTGAATGATTTCTTTGACATGTTACCATAAGTAAAGGAATACAAACATTAGGGGTGTGAATTGAATTGACAACCATTTACAGTGACACTAAGAGTGTTGTTGACACCTAATGAAAAGCTAACTGGTAATTGCTTAACTTGTATTTCTTTAATTATTAGTGAGGTTGATTCCTTCTCAAGTAGTTGTCTTCTGGAGTAAATTTTCTATTTATGTCCTTAAATCATTTGTTAATTGGATCCCTTACAAATTCCTACCAACTACTTATATATAAAGGTAATCTATTATACTTTTTCGTTTCTTTTTTTTTTTTTTTTTTTCCGAGATGGAGTCTTGCTCTGTCACCCAGGCTGGAGTTTAATGGCACGATCTCGGCTCACTGCAACCTCAGTCTCCCGGGTTCAGGCAATTCTCCTGCCTCAGCCTCCCGAGTAGCTGGGATTACAGGCGCCTGCCACCACACCTGGCTAATTTTTGTATTTTTAGTAGAGACGGGGTTTCACCATGTTGGCCAGGCTAGTCTCGAACTCCTGACCTCATGATCTGCCCGCCTCAGCCTCCCAAAGTGCTGGGACTACAGGCATGAGCCACCACACCCGGCCTATTATGCTTTTCCCTCCACTCTGTTATCATACATATATGAGTGTATTTATTTTTTTAAAATGATTTATTTGGCAGAGATTTGTAATTGTTATGCAATCAATCAACTTGGAACTCTGTTCCCCCAGAGGTTCACACTTGCTCAGGTCTCTGCTCAAATGGCCTTGACCACCTGTATAAAATATCTCTCCACCCTCTTCTAATTACTCTCACTCTCTATTCTCTCTCTCTCTTTTTATTTTCATCACAGCACATTCCAGCTGGCATAATATATTGTATTGGTTTATTATCTGTGTCCCCCACTAGAATAAAACACTCCATGAGATATGGACTTGATCATTTTTGCTGCTGTATCCCCAATGCCTAGTGCATAGGAAGTGCTCATAAATATTTTTGAGTGAATCACGTAAACTCTGCCATTGAAAATTACTTTTATTGTATCAGCGGACAATAAATGATCTTTCCTCTGTAAATGAGGCAATGATACCATTTCATTTTCTTCTGGCTCATTTTAGTTTTAAAATAACTTACTCTTTTCCTATCTGAAATTTTTTTATGGTACATCATAAATCTTTGACCAACATTTTCCTAGAATTTTGCTTTTTCCGTGCTTCTTTTTTTTTTCTTTTCTTTTTTTTTTTTTGAGACAGAGTTTTACTCTGTCACCCAGGCTGGAATGCAGTAGCGTGATCTTGGCTCACTGCAACCTCTGCCTTCTGAGTTCAAGCAATTCTCCTGCCTCAGCCTCCCGAGTAGCTGGGATTACAGGTGCCCGCCACCGCGCCTGGCTAATTTTTGTAGTTTTTAGTAGAGACAGGGTTTCACCATCTTGGCCAGGCTGGTCTTGACATCAGGTAGACAGCCCAGAATGCCAGCTGAGTAACGTGACAAGTTGCCATGAAAATAAAAATTAGCCAAAGTTGAACCAAATGTGGGTCATTCAGAGTTGACTATATCATCATTCAGTTACACTACATCTGTCTCTGAGAATCTTCAGTGGCAGATGCCTGAGTTAAGAGACTAAAGCACATATTTCTTTATTAATATTTCATGTCTTAGAATTCCTTTGGCATGTTCCTGCCTCACATACCTGGATTCTTCAGCCTTGAGAGCTGTGCTCTGAAAATCAGGCATCTTTTCTTCAGAGGTCTTATCCTTCATCTCCTTGGATGTATTTGCCTCACTTTCTACTGGGGTCAAGGTAGTTTGAAAATATCTTTTACCTTCAAAAGTCAGTGTTATGTTTGAGATGGTGACATGTTTTGAGGATTCTTTCAACTCACTCTTACTTTTTGTATCTTGTAAACACCCAGGCTTCAGAATGTTTTTCAATTTTTCCTTTAAAAATAAAAAGCAGCAGCAAATCAGGTAACAGAAGAGCATCAGGTAATAGGTGTTTGTGGAACAGTATCGAATACAGGCACCATTTCATTCATCGTCACTGAGCACCCGTGAGGAGTAGTAAGGAGGGAGTGAGGCTTAGAATGGCACGACCATTGGGAGAGCCCCGGGTGTGTTGGCGGCAGGCTGTGTGGGAGCCAGGGACTGCGCCACTGCAGCCTGACACATGTTCCCCAGCTCGTGTTGTCACTTCACAGAAGACAGTTGGCATCTAATTACAGTACTTCTCTGTGAATTGTCAGCACAAGAAAAGTTTCCCAGAAATGCCACTGATTCCCCAGTCTGAGTTTGGTCTTAATTAGAGCATCTGATAGGTTACAGGGGCTGGGGGCTCATAATATAAAAGAAATTTTTTTTTGTCAAAAGACTTAGAACCTGTATCTAAAACTTAATACTCTAAAATCCCCCCCTCCTCCTAATTTCCCAATTTCTGTTAATGTCTCACCTCTCCTAGCCACTCTCTGATTCGCTCAGAATCACTTAGGGCTCAAGGCAGTTGGTCAGCAGGCCCTAAAGCCAACTTTCTAATGTCCTTCATGTCTGCACCTTCTTCTTTCCACTGCCCCTGCCTAGTCCATTACTTCTTGATATGGTTTGGATGTTTTGTCACTTGAAAATCTCATGTTGAAATGTGACCTCCAATGTTGGAAGTGGGCCTAGTGGGAGGTGTTTAGGTCTCGGGGGCAGATCCCTCATGAATGGCTTGGTGCTGTCCTCACCATAATGAGTGAGTTCTCACTCTAAGTTGATGCGAGATTTGGTTGTTTAAAAGAGCCTGGCACCTCCTTCCTCTCTCTTTTGCTCTCTCTCTGGCCATGTGATGTGCTGGCTCCCCTTCTCTTCCACACGATTGTAAGTTCCCTGAGGCCCTCACCTGAAGCAGATGCCAGCATTGTGCTTCCTTTACCACCTACAGACCCATGAGCCAATTAACCCTCTTTTCTTTATTAATTGCCCAGCCTCAGATATTTCTTTATAGCAATGCAACAATGGCCTAATACACCTCTATTACATTTCCTTAAAAATGATGTAATAATTTTCTTCCTTAAGGATAAAACTTCACTTTTCCCTGACAATGAAAGTCATACATATTTATTATAGCGTATTTGGAAAATCCTATAATGAATAAAGCTAAAGGTAGAATATTTTTGCTTGCCAAGGTGGGTGGATCACTTGAGGCCAGAAGTTTGAGACCAGCTTGGGCAACATGGAGAAACCCCATCTCTACTAAAAATACAAAAATTAACTGGGCGTGTGGTGGGCACCTGTAATCCCAGCTACTTGGAAAGCTGAGGCATAAGAATCGCTTGAACCTGAGAGGTGGAGGTTGCAGTGAGCCGAGATCTCACCACTGCACTCCAGCCTGGGCAACGGAGTGAGACTGTCTCAAAATAATAATAATAATAATAATAAATTATTGCTTGTTTGATGCCACTGCCCAGAAACAACTACTTCTATGCACATTTCACTCTGATCTTTCTATTTATTTTACGTCTACTTAGATCATCTTGAAGTTCTGTCTCCTACCTTTTTCACTTAACATTTTATTATAAGCATTTTCTCCTGTCATTAAAAATTGTGTAGAACTATGTGAATTTTTCCTAATTAAAAATTAGGTTTTTTTGTTTGTTTGTTTGTTTTTTGAGACAGGGTCTCACTCTGTTGCCCAGGCTGGAGTGCAATGGCACAATCTTGGCTCACTGCAACCTCCACCTCCCGGTTTCAAACAATTCTCCTGCCTCAGCCTCCCAGGTAGCTGGGATTACAGGCACCCACTACCACACCGGCTAATTTTTATTTTTTAGTAGAGACAGGGTTTTGCCATGTTGGCCAGGCTAGTCTCAACTCCTGACCTCAGGTGATCTGCCCGCCTCGGTCTCCCAAAGTGCTGGGATTACAGACATGAGCCACTGTGCCCATCCCTACCATCTTTCTTTTCTTTTGTTTTGTGTTTTTTGAGACAGGGTGTGACTGTTACCCAGGCTCCAGAGCAGTGGCATGATCTCGGCTCACTGCACCTTCTGCCTCCAAGGGTCAAGTAATCCTCCCACCTCAGCCTCCCTAGTAGCTGGGACTACAGGCATACACCACCATGGCCAGCTAATTTTTGTATTTTTAGTAGAGATGGGGTTTCGCCATGTTTCCCAGGCTGGTCTCGAACTCCCAAGCTCAAGCAATCCACCTGTCTTGGCCTCCCAAAGTGCCGGGATTACAGATGTGAGCCACTGCACCAGACTTTTTTCTATTGTGGACCTAGAGGAAGTTTTTCAGCAGTAGTCTTCAAACAGATCTCTTTACCTATAATCCATCCTGCCATTAGATTAATCTTTTAAAAACACAGCTCCTTCATTCCCTTACACAGGAGACTTCGGTCACTAACGTTTGCCCAAAGAGTGAAGATCTCATTTTTAAATTTGGCTCTCAAGTTTTTTAAGCAACTTTCCAGTCCTATATTCTACTATTCTCCACATATATTATTCTCTAGCCCAACTGAATGAAACATTTTTGGACGTGACTCTCTGTTTTTCCACTCTCTGGCCTTTTCTAAAGCCACTCACTTTGTTTTGTTTTTTATTATCCTATTTCCATCCTCATGTTTACCCATCGAAATTCCATCCCATCCTTCAAGGTACTGGGTACTGCTATATATTTTTAAACCAGAAATTAACCCTTACATTGTATTAATATCCTTTAGAAGTGGGGAAACTGAGGCTCATGTGGATTCTGTGACTTGGGTGAAGTCACACAAGTAATATGAGCCGCAGGTTGAGAGTCTAACTTGGTTCTGATTCTGATTCCAAAATTCTTTCCATTTCTGATGCTGGGCTAAGATTTATGTTAAGGGTTGTCACTGCCTATTTCAGGAGACATCTTACAACTCCTTTACACCAGGGTTCAGAGATTTAATCTCACTATTAAAATTAGGTTTCTCGGAGTAGGTAGGTTCCATAGCATTTTGATAATCAATGTCAGCTAACCAAGAAGTGTGATCTCGGTAACCCCTCTAGTTCTCGATTATTAAAGCATGAAAGTCTTCAGTGACACATACCTTCTCCTCTTGCTTGGCCCTGATTAAGTCATTGTTTTCAAACACCACTGTGACTCCCGAGCAGTTTGTAATATCAGAGCTGTCTGTGACTTCCGTGGCTTCTCTGACTTCTATGACTTCTGTGACAATTCTTACATCCGGGACCTCTGGGACCTCATTTTCTGGAAGATCTGTGACATCTGTGATGTCGGTGATGTCTGTGAATTCTGGGAAATCTATGCTGTCCCTGACATGTTCAGGGCCTGTACCTGCATACATGTACGGGGTCAGGATGGCTGTGAACGTGGTGACATCCGTCACATCCATGGAGCCTGTGATGTCTGTGCTATTCGTAATTCCTGAGAGACTTGAAACCTCCGACACTTTGGAAACTTTGGCTTTCTCCTGATTCAAGAGGGAGATGAGGGCCACCCATTGAGAAAACAAGGTGTCCTGTTTATATGCAGAGGTGCAGAGCTGTAAGTAGTAGGCTCGACCACTCACCAGCTTTACTTTCAGGCTCATGTTCTCCGCATCATGCACAGAAAGAGTCACAAACTGCAGAGGGAGAAACCTGCAAACAAGCACACGGTAACATCATCTGGAGACCTGATGGGAGGCTTATAAAAAGGCCTTTCTTATATATATATATATTTGTTTGTTTGTTTTGAGACAAGTTCTCACTCTGTTGCCCACGTTGGAGTGCAGTGGTGATGCGATCATGGCTCACTGCAGCCTCGACTTCCTGTGCCTAAGTGGTCCTCCCACCTCATCCTCCTGAGTAGCTGGGACAACAGATATGTACCACCAATGCCTGGCTAATTTTTGCATTTTTTTGTAGAGACAAGGTTTCACCATGTTGCTCAGGCTGGTCTTGAATGCCTGGGCTCAAGCAATTCACCTGCCTTGGCTTCCCAAAGTACTGGGATTACAGGTGTGAGCCACCATGCCCAGCCTCTTTCTTATATTTTATAGTAGTTTGAAGAGTGAGACTCAAGACACCAGACTTGCCTCCCAGATAGGTCTGGGTAGGGGCTCCTGAGAACCATCTCATCTTAATCATATGCCTAAGGCTCTGATGTATAAAAACGTCTGAATGGGCTGGGTGCAGTGGCTCACGCCTGTAATCCCAGCACTTTGGGAGGCCAAGGCGGGTGGATCACCTGAGGTCAGGAGTTCAATACCAGCCTGACCAATATGGTGAAACTCTGTCTCTACTGAAAATACAAAAATTAGCTGAGCGTGGTGGTGTGTGCCTGTAGTCCCAGATACTCGGGAGGCTGAGACAGGAGAATCGCTTGAACTGGGAGGTGGAGGTTGTAGTGAGCCAAGATCGTGCCATTGCACTCCAGCCTGGGTGACAGTGCAAGACTCCATCTCAAAAACAAAACACGTCAGAATGTCAATTATTTACCATGAGAAAGCGTCCATTTAAATTAATCCTTCAAAGTTGACTTAAAGTTAAGCAATTTGCTCATGATCATAGACCAAGTTAGTGGCTGAGACAGGACCAGAGCTAATTCTGCTGGAAGCTGGGATGCTGTGGAAGAGGAGGCATGTTCTAGAAAGGTAGTTTATTATGAGTCTTCAGTTCCTGTTAATTAGATTTAGTTTTTTAAAAATTAACTGCCTGTTGGATACCCATTGTCATACATGATTTCACCCGTCTTCAAGGATGCTCCTCTTTGTCATTTGCAGCAGGGAGTGCGAGTAACATGCTCCACTGGCGCAATTGTCATCAGTGTTTCCGTTTTCAGATCCACAGGGCTAATGCACATCTTCTGAGAGATCTTTAACCTCTTCTCTTTGTAACTCACCTGGTGAGCACTAGTTTCTCTGCAGGAGGAGATGTCAGGAGACTTTTAAACAGGGTTTCTGTATCTTTTTGGGCACCAGGTGTCAGATGGGCCAGTAGCATCACATTGGGGATCTTGTGGGTGGAGCTGGAAAAACAGATGCCTACGGTCACCCAGTTGGCTCGGTTATGAAGGTAAATGGATTCACCTCTTCTGTTGACCTGAGTGCAGAAAACAGGAAAAGGCGTTATATGATGAAATGTGTGGCTTTGACAACCTTGCTTGCCTGAGAAGTGTAAGAGAGGGTAGGAAATAAAGGAGGAATGAACCATGATATATTTGTTCCTTCACTTGCTCATGCTAATTCTTGGAGATACCGCAGGGAACAGACACAGCCTCTGACCCATGGGGGCCTACCAGGGAAGGCAAACATTAAACAATTTAAGTATGTGACTAATTATTACTATAAGAAGTTTTACCAAGTACAAGTCCAGGATGTTACAGGAGCACATAACAGAGGACTTGACTTAGCTTAGAGTGGGGAGACAGGCAGTGATGTTCTGGTAACAGTTAGGTCTTGGGAGGTACACACATTTACACATAAGTTTAAAGTGTTACTGACATAAAAGACAAGTAGCATACAAATTTACAAATAATATGCAATATTCTTTAGTCTTTAGTTTAAATTCCATAGAGCCAATTAATAAATTCCACAAACTCTTGCCAAACTCTTCTTATATTTATAACCTTAGAAGTATAGACAACAGTAAAATGTAGTAAAAGAATAGGAATGATGAGTTTTGAATATTTATTGCCCTTATTTTAGATATAATGTAAGTTTATAAAATTTAATTTTTAAGAATTTAATTTTTTTTTAGGTGCAGTCTCGTTCTGTTGCCCAGGCTGGAGTGCCATGGGTGATCTCGGCTTACTACAACCTCTGCCTCCCAGGTTCAAATGATTCTCCTGTCTCAGCCTCCCAAGTAGCTGGGATTACAGGCACATGCCACCAAGCCCGGCTAATTTTTGTATTTTTAGGAGAGACGGGGCTTCACCATGTTGGTGGGGCTGGTCTCGAACTCCTGACCTCGGGTGATCCACCCACTTTAGCCTACCAAAGTGCTGGGATTACAGGCGTGAGCCGCTGTGCCTGGCCTATAATTTAATTTTTAATAATGGCTGTGTTTAACAACTGACTTGCAAATTTCCTGAACACGTACCAATCGACCAGTTCTGGCACACCCCTGGATATGGACTCATGGAAGTCTCCCCTGAGGAAGAGACCTCTAGCTGATACCTGAACTATGTGGGAAATAAACTGGCTGGGTTGAGAGGAGAGGTTTCCAGGCAGAGGAACAGCATGTATAAAAACCCTGAAGTCCAAGAAACTTGGCCAGTAAAATCTCTGCCACTTGGTAGAAGAAGAGACTGGAGGATGGGCAGACAGGGAAATGAAGGAAGGCAGAGAGGAGCTACACTGTAGTTTCTCAGCTGTATGATAATTGGTTCAATTAAAAAATACATCATTGAAAGAAAGAGGTTGTAGCTCACACTATTGATAACTTACCCAAACTGTGCCCCTCTTCTTCTGGATTAACAGAATCCTGGTTTTGTCCAATATCATGGCTCAGGGATGATGACCCAGCTCAGGGATTAAATCCTGATTAACTTAAATGGGTAGTGGTGGTTCCACTCCACACCCCTTGCCAGTGACTGGTTTCAGCAGTGGCATGTGACCAGCAAGACATACAGGAGGTATCCTCCAACCCTGGAAAACGTTTCTCAGAGCCACCAGGAGACAGAGCCACCAGGATGAGATGAATATCTTCTACTGCTGGCAGCTATCATTGTCCTGTTTAGATGTGAGGCCCTGAGGGGAGCTGGCTTGAAGGTGACAGAGCAAAAAGAGAGAATTGGGGTCTTCTACTGGGAGTGAGCTGATGCCCTGGGGCTCTTTCACTCTATTTGAGATAATTGCTCTCTTTTAAATTTTTTTAAAAATATTTATTTGTTTGTTTTTAGAGACAAAGTCTTGTCTTATCATCCAGGCTGGAGTGCAGTAGCGCCATCCTAGCTCACTGCAGCCTGGAGCTCCTGGGCTTAAGCAATCCTCCCTCCTCAGCCTTCCGAGTAGCTAGGAATACAGGTGTGCAGCACTGCACCCTGCTAATTTTTAAAAGTGTTTTTAGAGATGGGATCTCACTTGTTGCCCAGGTCAGTCTTGAACCTGGCCTCAAGCGATCCTCCTGCCTTGTCCTTTCAAAGTACTGGGATTATAGCCATGAGCCACTGCACCCAGCCTAATTGTTTTTCTTTTTTCATTTAAACCTGTTCAGTCAGGAATCTTGGTAACTTGCTGCCAAAGACATGCTAACCAGGTGGGGTTGTGCATCTTGAAGGATATGAGTTATCAAATTACGATGGGGGCAACGTCTGACCTATAGACTGCTAACTACCCCCAATGTTGGACAAGTACTATGTAATTTTATTAGAGTGTGCAAAAGGTAACTAACTTGGAAACAGCACAGGATGAAAGGTGAAAAAATGAAAACATTATTAGTAGGAAAGAAGTATGTATAAGGTAAAGTACATCAAATCATGACTTGTCACATGCGTTCTAGGGACATCAGTAAAACATTAGATGTTTTGGGAGGTTTCACCTCCTGCCTATGGTATACTGGAGGTGGGTAGCTCACACTAGTACTCAAGTATGAGTGCAGAGAACGTGTTAATGGAAGATGAAGTCTCCTTACATTTTTTTTTAAACAAGGAGTTTAGTTTTATTTTCTCTGTGCATTTGCAAAATACTCAGGACCAACATAAAAAAGAAATACCTCCTGTGGAAAAAGTTACATTAAAAAGGGGAATGGGGTGGGGGTGCTGAAAGGGATTAGTGCCTTAGCCCCAAGGAGCTACAGCATCTCTGATTGGTCCAAGGTATCGAAAAGATATTGGGAAGATGTAATAGGAGGAAGGAAAATGTGAATTTACTGAGGGAGAGGGCTCCAAAGCGGGCCTCGAGGGGCAACTGGTGGCTGGGGAGTGGGCCTGGTTGGAGGGAGAGGCTGGTAGCCATAGGGTGTGGGTTGTGGAGGGCCAGTGTATCCATGGGGGGCATCAGTGGAGGAAGTCCACGCATACCATGTGGAGGCATAGGACCTGGGTGACCCATGGGAGATCAGAATGGAGGCCTTCGGGGGGGCATGCCCATTGGAGGAGGTCCAGGATAAGGCATTCCAGGTGGTGGTTGGGGTGGTGGCTGTCCCCCAGAGCCTGGGTGTCCAGAATGGGGATGTCCTAAACCATGAGGTCCATGGTGTGCCAGCTGCATCTGAGACATCCCTGGATGGGGCACTCCTCCTGGTGGGAATGGGTGAGCTTGGGAGTGTCCATGACCAGGATGTCCTGCCCCTGGGGTTCCTGCCGATGGGGGGCCATGTCCTGCAGCCCCAGGAGGCATAGGTGGTGGGGCATGGCTGGGGGTATCCCAGGTGGGAGGGCTCCAGGAGGCAGCACTGGGGGTGGGAAGGAGCCAGGAGGAGGCATGCCTGGTGGAGGAAGCCCAGACCCCAATGATGATACCACAGGATTGGGGGCAGAGGGTGAAGGAGGTGCATCTGCAAACAGCTGATGAGGGCGGTCAGGCTGGGAGAGCGGGTTCTGAGCTGCCAGAAGTCGTCCAGCTGCTAAGCCATGGCGCTCACCCTTGGAGTCCTTCTCGAAGGCATAAGATACGGTGATAGGGTGGTTACAGAGGTACTGCCCATTCATGGCTTCAATTGCTGCAACTGAAGCATCAAATGAAGCAAAATTAATAAAGGCATAACCTTTGGAGTTGCCTGTGTCAGGGTCCCACATAATCTTGGGGGTTTGTAAGATGACCCCAAAGGCGCTGAAAGTATCATAAAGCAACTTCTCATCAATCTCAGGGTCCAGGTTCCCATTGAAAATGTTGGCCCCTACATCCAGGTTTTTGTTGTGAGCTGATGCCTTGTTCACCCGTATTGGCTTCCCATAGAGTCTGATCATGTTCATGATCTTAATGGCATAGTCAGCATCATCCTCACTCAAGAATTCACAAAGTCATAGCCTTGGTGCTGGCCAGTGACTCTATCCTTTGGCATGTGGGTGTTGACTACTGGTCCAGCCTGGAGAAACAGTTCCCACAGTAGCGGTTCACTAACCTTCTCATTCAGGCCCCCCACGTACACAGTGGCATCCTGGTTCCGCTCGGAGATCGGCCTGGTAGCCATGGCAAAAGAGCTCCTGCCATCCTCTTCTTGCCTTTTGAAGTGTCTGTTGTCCTCCCTTGTCACCCCTCTGTGAAATCAGCTGAGCAGCTTCTCGAATGTATTAAGAGTTAGAGGTAATAGCTCAGTGTTTAGTGTTAGACTTTGTTATGGAATTTCTAGGAACTTTAGAGGTATGACCCCTATCATTGAACTCATTTCACCATTTCTTTGTCTGAATATTTTAATGTTGAATGTTTAGAGAAAAGTTAGCATTGCTCCCAAATGCATAGAAATGCAGTTTCATTCATAATGTAGGGACATTCTTATGAGAAGGGAGCTTTTCTCCCCGACACCATCTGACAATTTACCTTCAGAACTAGGAGTTAAGATTCATTGTAATCCCTAGTCATAGATGTTCTTTAGAATGTCTTCTACGCCTAAGAAAGAAGTTATCTGTATGTTTCCCTGTGGCGGGAAATGCCAAAAACGGCTTCATGTAATTTTGGGAAGATTATGATGGAATGGCAATTATGGTAGAGTTAAGACAGAAGTCCTTCACAAGAGTTTTGGGGACATTTGAAGTAAATGTCCTTTAACATTGTAATTATTTCAGGTTTTTTAAAGTTCCCAAACTGTTCTCTTTTGTAGTATCACACATTCCCTCGGCACATTTAAAACAATTCTCCTACCATCCTTTTCAGTTTTCTTTGAGAAAATTACTGAAGTTATTGGAACTTAACTCAGGCCTTGAATATGATTTACCTGGATAAAATTGCTCTCTAACATGGGAGGAGATACAAAAGGGGCATACTCTCCTCCATCCAACATATTTTGAAGATCTCTCGGATCATGGGAGTGTGGGGTGCAGAGAGCATCTTGCTTATTGATCCTCATGGTAGTCTTGCTGGTGTTCTTCTTCATTGCGCTTGCACATAAACATAAAAAAACTGAGGGAATGGAAACACAATTAGTGGATACAGAGAGAATTTAATATCATAATTAAGTTGCTTCATTTATTTATTAATTCAGCAAATTTTATCAATATCTGTGATATGCTTGGCACTGCACCAGGCACTTGTATTAATACATACATCTAAACAGGACTGATAAGATCTCTGCCCTCATTCAGCTTACACTCTATGGGGAGACAGGTAGTAAGCAAGCCAAAAGAAACTCAGACAAGATGTTGGATGATAGGGACTATCAGGACTTGAAAACAGATACATATAGTAAAAAATGACCAGAGTATAGGGCTGGAGACACCTATTAGGGTAGCAGGAAAGGCTTCTCTAGGAGGTCTCTCAATATATTCCCCCACAGACCATTATTTTCTATCTTCCAAATTGATGGTACCCTCTTCATCATGCAGGATTCTCCAATCCCTTTTTGTAAGCAGGGTATCAAAGCTATACTAAACTGAGAACACTTTTTCCAGACTATTCACCCATAACTGAGGCTTAGCTCTTGGTTGCGCGCTCCTTATGAGACTCTAAGTCGGTGGAAAAATTGCCTTCCACAACACTGGTCCCTGCTGCCAAGGGGACCACTGATATAGGCAGCATCTTCAGTATATTAAGTCTCCAGGAGAGAGAAAGAAGAAAATAAATCTTGGAAAGTAAAGTAAGTAGAAGAAGGAAGAGGGAAAGGAAGGAAAAGAGAAAAGGGCAGGAGAGGATGTGGCCATGCAGCCCACATGGTTTATCTGTAAGAACCATCAAATCTCACCTCAACTCAGGCCGAGCCACAGTCCTCTCTAGGAGATGAAGTTTTTAACTCACTTCAGTTTGAGCTTCCTCCTTTTCATGATGAAATCTTTTGTAAAAGAAACAACAAAAAGAAAATCAAATGTATACAGGCCAGGCACAATGGCTCACACCTATAATCCCAGCACTTTGGGAGGCCAAGATGGGCCGCTTACTTGAGCCCAGGAGTTTGAGAACAGCCTGGGCAACATAGCAAGATCTTGTCTCTACAAAAAATACAGAAATTAGCCAGGTGTGGTGGTGCATGCCTATAGTTCCAGCTACTTGGGAGGTTGAGGTGGGAGGATCACCTGAGCCTGGGAGGTTGAGGCTACAGTGAGCTATGATCTTGTCACTGCACTCCAGCCTGGGCATCAGAGCGAGAGCCTGTCTCAAAAAGAAAAAAAAAGCACTAATTTGTATACAAAAGAAACTAATTTCAATTCTAAACCTTACTGTTATTTCAAGTGTGAGGTCAAGGCCTCAGAAAGAGTTAGAGTTCTTGTAAGTATACTGGGTAGGTGAAGCGGAGTCCGAGGCTGCTGTCTATGTCTGAGCTGAGCTGTTGTTGATGATCCTCACCGTGGTCTTTTGGTGAGTGGAACCAGAGTCATGAGTCCATAGCTCATAATTGGCCTGAAACTGCCAAACAGTGGAATCCTGAGCTCCTATGGCCAATGAGGATATTTGATAATGTGGCAAAGGAAGCAGTACAGACTGTATTACCTGGGTTGCATTTAATTGCTGTTTAAAGTGTGCTCCTTACGATTACCTGAAAACCTTTTGTTGACATCTTCTAGTAAGATTAAGAAAGCTCCTGGCCAGGTGCAGTAGCTCACGCCTATAATCCCAGCACTTTAAGAGGCCAAGGCGGGCAGATCACCTTAGGTCAGGAGTTCAAGATCAGCCTGGCCTGGCCAACGTCGTGAAATCCTGTCTCTACTGAAAATATAAAAATTAGCCTGGCATGGTGACAGGTGCCTGTAATCCCAGCTATTCGGGAGACTGAGGCAGGAGAATCACTTGAACATGAGAGGTGGAGGTTGCAGTGAGCCAAGACTGTGCCAATGCACTGCAGGCTGGGCGACAAGAGCAAAACTCCATCAAAAAAAAAAAAGAAAGAAAGAAAAGAAAAGAAAGGAAAGAAAAAGAAAGCTCCAGTATGAAACTTGTCAGAGGCTTAGAAGAAGGTCCTAAAGACTAGAGTGGAGCCCTTTAAGAAATGCACAGAGGATGATGGCACAGGAACAACAGCTAGATATTGTGTGGGAAAATTCCCATAGAAAGCATTATTTAGGAGGCCAAGGTGGGTGGATCACCTGAGGTCAGGAGTTCGAGAACAGCCTGGCCAACATGGCGAAACCCCATCTCTACTAAAAAACACAAAAATTAGCCAGGTGTGGTGGCATGCACCTGTAGTCTCAGCTACTTCTAAAGGCCTCTCTAGGAGGTCTCTCAATATAGGCCCACTTGGGAGGCTGAGGCAGGAGAATTGCTTGAACCCGGGAGGCGGAGATGGCAGTGAGCTGAGATCGTGCCACTGCACTCCAGCCTGGGCGACAGAGCAAGACTCTGTCTCAAAACACACACACACACACACACACACACACACACACACACACACACAACCAAAAAGAAAGCATTAAGTTCTATAATTAGCAGCATGTTTCCTTTCTTAGTGGCACATAAAATAATAATATATCTTATAATTGGTGTATCTTAGATTTGAGGAGATGCAGTAGTCAACTCTTGTTCATACAGAGTTAAGTGAAAGAGTGCACATTTTGGAAAAACAATTCACTCTGAGAAAATGAAAATACTGCATACTGGAGGGTGTGTCTACGGTTCACACTTGCTAATCAGGATATGCCACATGGCTGCTGGGATAGCGAAAGGCCCTTTCCACTGCTGTCATTTAGGAGATCTCCAGAATCCCTTGCATCTGAGAATTCTCCTTCCAGAGAGCAAAGAGTGGATGATCTCCCAGGGGAAAAGGTGTAGCTGTGGATTCAGGACACAGAGAGGGAGGAGGAAATGAGAGAAAAGGAAGGAATTCAAGGATATTTGCAGCCACGACTGGGTCTCGCCCCTCTTCCTTTTTGAACAAAGTTGAGGTTAGCTGAGGAGCAGAAAGTGTTAACAGGCTCTTTTATCAACTTTGCTGTGATGTTCTAAATAATTGTTCTGGAATTATTTTTACACTTTTGGATTATGCATATAGCTGAGAAGTGTGTGCTAAATTTTGCCTGGTTTTGTTGTAACTGTGATTTGAGATACCTGTGCACTACACCCCTCACCCCACCAACATCTCCAATTATCCTAGTTAATTAGTCCAGGCTTGGGCGTGGTGGCTCACACCTGTAATCTTAGCACTTTGAGGCTGAGAGGGGCACGGTGGCTCACGCCTATAATCCCAGCACTTTAAGAGGCCAAGGTGGGCAGATCACCTTAGGTCAGGAGTTCAAGATCAGCCTGGCCAACGTTGTGAAACCCTGACTCTACTGAAAATATAAAAATTAGCCTGGCATGGTGACAGGTGCCTGTAATCCCAGCTACTCGAGAGACTGAGGCAGGAGAATCACTTGAACATGGGAGGTGGATCACCAGGTCAGGAGTTCGAGACCAGCCTGACCAACAAGGTGAAACCCCATCTCTACTAAAAATACAATTAACCAGGTGTGGTGGCGCATGCCTGTAATCCCAGCTACTTGGGAGACTGAAGCAGGAGAATCTCTTGAACCCGGGAGGCGGAGGTTGCAGTGAGCCAAGATTGTGCCACTGCACTCTAGCCTGTGTGACAGAGCAAAACTCTGTCTTGGGGGAAAAAAAATAGTTTAGGCTCTTAAAACAGAGGGATGGTTCTGTGAAGCCATCATTTTGGCCACAGCACACACACACACACGCCCCCCTCATCATCGTATATTTTACCAATGGTAAAGTACATTAACTATTTACTAGGTTCACTCTTTTTTTTTTTTTCTACAGGTCTTGCTCTGTCACCCAGGCTGGAGTGCAATGGAGTGATCTTGGCTCACTGCAGCCTTGACTTCCTGGGCTCAAGTGATCCTCCCACCTCAGCCTCCCGAGTAGTTGGGACCACAGGCCTGTGCCATCACACCTGGCTAATTTATGTATTTTTTTGTAGAGACGGGATTTCACCATGTTGCCCAGGCTGGTCTCGAACTCCTGAGCTCAAGCAATCTGCCCACCTCGGCCTCCCAAAGTGCTAGGATTATAGGTGTGAGTCACTGTGCCTGGCCTTAGGTTCACTATGAATATCTGGAGACAGTATTCAAGTTTTGGTATATGTCTTTCCAGTTTTACAAATAGATTTTTCACTTAATTTCTTTCTTTCTGTTTTTTTTTTTGTTTTTCGTTTTTTTTTTGTTTTTTTTTGAGACAGGGTCTTGCTCTGTCACACAGGCTGGAGTGCAGTGGTGTGATCATTGCTCACTGCAGCCTCAACCTCCCCAGCCCAAGTGATCCTCTCACCTCAGCCTCCTGAATAGTTGGCATTACAGGTACACGCTACCATACCCAGCTAATTTTTTTTTTTTTTTTGTAGAAATTGGGTCTTCCTGTGTTGCCCAGGCTGGTCTCAAACTCCTGGGCTCAAGTGATCCACCTGTTTTGGCCTCCCAAAGTGCTGGGATTATAGGCATGAGCCACTGTGCTTGGCCTACTTAATTTCTATATATCTATATCTATATAGATAGATATATTTCTATCTATATATCTATAGATATATATCTATATCTATATATAGATCTATATAGATATAGATCTATATATAGATATATATTTCTATAGATCTATATCTAGATATATATATATGGATATCTAGATATATAGCTATCTGTATCTAGATATCTAGATATCTAGATATATAGAGATCTGTATCTAGATATACAGATATAAATATAGATATATAGATATATATCTAGATATATCTAGATATATCTAGATATATAGATAGATTATATATCTCTATATAGATAGATATCTATATAGAGATATATAGATATCTATATAGAGATATATAGATAGATGTCTATATAGAGATATATAGATAGATGTCTATATAGAGATATATAGATAGATGTCTATATAGAGATATATAGATAGATGTCTATATAGAGATATATAGATAGATGTCTATATAGAGATATATAGATGTCTATATAGAGATATATAGATAGATGTCTATATAGAGATATATAGAGAGATATCTATATAGAGATATATAGAGATATAGATAGATATATGGATATATATAGATATAGAGATATATCTATATCTAGATATTGATAGAGATATATCTATATCTAGATATTGATATATAGAGATATATAGAGAGATCTATATCTAGATATCGATATATAGATATATAGAGATATTTATCTAGATATCTATATATACATATATATCTATATATATCTAGATATCGATATCTAGATATATATCTATATATCTATATATATCTGTATATCTATATATAGATATATATATAGATCTGTACATATAGATATCTATATCTATATATACACACACATACATATATATGTAATATATGTTAAAATATGTGTAATATATATTAATATATCCCCATAACATTAAATTTTTTTTTTAAAACAGCAGCTATCAATCATGGTGTCAAGCTATTTGGAACATGACAATGTCTTGTAAAGAGTGGCAAAATAATTGTGGCCAGTGGTTAAACTGATGCTTAAGAAATGATTTTATTTAAAAAGAAACAGATGGTTTCTGGGTTCTCTCCTGATAAGCTCCTTGCACTCTGCTTTGCCTTCTCGGTGTGCGGGCACAGTAGAGACAGGCAATCAAGCCTGAGAATCAGTTCAGACCCCACCCTCTGATCCAATCACCTTACTAAGATATCATAATTAACTTTGGTGACTCAAAAATACATGTTGATTGTTCAAGGTGTTAGGTAGGGAAATAAAAGAAAGAAACAAACAAAACTACTTGTTGAATGAAAGTGAGAATTAAAGCAGGGTTGTTATGGGCTATCATGGAAACACAGAGCTAGCTCCATGGCACAGACACATGGAATCTTTTGTCACAAGTTATTCTATCACGATTGTGTATTAATCTTCACAATCATAGCTTATATTTTTCCAACAATGTTTGCCTTTTGCTAGGCCCATTCAATGTCCTATTCATCTAATTAAGCAGGCAGGATGCAGAGCTATGTTGCAGGGAAGGGCTTTTGCTGCGCTGCAGAGCGAGGGTGGCACAAAGAATGGAGTTTTATTTGAGATGGATGAGCTCGTTCTAGCACTAGCTGATCCCTTGCGGTCTCTGTTACTTCTTTTAACCAGTACTTTTTCTCCCCCTCAATCCTTTCTCTTGTTTTTCAAGTTCCAACTGAATGGTGATTCATTCAGCAGACAGCTACATTAGGTTGTACGTTTCTGCAGAATTACAGTATAGTTTTCATTTGACAAAGTGTAGTTGGCTACTTTTAGTAAAAGAAAAGAGAGATTCCTTATTAAATCTGATTACAGATCGGAAACCAACGCTAGTTCTTCTGTAGGAAAACCAAGCAATGTGCTGTATGTGTTTCAAGAGGGAGCCACTTCAGCTGCTCTCTAGACGTTCCATGGTGTCGTCAGGGCTTCCCTATCTGTGTATACTGTTTCAAGGATGATCAAGGCTCCATTAGGGCTGAGAACTACTATTCTTAGATACGGATATGGGATTGTTCACCCTGTGGTAGGGGTGGGGTGCCTTTATTTTCCTGGGGATAAATGCAGTCATCTGGAAATTTTTGGAAATGTGACAGCTTGAGTGTTCATGGCCATTGGGAAGGGGAGAGAGTGGGAATCTGAAAAGCCAGTGTTGCACTGTCTTGGTTGGCTTTTCTGACTGCCTAATTCAG
Organism: Homo sapiens; assembly: GCF_000001405.40. NCBI lineage: Eukaryota > Metazoa > Chordata > Mammalia > Primates > Hominidae > Homo > Homo sapiens. The sequence goes on along the minus strand of NC_000014.9, from coordinate 67,191,441 downwards.
AGGGATGTCTGTACATGCCCCTAAAATGTCCTCTACAAATGTTTCCTGTTGACCATTACCATGTGGTCTTTTCCCTCCAATATTTTATTATAAAAAGTTTCAAACCTCTGGCAAAGTTGAAAGATTTCTATAGTGAAACCAACTACCTGGATTCTGGGTCTTTTTACTGTGTTATTTGTCTGTAATTACATGATGGCTGTTTTTTTTTGAGACGGAGTCTCGCTCCATCACCCAGGCTGGAGTGCAGTGGTGTGATCTTGGCTCACTGCAACCTCTACCTCCTGGGTTCAAGTGATTCTCATGCTTCAGCCTCCTGAGTAGCTGGGATTAGAGGCGCCCGCCACCATGCCTGGCAAATTTTTGTATTTTTAGTAGAGACAAAGTTTTGCCATGTTGGCCAGGCTGGTCTTGAACTCCTGACCTCAGGTGATCCACCTGCCTCAGCCTCCCAAAGTGCTGGGATTACAGGCATGAGCCACTGCACCTGGCTACATGATAGCTCTTAAATGACAGCATTTACCTGTCACTCATTAAAGCTGTTCTCTGTGCTCCTTGGAGCTTTGAGGTTAATTATTCCCAGCACTTTGAAGTGTGGCATTTACCTGGGTGATTTTTCCCAAGATTCTTACTATACTAATAAACATATTTTTAGGCTAGGTCCAGCACAATTCTAGGTTGCAGTTCTGGTTGCACCTTTGCAGGAGTCTAACTGTTGTGGCTTCTATCTCTTGAAAATGATATCCCCATGCCCAACCTTTCAGCTTTGAAGAGAAAGCCTTGTGTTCTGAATCTTTGAAATATTTGAGTAATTAAAAAGGGCTGTTTCCCCCAAAATTTACTCAATTCTCAGTCTTTGAGAATTTTTTCTTATGGAAGAAAAAATTGGGATAACAGTCTGAAAAATCAAAATTTCAAAACAGGCCGGGCACAACGGCTCACGCCTGTAATCCCAGAACTTTGGGAGGCCAAGGCAGGTGGATCTCTTGAGGTCAGGAGTTCGAGACCAGCCTGGCCAAATGGCGAAACCCTGTCTCTACTAATATTACAAAAATTAGCCAGGCATGGTGGTGTGTACCTGTAGTCCCAGCTACTTGGGAGGCTGAGGCACGAGAATGGCTTGAACCTGGGAGGTGGAGGTTGCAGTGGGTCGAGATCGTGCCACTGCACTCCAGCCTGGGCAACAGAGTGAAACTGTGTCTCAAAAAAAAAAAAAAGAAAAGAACAAAAGGCTGGGCACAGTGGCTCACGCCTGTAATCCCAGCATTTTGGGAGGCTGAGGCAGGTAGATCACCTGAGGTCAGGAGTTAAAGACCAGCCTGGCCAACATGTGAAACCCTGTCTCTACAAAAATACAAAAAAAAAAAAAAAAAAAATTAGCTGGGCATGATGGGCGATGCCTATAACCCTGTCTCTACTTAAAAAAAAAATACAAAATTAGCTGGGCGTGATGGCACACACTTGTAATCCCAGCTACTCGGGAGGCTGAGGCAGGAGAATCACTTGAACCCAGGAGGCAGAGGTTGTGGTGAGCCAAGATCGTGCCATTGCACTCCAGCCTGGGTGACAAAGCGAGACTCTGTCTCAAAAAAAAAAAAAAAAAAAAATTAAAAAAAATCCAGAAAACATGCTTTCATTTCAAACTCAAACTCTCAATGAAATTATTTCTAAGAAAAAGAAAAGCAGTCACCAGGTGTTAAGTCTCTCGGCTTTTCAGCTTGTTCTGGTTGAGGTAGAAGAAATGAAACTAGAAGGAGAAGAGGAAGATGGAAAAAAATAGACATTCTGCCCTCGAATTACCAGAATTAATTGAACTATTCATTTCCTTCTCCTTCAGTTTCAAACCCAAGTTGCAGTAATGAGACAGTCACTTACCAACAGGTGGGGCTGAAATAGATCTCTGGAGATCTCCTGGATGTCGACTAGGAAAATAACCTCCAAATAGCACGTTTCCACTCTTTTCACATTTCTTTAGCAGGTGTTTATGTCTACTCAGCAGGCAACTAACCACTTAGTAAAAGAAGCACAGGCCAGGCTGCTCTGGGCATTGTTCTGTTGCTGCTGCATCATAATCATAACGTGCTGACATAGTCTCTGCAGTAAGAGAAGAACGGCACTGGGGAGGAGCAGCCGTGCAGGTCTGCCCCTGAGAGGAAGTGTGGTCAGCATTCCCATGGAGCCCTGACCGGACCGCTCAGGAGTGGGCATTCAGGTGGTGGTGTGAAGTTTTCAGAGGATTTCTTGGAGAGAAAAGTCAATTTAGCAATAGTATAACCACGGGAAAAATATCAGACTTTACATCATTGATCATACAATTGATAATTTATTATTCACTTTCCCTATATCCCAAGTTTCAGAGACTTAAACATATTTAAGGCACTTTGAGCCTCTGTGAAGAAAAGCGTTAAAAGAATATAGCATTTTTAGAGGGAAACTGCTTAGAAACAGAGCTGAGGCCGGGCGCAGTGGCTCATGCCTGCAATCCCAGCACTTTGGAAGAGCAAGGCAGGAGGATTGTTTGAGCCCAAGAGTTTGAGACCAACCTGGGCAACACAGTGATACCCCATTTCTATTGAAAGAAAGAAAAAGAAAGAAAAAGAAAGAAAAGAAAGAAAGAAAGAAAAAGAAAAAGAAAGGAAGAAGGAAGGAAGGAAGGAAGGAAGGAAGGAAAAGAAACTGAGCCGAGGGCTGTATAGCATGAATATTTAATGATATTAGGCTCTGGTGGTGGTTCAATGCACTTGATTGGCTGAGTCTCTTTCTGCACTTGTCCGAGTGGTTCCCCTGTTATTGTCTCAGATGCTCTGTTTCGCCTATTCTATGTTGAGTGCCATCTTTTGGATGGACAAATTCTTCCTCTGGTCATACCTATAGTCCCACTGAGTAAGATTTCTTCATTGAGCATACTTATTGCATGATCACAACTTGCCATGTTCCTGTTCTTCCTGCCCAAGGGCCAGAAAATATTTTTGCATAGATCTGATCTCATCTCTTAACTGTTGATGATATCAATTTAATTCTGCGGTACCTTGATTAAACTTTGGTATTATCTCACGTCCATTTTTTGAGGCTACTGATACATTAAAAAGAGAAGAAATACCAAAAGAAGGAAATAAAAATAATGGTATATTTAAAATATTTACCTTCAAAAGCGTCTTTAAAATGCTTTTAAAGATGCACAAAATATAAAACTGTATGTATAACTTCATTTGGAGATTGTAAGTCTGAATTTGTGGCACTTTGTCAAAGTGAGGTCCGTGAGCAATTAGCCCTCTTTGTCCCTCATGAGATGGGCCTGCCTATTCACGCCTGCATGGGATCTTCTCAGCTGCATGTCCTAAGCTTGGGATATGAAGCTTTCCTGCCACATTCAGTCCCTGGTGAGTGCAATGCAAGGTACATTCTTTTGGTCAGCTCAGTAATGAGTACTTACTATTTCCTGGGCACCATGCCATGCTGGACCACAAAGGTGAACAGTCTCTGCACTCAAGAAGTTTACCATCAAGTGGAGAAGGGGTCATGTAAACAGATTATTTCAGTGTTATGTAGTGATAAGATAGAGGGGTGACAGGGGATTCTAGGAGCACAGATGAAGGGTACTTAGTCCAATTGGAGGATTTAGGGACGGTTTCATGGAGGAGCTAATATCCAAGCTAAATCCTGAAAGATTAGTCAGTCTGAGCAAAGGCACAGAGGCATAAAATGACAGGGTTTGAGGGGTAACTACAAATGGTCTGGTGTTACATAAAGTTGAAGGGTTGAAAGAAAATGAAGTTCACGGAAGAAGAGCCTAGATGATGGAGGGCTTTGAAAGCCATAACTAGGTGCTGGGACTTCATCTGCTCCAGTAGCTCTAATAAAGAGTGTTACATGGAGAGATTTATGTTCTGAATTGATCATTCTGAGAGCAGAGTGAAGGATAGATTTGGGAAGGGCAATTCTGGAGATGCAGAAGCCATGGTAGTGGCAGTGGC